>NC_000002.12:87803761-88109144 GCF_000001405.40 Homo sapiens | reverse complement strand
CTCCTTCCCTGGGCCTCAGTTTCCTCATGTGTGAAGCAAGGTGATATGGTTTGGATATCTGTCCCTTCCAAATCTCACATTGAAATGTGATCCCCAGTGTTGGAGGTGGGGCCTGGTAGACGTGCTTGAGTCATGGGAGCAGATCCCTCGTGAATTGCTTAGTGCCACCCACTTGGTAGGAGTGAGTTGTCGCTCTGAGTTCACACCAGATCTGCTTGTTGAAAAAAGCCTGGCACCTCTGCCTCTCTCTCTTGCTCCCTCTTTCATCAGGTGACACACTGGCTCCCTTTCCCTCCTGGCATGATTAGAAGCTTCCTGAGGCCCTCACCAGAAGCAGATGCCAGCACCACACTTCCTATACAGTCTGCAGAACCATGAACCAACATAAGCCTCTTTTCTTTATAAATTACCCAGTCTCAGGTATTCATTTAGGGTAACATGAACAGTCTAACACACAAGGGTAGTGGGCTAAAGCGTTTCTGAGTTCCCTTTTGTCTAGCTGGGAGTATGTGGACTTTTCTAAAGCAGAGTCCACCTGAACTCACACTCCCATCCTCAGAAAGCTCAGGCCAGGAAGGGAACACCAGCCTCAAGACGCTACTTGCCTCTAAGTCCTTAGTGATGGGGTGGGAGGGTCCGTGTGTCACCAGGAGAATGGCATAGGCTTTGCAGATCATCCCGTGCCCCACCTCAATGTTACCAGCATGCCAGTTGGTCAGCCCTGCCCGCATCACGGCCATGCCCAGTTGGGCATTGTTGGGGTGGTAGAGCTTCCTGTGGGAGCATAGCAGATAATTATACATCATACCAATCACCCTTATATCTGCACTTAATTTAATAATGTATAAAGTGCCCTTGTTGATTAAGCCCATCTGTCTTCCCCTCAGCACTGCAAGGCTTCTGTAGCCGCCAAGGGGGAACTGAGGCACAGAGATATGGAACAAGTTGCCAAACATTCTACACAGTGAGGCTGTGACAGCTGAAACTCCGGCCTGGGCTGCCCAGCCAACTCCTTGTGAGAAAAAGGGACCAGGATCATACTTTCTGAGCTTGGGGACTCTAGCCAAGATGGCCGAATAGGAACAGCTCCAGTCTACAGCTCCCAGCGTCAGCGACGCAGAAGACGAATGATTTCTGCATTTTCAACTGAGGTACCAGGTTAATCTCACTGGGGATTGTCGGACAGTGGGTGCAGGACAGTGGGTGCAGCGCACCGAGTGTAAGCCGAAGCAGGGCAAGGCATGACCTCACCTGGGAAGTGCAAGGGGTCAGGGAATTCCCTTTCCAAACCAAGGAAAGGGGTGACAGACAGCACCTGGAAAATTGGGTCACTCCCACCCTAATACTGCGCTTTTCCAATGGTCTTAGCAAATGGTACCCCAGGAGATTATATCCCACGCCTCGCTCGGAGGGTCCTACACCCATGGAGCCTCGCTCATTGCTAGCACAGCAGTCTGAGATCAAACTGCAAGGCGGCAGCGAGGCTGGGGGAGGGGCGCCCGCCATTGCTGAGGCTTGAGTAGGTAAACAAAGCCGCTGGGAAGCTCGAACTGGGAGGAGCCCACTGCAGCTCAAGGAGGCCTCCCTGCCTCTGTAGACTCCATATTATCTGAGCTTGAGCACAGGAAGCTCACAGCATTTGGGAGTACCTCAGACGTCTCCCCAAAAAGTGGTAGGAAGGTCAAGGGAGAAAAAAATAATTTAAATGTCCTTTTTGAGACAGCATTGTATTTTCACCTGGTTGGCACCCTTTTGCAGGGCTTCCTTAGCATGTTGTACAGTTTATCTACATTTTGTTTATGACTAACATCCTCTCAAAGAAATGAACGTGTGTCAACTTATTTGGCCAGAAACACAAATTTGCATGACAACATAAACACAGAAAGCAAGAGAGGGTATTGGCAGATGGAAGGCAAGGGAATTGAATTTTACAATTTTTTTTTTTTGAGACAGTCTTGCTCTGTCGCCCAGGCTGGAGTGCAGTGGCGCAGTCTAGGCTCACTGCAAGCTCCGCCTCCCAGGTTCACGCCATTCTCCTGCCTCAGCCTCCCAAGTAGCTGGGACTACAGGTGCCCTCCACCATGCCTGACTAATTTTTTGTATTTTTTAATAGAGACGGGGTTTCACCATGTTAGCCGGGATGGTCTCTATCTCCCCACCTCGTGATCCTCCCGCCTCGGCCTCCCAAAATGCTGGGATTACAGGCGTGAGCCACCGCGCCTGGCCAGAATTTTACAATTTTTAAGCAAAGTGATTGATGGCTCTTTTAAAAATAAATAAATAAATAAATAAAAGCTCCTAGACTTGCCTGTGTTGATTACAGGGTGGAGGGCAGGGTCCAATCACTTAAAATCAAGCTGGGGTTAGCCTGAAGGAAGTCAAAAGCAGAAGATGCCACCCAAGTGATAGATGTGCTGGAGAATTTGGGAAAGACCAGGGATGACAAATAGGTTTCATCTCAAGCACAAACTCTGATTGGTCATTAACACTGGAGCACCATGATAAAAAGACTCAGTCAAAAAGAGAACCATGATGGATTACTGACGCCTGCTGTGGGTATAGGAGGGAGAGGCACCAGTAAATGTGCCATCTATTTGCCATCCCTGGAATACACACACTTCCAGGAGACTATCTGAGACCTAGAATCGTCACCTACATATAGCCGTCCACCATCCTCCTGGCATAGAACGAGGCCTCCTCAAAGGCCTGGAGGTAGGAAAGGACCTCCGAAACAATGCTCAGCATCCGCAGCATGTAGATGTTGGTGTCAGCAAACACTGGCTCCTGCTTCTCCAGGCACTCCCGGCATAATTTCACAACCTAGAGTGAGACAGAGGCCCTGCCCATTACCATTGCACCAGAGCACACGTTTAATTCACATACGCGACCATCATGGTGATACCAGACAATCATTCTTTTTAAGACTGGGGCAATTGCTGACAGAGGTGGGAAAGCACAGGTTTGGGGTATGAATTGCAAAGTGGTCCTGTTGGCTAAGGTGTAAGAATGGGAAGGGTAATGGTGTGAGACATGGCAGATGCAGCACAGCGAGGAGTTTCCAAAATCAATAGGTAGCAGGAAGCTATGAAAGCTATACATACACACACACACAAACACACACATATATGTACAGTCAGATCTGTATATGCACAAGTTCCACATCCATGGATTCAACCCACTGCAGGTCAAATATATATATATATTTCGAGACAAGAGTCTCACTCCATTGCCCAGGCTGAAGTGCAGTGGCTCAGTCTCAGCTCACTGCAACCTCCCCGTCTTAGCTTCAAGCGATTCTCCTGCCTCAGTCTCCTGAGTAGCTGGGATTACAGGTGCACACCACCACGCCCAAATAATTTTTGTATTTTTAGTAGAGACAGGGTTTCTCCATGTTGCCCAGGCTGGTCTCCAACTCCTGAGCTCAGGCAATCCGCCCACCTCAGCCTCCCAAAGTGCTAGGATTACAGGCATGAGCCCCACCATACCTGGCCAAAAATATTTTAAAAGAAAGAAAGAATCATACAACAGCAAAAAACAATACAAACACATCAATACAGCATAACAGCTATTTACACAGCATTTACATAGTATTAGGTGTTATAAGTAATCCAGAGATGCTTTAAAGTATATGGAAGGATGTGCATAGGTTGTACGCAAAAATACACTATTTTTACAAGGTACTTGAGCATCTGAAGATTTTAGTATCTGTGGCAGTCCTAGAACCAATTCTCTAAAGATATCGATATGTGTGTGTGTGTGTGTGTGTATATATGCATGCGCATATATACATATACAAATATATTTATATATCTTATAAGAACACATTGAGATGAGTACTACTAATAATCCCATTTTACGAGATGAGAAAACTGAAGCACAGAGAGGGTAAATACTTTGCCAAAGTCACACAGATGGTGAGCAATGGATCAAGCACTGAAACCAAGCAGTTGAGCCGCAGCTTCACCACCATTCCTGTGATTCTCCACTCACTGTGCTTTGGAAACATCTGAAAGCTTTTTTAAAACACTGAAGTTCAAGTCCTACCCCAGACCAATTGAAACCAAATATCTGGGAGAGAAACCCTGGATGTGTAGTTTGTATAAGCCCCTGGGTGGTTCTGAGGCTCAGTGAGTTTGAATAATTATGTCCTACTGAAGTGTTCAAGATGGATGAGCAGAGAAGGAGGCTCCCAGGAAGCTGGGAAACATCCCCAGAAGGATGCAGCCTTGGCCCTGGTGAGGAAAAAGATGGACCTGACCGCAATCGTCCTGGAGTCAGGCTTTTCTGACTGACTCTTGTACAGACATAGGATTAGGCCCTACCCTACAAAGTCTAGTGGTCTCTAGATTTTAGGTGTTTGTTGTTCTCCTCTCCTTCCTTTGCTGCTCTCATGGGAGAAATGTCATACAATTCCATTTGAAATCAGTGAGAACTAATTTTGCTCTGAGACTTTCCCAGAGTTCATGAGGCAACCCGAGGTGGTGGGGGCCACCCCGAGGTGGCGGGGAGTGGAAAAATGATGGTGGCAATCAATTCATCCTGAAAACAATCCTCTTAAACCTATGGAGGCAGTGTCCAGAGCCACACCTAGCCCTGCCAAGTCTGAATGGAGAAGGAGAAGAAACGAACAGGAGAGAACCCAGGGCAATGGAGCCAGTGGGGCCCTCCTGCTCACTCCAGCTCCCACCTCGTGCCTCTGACAGATTTTCCATGTTGTACAATAACACTTTGTGTGTGTGACTGTCTACCCACCTGACAGAACTCCTTCCAGGCAAGGAGAGTGTCTTGTGTTGGCCACCCCAGTAAGGGTTTAGAAATGTGCAATAAATGAGTTAGTAAAGAAGGAGGAAGAGGAGAAGGGAAATAGAAATAGAAATGAGGCCAGGCGCAGTGGCTCACGCCTGTAATCCCAGCACTTTGGGAGGCCAAGGCGGGCAGATCATGATGTTGGGAAATCGAGACCATCCTGGCTAACATGGTGAAACCCCTTCTCTACTGAAAGTACAAAAAATTAGCCAGGCGTGGTGGCGGGCACCTGTAGTCCCAGCTACTTGGGAGGCTGAGGCAGGAGAATGGCGTGAACCTGGGAGGCAGAGCTTGCAGTGAGCCGAAATCGTGCCACTGCACTCCAGCCTGGGTGACAGAGCGAGACTCCATCTCAAAAAAAAAAAAAAAGAAATAGAAATAGAAATGAATAGAAATTAATCTCCCAAATCTGCATGCCCTAGTGACATTAACATTCGAGTTGCTTAGCGAGCTTGAGGAACAAAATACTAATTCATGGTCCCTGTTTTCTGTTGCAGATTGAATGAGTCACATCTTAGAGTATGAGAATGGAAATCAGTATTTCCAATAAGCTGCCCAGGTTAATTCAATGCAAATACCCCGCAGGCCAGTGTTTGGCAGTGGGTCTCGGCTTTGGTTACACATTGAAATCACCCAAGAGCTTTAAAAATCTTGATATCAGGGTCCCATGGCCAGAGATTCTGGTGAAATTGTCCTGAGTGGGGGCCTGAGCATCAAAATTTTTCAAAGGTGATTCTAGTGTAGAGCCAGCTGAGAATCCCTGGTGCTTCAAGAGCCAAGGTTGAATGCTCATTTGGGAGAGACTGAAAACTGTAGCTGGCACATGCATTCAATTATGGGAAAACAAGCAACTCACTCCCAGTATGTCCACTGGCATTTGCATTCCCCCATCTCCGATACCAGGTTTAGCTATCACAGATCCCCCAGGGACAAGTGTCTGGCTGCATTTGCTCCCCTCAGACCCAGTTTCATTGGGTTAAACAGTCACTGAGAACGCACCCCTAAGAGATGCTAAAGATTTACGGACAAGAAGAGTCATGATCTCAACCAAGGGACATCTTCTAGAAAAATAACCTGCTTGGTAGCCCCCCTCCCCCGCCGCCCGTTCTCACGCCACTTCCCTCCCTTACTGGAGAATGTTTCCACCCTCCTTTCTACCCCCATCCTCTATAACAAGTGAATTCTTACCTCATGATACAAACCCTCGGAACGAGCCTTGTCTATCTTTTCCAATGTATCCTTGGAGAATTGTATCATCTCCTTCACCACTTCCTGAGAGGGCTGGGAAAGAGAGACACATTGAGCTAGAGATGCCTTCATGAGGCAACCCATTCCACCTTTGAATAGTTGCCATCTTTGACATTCAATGTAGCACAAGGTTAATGTCTTCCTCATTCTGAATGCCTCATTCCTGTAAATGCTACCCAAGATCCTGTAGCTATTCCAGTTCCCTCATCATATTTCTGACTTGTGTTTTCTATTAAGCCAAGTCCCAGACCCTTGCTGTCAGCCAATCATCCCAGCCTGTGCAAATTCCTGGCCCTTTGAACCCCAGGGCAGAACCTGACATTGATCCCTATTGTGTTTTCTCTGGCATTTTGGATTCTATCACCCAAAATATTTGCTGCTCTCCCTCTTTGTTTCAAGTCAACCACATATTCCACAGGTACATCCTTACATTTTTGTTTTCATCCAAGTCATTGATTTAAATACCAGCCAGCACAGGGCTGAAGACAGAGCCCAGGGACTTGACCCAAAAATCATACTCCAATTTGTCTTCGAGTTCATTAAGGAGGCTCCTTGTGATTATAATTATTCAAACTCTTCCAAATGTCTTAGCATCCAGCCTGTATTTCCTTGTCTTGACCAAAAGGATAACAGGAGAATATCTGTCAGCTGTTCCTGTGAAATCTAGACTCATTAGGATTATTACATTTGCCTAAGCAGCCTAGTGATCTTACCAAAAAAAACAAAACAAAACAAGGTTTTGATATTTGAGGCAAGGAAGTGCCAAAATTAAGAAGGCAGTTCCCACAGGGACATAATAATTTTGAAGAAAAAGAGCCAAATTTCTCAAAGTCCAAACAAGAAGTTTACATGCTATGCTTATTCCTATCAGAAGTCCTTTTCTGAAACATTTTTTTTTTGCTTAAGCAAATCTTTTATAACTTTCTTCCAAAATGAAAATAACTTTATTATTTATTCTGACTGTAAAATTGACATATGCAAGTTGTGAAAATTAAAACAATATTAAAAAGTATGGTTAAAAAAAAAAGAAATCCCTAGAACCCACCTAATGACTACAGTTAGTATCTGGGGGAACATTTTCCTATGCATGCATACAGAAATAATATTTAAAATACTTAATGACTGATACAGAAAAAGCACTGACCAATCAAAGCACAGACAGGGACCATCAACAATGGGTATGTCAGCCCAGCACGATGGCTCACGCCTGTAATCCCAGCACTTTGGGAGGCCCAGGCGGGCAGATTACCTGAGGTCAGGAGTTTGATACCAACCTGGACAATAGGGTGAAATCCAAGCTCTACTACAAATACAAAAATTAGCCAGGTATAGTGGCACACGTCTGTAGTCCTAGCTACTAGGGAGGCTGAGGCACAAGAATCACTTGAACCTGGGAAGCGGAGGTTGCAGTGAGCCGAGATCACACCACTGCACTACAGCCTGAGTGACAGAGTGAGACCCTGTCTCAAAAGAAAATTAAATTAAATTATTAGATTAAATTAAATTAAACAATGGATATGTCTAAATGACTTTACCAGTAAGCACTGGCTGAATTTCAGTCCTACGTGTGCACACACATGCATATGTGTGTGTATGTGCCTATAGGATTGACTATTTTTTCTAACTGGAATTATACCATATATCTGTCTATAGCATTTTTTCACTCAGTATATTGTAGACATTTTCCCATATCAATATAAAACTATCTATATCATCATTTTAATAAATGTAAAGTTTTCCGCTATATGAAGCTAGGATAACTTATTTAACCAGTTCTCTGGTTGTCCAATTTTTTCACTCTGAAGAGTTAGACTCAACAGCTTCCTTTCGATTTGCGGTTTACATTGTTTTGTGAAGCCACCCTCAGTAAACTACCAAAAAGTAACAAGAGAATGGGCTTTTGTTCCAATGAAAATGTATCCCCCTCTGTAGACCATCTTCCCTCCTTCTTCCAGCTGTCCTGGACCAGTTCTGCCATGGGTTTTCATCTCGCAGTATGAGAGTCCTCTGGCCAGGACACCTTGCTTCAGGGTCAGGCTCTCCTAAGGAAAGGGGTACTATATTTGTTCTTCTGCCCACCTCACCTACTTTGGCTTTTGTGTAGCTCTTGGCTATCCCTATAATTTTGGCTATCCTTGTTTCCATATCCTTCTGTATCTGGGCCTCCCGGGAGTTAGTTATTCTATGTGTCTACCTGTATTTGTTCCATGGCCTGACTCTGACAATGGATGCACCCATCAGTGCGCTAGCTTCTACTTGCAGGTCTCACTCCTAGCTTAACTTTTGCCTTGACCTTTGATTTGGCTGAGATTTCTGGCTTTGGCTGCCCTCCTGCCTGCTACCAGCTGCTGCCTTGTGCCCCGGAATGCTGTTCAGCCCTCTGTGAACTCAAATCATGTCTTTGTTCCAAAGAAGTCATTTCAGTGTGTGACTGCTTTCCTAAGCCTATTGGAATTAAGCCCATGTCTTGCCTGGTTGTGCAGAGTTCTGTGACTGGTGGACCAGAGGTGTGCCATCAATCTGTCAAACCTACATTTCTAGTTATAGCCGTAGCTTATTGCCCAAGTAATGACTCACAAAATCATGTATAGTGTATGACCCCTAATATCTAATCTACTGTAAATTCTATTATCTTTAAATCTCAAAATTCTTAGTGAATCTTCTGGAGTAATCAGAAGCTTGTAGGATAGATTAAGAGAATACTAACTGGTTAAGTGTTCATCAAAGTCTTGCTCAATTTGATGATGTAAGGGAGTGTCACTTGAAGCTCTGGAAGTGAGTCAATTTTTTTTAAAGAGGCAACTTACAAGATTCCCCAAAACAACCTGGCAGAAAGGTTGTTAATTAATAAGTGCAACATGTGATAAATCTACTCTGAGAAAGGAAACGGGGCTGTTCCACTTGGCTCCACTCTTCAGAGAAAAGGCAGGAACACTCTGATTTGCAGACAGGATTTAAGGAACCCCCGCTGTGAAAGGCCGCTGTCACCAGGAGCATCAAATTCTACAGAAAACAAGGAGGAAGAGGGGGGGAGGAGCCAGAGGCATAGGAGAAGGAGCAGGAGGTGGGGGATCTGAGGGGCTGGGGGAGGAGCCAGAGGAGAAGGGAGGAGCCATAGGAAAGGGGGAGGAGCCAGAGGATAAGGAAAGGGGCCAGAGGATAAGGGGAGGGGCCAGAGGACAAGGGGAGGGCCAGATGAAAGGGGGAAGGGCCAGATGAACGCGGGAGGAGCCAGAGGAAAGGGGAGAAGCCAGAGGAAAAGGAGCCAAAGAGGAAGGAGAAGGGGTAAGAAGGATGTTGGTTCCCAAGCCTGGAAAAATTGGCACATTTCTCTTTGATTTTTTTCTTTTCTTCTTCTTTTTTTTTTTGAGATGGAATCTCGCTCTGTCGCCCAGGCTGGAATGCAGTGGCACGATCTCAGCTCACTGCAACCTCCACCTTCTGGGTTCAAGTGATTCTTCTGCCTCAGCCTCCCGAGTAGCTGGGATTACAGGCATGGGCCGCCATGCCCGGCTAATTTTTGTATTTTTAGTAGAGATGGGGTTTCACCATATTGTCCAGGCTGGTATCGAACTCCTGACCTCGTGATCTGCCTGCCTCGGCCTCCAGAAATTCTGGGATTACAGGCGTGAGCCACCGCACCCGACCTGGCACATTCCTATTTGAAAACCATGGGTAAAGGCTGGAGAGAGAAAGGGAAAAACCCACCAGGCACTGTGGCTCATGCCTGTAATCCCGGCACTTCAAGAGGCTGAGGCGGGCGGATCACTTGAGGCCAGGAATTTGAGACCAGCCTAGGCAACATGGTGAAACCCCGTCTCTACAAATAATACAAAAATTAGCCAGCAGCGGTGACATGCACCATGGTCCCAGCTACTCAGGAGCCTAAGGCAGGAGAATCGCTGGAGCCCAGAAAGTCGAGGCTGCAGTGAGCTGAGATCACACCACTGCACTCCAGCCTGGGTGACAGAGTGAAACCTCGTCTCAAAAATAAATAAAAATAAAATAAAATTTAAAAAAGAATGATTATAAAAGAAAACCTAAGCAGCCTAAACAAAGACAGTCCAGAGACACAACTGAGGAAAAATGTCATAAGTTTTGCTATTATTTTCCCGTTTTAAAAATATTTGGTTTTTATTTCTACATAGGTTTACATACGCATATATTAAGGAGCTAGGAAAGATTTTGATGGCAATTGAAGGTTTGAGGCTGGTGTACTGATGGAGGCTTATCAGGGTGGGGTACAGCATTATAGGGAAAAGAAAGGAAATGATTGTGATGACATTGTAGATAGTCCAGCTTGAGGAAATGGTTAATAAGTTAGTCCAACTCCCCATTTTACAGATGAGGAAACTGAGGCCCAGAAGGAAGAGACTTGGCCAAGCTCAGATGTTTAGAGTCATAGCCAGTACTAGTACACAGGCCTCATAATTCTTCTTCCAGTATTCTTCCTACTACATTATGATGGCCTTTTTTTAATGCCTGAAGAAGCATTTGCTTTTAAAAAGATATACTCAATTTTTTTCTGCTCAGTTAGTATAGGTGAGTTATTTTTGAGTTGTTTTGATAGAGAAACTCAATTTGATATAAAATATAATAGAAAGCTTTTGCCTTGAATTCAGGTAGGTTCAAGCAGAAATCATCAATCTTTTATATCAAGAGAAATGCCAACTCTGCAATTCATACTGGAGATGTGTGTGTATTGTCACCAGCTGGTAACAGCATATCTAAAGTGAAGGGATGGGAACTAAAGGCCACACATAGCCTACTGAACTATTGAAACTGCCAGGTAAACATCAAAAAATCTAAAGAAATGATCGCATGGTTGTTTTATTTTAGAATAGAGAAAAGAGGGTCTGGCCTCTTAATAAAAATAAATAAATTAAGCAGTGTGGAAGCAAGTTATGAAACAAATACTCAGGGCCAGTCTCCAGGAGGGAAGGCTGACTGGCTCACAGATAAGACATGTTATCCGCAGGTTCTGAAAGGTCGGGGTGAGGGTGAGTGCAATAACAAATTCTTTTCTGTAGCGCCCATGATGCAGTGCTCAGTGCCTCTCACATGCATCCAATATACATGTCCTAGAATACACACCTTTGATTCTCTGAAAAGAGGTTGTTCCTATAGAAAACATAAATCCTTGGACCCCAACTGCTTTGTCTCTGCCTGGGAGGGGTGACTGTCAATCTCTTCACCCCAGGCATCGCTGGTCCTCCTACTTCTGTCTGTATGGAAACCGAGTATGCTTGCATGCACATGGGTGTGCATGTGTGTGTGTGTGTGTGTGCCTTTTAATGTTCATAAATGGTAGCACACACAGTGTTAGGGGTTAAATTGTATCCTCCCAAAATTCATATGTTGAAGTCTAGCCCCAGAAGCTACCTCAAAATGAAATCTTACTTGGCAATAGGGTCATTGCAGATGTAATTAGTTAAGGTGAGATCATACTGGAGTAGAGTGGGCTCCTAACCCAATAGGACTAGCGTCCTTATAAAAGAGAATGTCATGTGAGACGCCTCCATGCCTGTGCTGATCCCCCTCATCCTCCCCCTGAGCACAGCTTCACTGGAGGAAATGGACAAGAGGAGTCAGTGCTTTCTTCGGTTTTAGCTTCTTGCTTACACCATTGCAGTAAGTGATTAAATACTTCACTCTCATTTCTGCTCTGTTGCTTTAACTGGCTACTCTGACACCTGGCGGCTCAGCTCTCTCTCCCAGCTCAGCTGGGTTCCTGACCTCCCCTCAGCAAGCCTTCCTCTGCTGCTCAACAGACTCACCATCAACTGGCAACAGCTACCCAGGAGTTCAGGATGTTGACCAATCTAAACCTAGCCCTGTCTCCACACTGCCCATCCCCATGGGACTAGGAATATCTTTTTGATAACCAGATGATAAATCTCTTTGCCCATCTGATTTGAACACCTTAAATTCTCAACATCACTCAACTCATAAAGGAGTAAGAGGAGGAACCAAAATTTCCAGTGTCTACTCCGTATGCCACTCCTTTTACACACGTCATCTCCTTTAATCTTTATAACAACCTCTTGCAGTGGGGCCATCATTCCTATTTTACTGTTGAGAAAACTGGGTGACTTCCCCAAACTCAAACACCTGGCAAGTGGCAGTGCCAGGACCTAGCTGGGACCTACCTGCGGTGCTCTGCTCTCATGCCCTGCCTCCTCCCCAGGGTGACAGTTGCTCCCTAGGAAGCTCATGGGCAGGGCACACGGATTAGCTGTGAAACCACCTGTGACTGGCTCCCGGAGAAGACAGACACAAACACCTCAGCAGCAGGGCTGTGTGTACCTTGGGGTTGTCTTTCACCCCCAGGAAGAGGTCATCCTTCAGTTTTTTCTGGCAGTGTTCACATGTGCAGTCAAAGTAGTACTGCTTCTTCAGCTGCCTCTTGCGTTCTTCACTAACGTTGAGGAAGTCAATATAGGACACAGTCAGCTCCTCTCCTTCTGAGATCTTGCCTAGGGCCCGGAGCTCAATTCTGAAGCAGGGTGAAAGGAAAAGGTGAATCGAATCCAGGCCTACTGGAATGGGATCCGTGCTCTCCAAGGCTTCATGGAGTTGGGTCTCAAAGACAATGACTTTCACTGACACTCAGAAACTCCCATTGACCCCACAAAAGGAGAAATGTGACCTAAAGGATGATTTTCTGGGTAATTCTACTCTATTCCTTAGAACCGTCTGATCCATTCCATTCAGTTAACTACTGTGGAATCAGCTCAAATAGACTCCTAGTAGAGAGCTGGGCTTGGTCATAAAACCAGACAGAACGTCCATGCCCGTAAGCCTCCTTTTACTTTTTAGCTACTGATTGTCTGTAACAAAGGAAGGGAGAAATAATAAGGCAAAAACTCCAAACAAGAAAAAACCTAAAAATATTTTCTGGTTAGTTTGGGGACTACTCTCTCAGAAACATACACATTCGGTTACCCACAACCTTGGCCCATTCTGTGTCTAACTTGAAGTCACCTCTTAACCTTCAGTCCAATGGTTCAGGCCAAATTACCTAAGGAGACTTAGCCCACTGGAGATCACTGAAGGCAAATAAACAAAGGCTGGCTCTGTTAGCTTACTGCATTGTTCACTTTGGTGTTTATTGGGAGATGTGGCTTACTGGTTGAAGGTAGTTAGCAAGGGCAGATGGCATTTCAGTTCCCTTCCAGCCTAGACCTGACCCTCAATTAGCTACAGCACTACCCACCTTACCTAATGTGATAGGTACTGAAGATGTTGAAGGTAAAAACCCACTGCAGAACTGACATCCAGCTGAGCCAAACAGGTGGAGGTCAGTCCGTGGACCTCTCAGCCATGCATCCTCCACCACAAGGCCAGACAGCTACAGAAAACAAGTGGTGGGCCCTGCAAGCTGGGTCCTAAACCATGCTCCTGTATCTCCCCAGAATCCTGGGACCTCCCTGCCTAGTAGGAAGCCATCATCCAGAGAGGAAGTGGCAGGATGCAGAGGGCTGGGGAGAGCATCTGCACAGAGATCCGTGGTCACTTCTTTTACCTTCCAGAAAGGCTCAGTTGGACAGCATGCAAAAGCAAGGGCAAGACTCCAGCACCTGAGAAGAGTCCCAGTCAAAGGCAGCCCCTTCCCTGTGGTCTGAGGTGACAGTCAAGGGAGCAACTGCTGAATGGTAGTGACGTTCATATCCAGGCATCTGAGGTGACCACTTATGGATAAAAATCCTTCTCCCAAAGTGAGATACACTGACATGCCTATTAATGTGATAATATGTATAAAAACAACTCCTGTGGAGCCTGCAAAACTGAAGTGCCTGCTCACCATTTGTCCCTCCTTTCCTTTGTTCCTTACCCCAATTTTCAGCAGCAGCGGTTACTATAGTGATGAATGGCCAGTAGGAGAGGAAGGCCGGGTGATTCTGCTCACAGTTCTGCTTAGAATCCTATGTCTGAGCTGCAGGGACACTCATTTCACAAATGAGGATAGTGACACAAGAGGGATAGGTCCCACAACACTTTCGGGACAGAGCCAGGATTGGAACTTCATACCATCATGAATGGTACTTCATACCATTCACAATTGTCCTCAACATAGTAGCCTTGCCTGGTTGCTTTCAGGCTGCTTCCTGGGTCTTCAATGCATGGGAATTAAGATGCATCAAAGCCCTTGATTTTTAGGACTCTACTAATGTCCTTAATAATTCTGTGTGAGAAACTCCTGGGCCAGGATAGAGTGTGGATCTCTGGTGTTTAACTCTGTTGGGTAAGTAACCAATTCTGCCCCCACGAGTCCCTTTTACAGAGGCAGCCCACCATAGTGACATATTCTAATGCAACAGTGAATCAGTGGCCAATTGGGCTGGAATTTCCAGTAATTTTACTTCCCATCATGATTGTGCCAATTCTTGCACGGTCTCAGGGTGTCTGATTATTTCAATGGTATTAGAAATTTTTCAAAACCAAATTAACTTAATGTCACTTAAATATGAAAAGATGCATATATGTATGCCTGATTTTACCTTACTTGAAACTGGAGATTGGGGGAGGGGAATGGAGACCAGCCTGAAATAAGCACTGCAGGAGGCAGGAGATGAGGGTTTTAGCCCTGGCTCTCCCTCCAACCAGCTTTCTTGGACAAGCTTCATCCCCACTCTGGACCCCAGACCCCTTCTACCTCAAACAATCTGCAATTCCATAGTTCAGCTAATTGAGCCACAAGTAGGCAGCCTATTTAAGTATTTCTCACAGAGGTTAGGGACAGAGCCCAGAGCTGCAGAGACTTAGAACTAGGAAGGTCCCTAGAGCACTCTCCTCTTGACCTTTCTCTACAGATGTGGAACCCAAGTCCAAGAGATGATGTGAATCATCCAAATTCACGTGCAGTGCACACCAGCACAGACTCAAGTGCACCAACCACTTCTACCCCAGCATTCCCAAAGCCCAAACTCTCACACAGCATTTTGTTCTTAATCCAAAGACTATTTCAAGAGCTGTCAACCCCACCCTAAGACCCATCTGGGGCCATTTGGTTGTCATTAAGAAAAGTAAAATTTAACCTAAACTACTAATTCATAGTTGGTCAGAAGCAGTAAGCGGAATACTAGGAATAAATATTTATTAAAAATATCAGTTATAGATGCTATTTTTTGGAGCCCAGTCTGGGTGAGAAGTTGGGGCTTATAAACAGACAGTCCTTTAGTAGGTCAGTCACAGTCCCCATTTCATGGTAAGCAGGGTTTAGGGAGACAAGATAGGCTTTTGCTAAGACGATGTGGACTACAAGGGTTCATGCTTCAAGGTTGGAAGAGCAGTGGAAGTGAGGCATGAAAGGGAGGAAGAAAGGAGGCAAAATAAAGCAAAGGCAAGGCAGGTGATATGTGGGTAAGGAAAAAATGGTTAATTTAAATGCATTAAAAAGATGAGACACTGGGATGCAGAAGGACGTTATGGACAGATGGCAGCCAAGAAGTCTCGGGAATGGGTGGCCCCAGCAAACCAGGTAAGTGAGGGAGATGGGTCAGAGGAGCAGGGATGCTTGAAAGGACTGACCCACCTCATCTGGGTATGAAACATGGATTTCACTGCCTCATGACTGAAAGACAAAACAGACACCCATATGGAAATCATTATCATTGGCTGATCAGGTGTGATCCAGTGCAAGGGTGTACAGCATTCTGGGTCACAGTATCAAAGCTTTGGCCATCACAATAACCTTTATCCTAGCCCCTTCTAGCTGGACTCACTGGACAAGACACAGCCTAGTATAGGGAAAGTGCACTGAATTTGGAACAAGACATTCTGGATTCAAAGGTACTCAGCCCTGACCTGAACAAGTTCCTTCCCTTCCCTGTGTTTCAGTGTTCTCACCTGTAATGAGACTGTCATGAGACAGTTAAAAGCAGAGTGCTGGAAAAACATGCACAATGTTGTTATTATCATTCTATTAAGCATCCTGGGTGAATAAACATTGCCTCTTTGGATGTCTGTCTTGGAAAGAGTTTGAAGTGCACATGGAGTCTGGTTAGGTCACAGAGATAGTATGTAAAAATTGTTGGGGTTCAAATTGGGCCCCTAACCCCATGTCTAGGGTTCTTTCCACTATGGCAGGTGGCTAGACAGGAAATGCAAAGTCACCTTCTCTTGCACAAAAGCCAAGAAGCCTGGATAAAATGTGGCTGCTAGAAATTAGTAGATGCAAGGAAGCCAGAGCAGACACAGAAGAAAGAGTTCCTAGATTCCTGTGGTTGTTACACCCAATGACAAGAGGAGCCTTGGGTCACCACCACTTAGAAGAGGGCCATCTAGAAGGCCCAGGCCCATACATGGCTGAATTTGATCCTCTCTGCCAACCAGGTCAAGCTCAGTCAACAGCCCCTCTAGGGAGGATTCCATGAGATCCAGGCCAGTGACCCCAAAAGGCTTCAGAAAGGAAACACAAATGCTGAGAAAAGATTATCATCTGAGTCCAAAATAAACTTTCCCATCTTGAGTGACTTTCTCAATTACTTAAGAGCCTGGTTTCAGAAATAGGAAGGAAAAGAGAAATCAGGGTACTTGGCATATTGAAGCTTAGGCCCGATTCTCAGCTGAGAACCAGACACCATTGTCTGGCTTCTAGGAAGTTTTTGGGGGAAACTTGCTCATTGTTGATGGCTCAAAGTCAGCTTGTATCTGTCATAAAAGCTCATCTCTAAGAGCAAAAGCAATTAATATTGCTCGGGCCTCATTCCCCTACATTTCCCCATCCTGAGCCATGGACCACCAGGAGCTCATTCCATCTGCTGATTCTTCTCCATTTGTACCCCACCCCCAAATCCATCATGTGCCCTTATGTCCCCCCTCATCTGTGCTGTCTCAGAAAAGGGGGCTGGCCTCTGAGGGTTGCGTCACCCAGGTTTCTTTGCGGTCTGGCTTCTGGTTGGGGTTTGGCCAATGGTAGGAGAGCAGAAGGTTGGGGGAATGAGGGGTTGGACTATCTAGTCCATTGGCTTCCTCTTTTCTGAGCCATGGTGCCAGCTGGCTGGTTTCTCTAGACACAGTTATAAGCCACAGCTGAGCTGTTGGGGGCCCTCTATCCCGGGTCCAGCTCTCACTAGCTGCAGAAACAGTGCTTCCTTCACCTGCCCTTCCAGGCCTAGAGGTGGTGATGGTTTCATGTGTTGCTAGTCCCTGGGCACCTCACCATTCCTGTTAGTTTCTTTTTGTTGTTATATTATTTTGTTTGGTTTGGTTTGGTTTGGTTTTAGAGACAAGGTCTCACTTTGTCACCCAAGCTGGAGTGCAGTGGCATGATTATAGTTCACTGCAGCCTCAACCTCCTGAGGTCAAGTGATCCTCCTGCCTCATCCTCATGAGTAGCTGGGACTGCAGGCACACACCACCATGCCCGGCTAATGTATTTATTTATGTATTTATTTATTTTTTATAGATACGGGGGTATCACTGTGTTGTCCACGCTGATCTCAAACTCCTGACCTCAAGTGATCCGCCCCCTCCTCGGGCTCCCAAAGAGCTGGGATTACAGGCATGAGCCACCAGTCCCTGCCCCTTGTTAGTATCTTAAACCCTGTCCACACTTCTGTAAATTGTCCCTTCATTCAATTCTATTTGGGTAAAACCTTTTGAGTGTGCCTCCTGATTCCTGCTGAGACCTTGACTAAATGACCTCTAGACAGATAATCCTAGGCTTCAAGTTTTAAAATAGTAGTTAAAGGTTTATCTAACCTGTCCAGGCAGCCCCAAGAAACATACACATTCAGAAATGACCCAGGTTGAATTCTTTGATATCCTCCATGATGCCTTTCTCTCATTCACAATTATTCTGGAATGAGATTTCTATGTGCTATACATTTAAAATTTATGCTAGTTCAGGTTTAGCAGGTTGACTTTGGCTTAAGTCAAGTGGAGAAAACACCATAGGTCTCCCCATCCCCTTCACACACACCCCCACATAAAGACATACTCACTTGCCATTGTTAAATATGACAGTACAGTTGGGCCAACAGTCATGGTTCACCAGGCCCAGGTTGGGGAAGATGCCTACGCCCACGGCCTGCAGGCCTCTCTGATCACTGAGAGTAAAACCGTTGCAGTTAATCTACCCAGGGGAAAAGATGAAAGAGTCAGTCGACAGACATGGACAGAACAACATCCTAGCTGTTGAAAGGAGTTTTAAAAAACAGAAGACCCAGTCTCACCCTGGAGATGCTTAGGGAGTCTGGACACAGAACAATTAGTCTCCTGTTCTCTGCGTGACTCCAGATGACACACAAGATTAGGGCCATGGAACAGTCCCATACCTGCAAAAATGCAGCCCTACCTTGAAAGTTTTTTGTGGCTCTATTCTAAAAGAGTCAAAGGTGGAAATATTTTCCTTTTTCTGTATCTGGGTCTTACATGAGTATTCCTCAGTCTCTGTCTTGGTTTTTCTCTCTGTACCCTGCTTTGTGTGCGCGTGGGCGTGTGTGTGTGTGTGAGCTTTTCCTTCCCCTGTTTCCTCTGCCTACTCAGTTTAAACTCCTGTAGCTGTTCATAAAAAAAAATTGACATCTCTTTTGATTATTTTGTATCTGGTGCATAGTTTTATATTCCCTGCTCACAGTTGTTAAATCTGATGAGTGCCATATTTAACACTTATCTCTGAGATTCAAGGCAAATCAAGTTGGTTACTACTGATGTGGCATCCAAGTGATTTTCTTTTCCTTAAAAATAAATTTTTCTTTACAGAAACAGACACCAAATATCTGCTCTCACAGTAGGAAAAATACATAAGAATAAATATAACGTAGAATACATTAGTAACTGCATGCAGATTTCCACTTCATCTATAAATACATCTATGAATACATGCTGTACATAACAGAAACTCAGTAGACATTTATGCCCTCACATGGATATTTGTCATAGATATGGAGGAGTGTCACTTTCTCCATTTATTCTCATCAGACATTTAGTAAGTTCATGATGTTAAGCCTCTGAGTACCACTAACAAGCTGTACTACTTGGAGCAAACTTCTTTCTTCTCTGAGCCCTGGTTTTCCCATCTATAGGTTGAATAAATTGGACTAGATAAGCTCCAAGGATCTTTTCAGCTCTAACCTTTGGTAATTATATGACCTCTAGCCCTAGTCCCCAGACCTATCAGGGATGCCGAAGATTACTCAACACACCAATTCACCCCAAGGCTATAGAACATAACAGGTAAAAGTAAAAGCTTAGGCCAGGCGTGGTGGCTTACGCCTGTAATCCCAGCACTTTGGAAGGCAGAGATGGGCAGATCACTTGAGCTCAGGAGTTTGAGATCAGCCTGGGCAATATGGTGAAACCCTGCTTCTATAAAAAAAAAAAAGCAAAAATTAACCAGGCATAGTGGTATGCATCTGTGGTCCCAGCTACTTGGGAGGCGGGAGGATCACTTGAGCCTGGAAGATGGAGTTTGCAATGAACCATGATTGCACCACTGCACTCCAGCCTGAGTGACAGAGTAAGACCCTCATCTCAAAAAAAAAAAAAAAAAAAAAAAACAGGTAGAAGCTCTGGCTCCTGAAAATACAGACTGCTTCTAGACTTTCCCTGGGCACAAGCTGACCATGTGGCTTTTGGAGGTCATGTAACCCCTCTGGGCCTAGGTTTTCTGTTCTATAAAATAGAAATACTGAAAGCATGGACCTTACCTTGTGTTGTAAAGATTGTGTAAAATAATACATGGGAAGCTGTGGTGGTTAATTTTGTGTGCCCACATGGCTGGTCAATGGTGCCCAGATATTTGGTCAAATACTATAATGTATGCTTCTGTGAAGGTGTTTTTGGATGAGATTCACATTTAAATTGGTGGAGTTTGAGTAAAGCAGAGTGCCTGCTAGAATGTGGGTGGGCCTCATTTAATCAGTTGAAGACCTGAATAGAATAAAGACTGATCTCCCCTGAGCAAGGAGTTCTGCCAGCAGAATGCCTCCGGACTTGAACTGCAACACTTCCCTGATCTCCAGCCTGATGGCCTACCTTGCAGATTTTGGACTTACCAAGCCTCCACCATTGCGTGAGCCAAATCCTTAGACTCAATCAATCTCTCTCCCTTTGCCCCCCAATATGGTGAAGACTGGAGAGATGTCAGTGTGATGTTTGTCCTCCTCCGTCCTCAGCCTGCTCACCTTCACCACATAAAGGTCCTGGCCTACCAGATGGAACACATCCATCCCCACAGCCAGGACCTGAGCCTCCTCATCCACCGGGTTCTCGCCCCCACTTCCCGGACTCTTATGGCCTCGTCTGGCTTGGTTGCTCCCACCCCAAAACCCTGACTCCCCTCTCTCTGGCTCACATCCCCCACTGCTCCAGGCTTCACATCAATCCTGCCTGGCAGACCTGGAAAAAGGTTTCCAAAGTGACTGGTGGGCAGGAAGGGATAGTGATTGGGGGTCTTTATTTTCAACGTGGAGAGGAAAAAAATGTAAAAAGTGCAGATAAGTAAGAGGATAAATTACCATCCAAATCTACCATCCAGAGATGGATAAATAAGTAAAATTTGTATGTGGGATGCCAATTCAGATACAGCAGGAATGGCCTCACAGTAAACAAGGCCAGAAGACAGAGTCCAGGATGAGGGGTCTTCACTTCAAACTCCTGTCCTCCTTCAGTCCTCTTGGCCTCCCCTCCCAACTCTGGCCTGACAGTTTCTGGAAACTTCTTAGTTGGACGATCCCAGCTGTCACCATGGCCCCTCCTTGATAAGGAATCATACTCTAGAATCTCCGGATTTTATTAGTTGGGTCATTTGGAGGCCTGTCCCTGGGCTCAGAAATGGAAGGGGCAGTAGATGTTTCTGCTACATGCGGTAAATAGAAGGCGGTTTCTCCAGCGCCTCTGGCTGCCTGGGCTAGATGAGACCTTTATGGAAATAGAAATCAGGGTCCAGGGCAGACAGGGCTTCTGCCTCTTAGTTCACTTCTGAGAAGCCCCACCCTCCCCAAGTGGGAGGAGGGAAGGAAAGAGGAGACAGACAGGGAGGATGGAGAAGGGACGCAGGGGGCCTACCACTCCGAAGATGTGCGAGATGTACTGCATGCTGAACTGCTGGCTCTGCGGCGGCCAGTACTGCAAGAATGTGTCCACGTCCACCCGCAGGTCCTTCTGCTCCTCCTCCCCAAAGTGCTCCACGTGGTTCTGCAAGTCGTCCACGGACACCAGGCAGCCCTCCGTGAGCCCGGTGCCTTCTCTCTCCACCCGCCACATGATGCGCGCCGCCAGCCTGTGGGAAGGGCAGCGTCAGGAGGCCACTACAGCTGCATTCATTCCTTCAACACACATTTACTGGGTGTCTCATGCATGCCAGGCACAATGTTGGGCCCAAGATACGTTTTTAAACTAGATGGATGGAATTTATTCTATCATGATGCTTCATATAGTGGGGGAGAGGTAAGTAAACAAGCACATTTTACATAGAAAGTGCTATGCAGAAAAAATAATACAGGGTGGCATGATAGAGAGTGACTGGGGTGGGGAAGCTAAGGTCTTCCAGGGAAGTGTCACAGAGGAGGCACATTTGAGCTGGAATTGGAAGGGGTGGAGGAGCTGGCTCTGTGATACTGGAGAAAGAGCACTTCAGGAGAGGGCAGTGAGTACAAAGGCCCTGAAGAAGGAATGAGCTTGGCATGATGGAGAAGTAGCAGGAAGGCAGAGGTGGCTGGAGCACAGGGAGCAAGAAATGGAGACCAAATAAAGGTGGAGGTGTGGGCAGGAGCCAGGTTCCGTGGGGTCTGGGGAAACAGAGAGGTGCGGCAGCCTGGGTCTCTCAACAGTGTGGCCTACTGGGATGAGCCCTGCATCAGGAGTCTAATGACCTGTTTCCACTTCTTACTGTGTGAGCCTGGGCAAGTCACTTGACCTCTCTGAATCTATCTGGTGGCTTGTAAAATAGGGAAAATAGTCCCTGCTATGCTAACCTCCAGAGGTATTCAGAAGACAAAGTGAAGTAATAGGTGTCTGCATTGTGTGTGAAAGTATTGGTATTCTTTTTTTTTTTTTTTTTTTGGAAGCTATACAGTGTACTCTTTATTTATTTTTATTTTTTTGCAAAGTAAAACTCCACAAGCAAGCATTTTGGGGACTGTGGTGGGGTGGGGGGAGGGGGGAGGGATAGCATTGGGAGATGTACCTAATGCTAGATGACGAGTTAGTGGGTGCAGCGCACCAGCATGGCACATGTATACATATGTAACTAACCTGCACAATGTGCACATGTACCCTAAAACTTAAAGTATAATAAAAAAAAAAAAAGATAGGGATGGGTAGAGATAAGGATAGGGGTAATCTCCTAAAATAAATTTCATTTCTGAAATCGGTACTAATAGAAAGTTGATTGAAAACATAACATGATTTGTTTTATTCCACTTTATTTTTGGCAATCATAAGTATTGGTATTCTTAATGATTGGGGAGTGAGAAAGTGGAGAAGGCAATCTAGGCCGGGAAACAGTGTGAGCGGAGGCCTCGAGGCAGCCACGGGCATGCCACGTGCAGGAAGCAGGGAGGGGCCTGGCCTGGCCGGAGCGGGGCTCTGGGGGAAGAGGAGGAGGCCAGGTGGGACAGGAGGAGACCTATAGAGACACAGGGACTTGAGTATGAGACAAAGGGGTATACTTCACCCCGAAGCCCTCTTTGTTAACTATTAGGTGGCCTGTGATGAAGCTTATGACCCAGGGACACTTTAATGTTCCTGCCACCCACTGACTGCACACTTTTCAGGCATCTGGGAGGGGATGGTGGTCCAGGACAGATCCTGTCCCTGAGGAGAGATCTGCTGGGCAAAGCACAGGCCCTCTCCTCATTTTTTTTAATTGAAATTTTAATTGAGATAATTGCAGATTCACAGGCAGTTGGAAAACAATACAAAGAGATCCCTTGTACATTTTGCCCAGTTTTCTCCAATGGTAACATTTTAGAGAACTAATATCACAGCCAGAATATTAACCCACCTGTATCATTCAGATTTCTTCCGTTTTACTTACACTCATGAATGTGTATGTGTGTTTAATTATATACAATGCTATCACCTATGTAGCTTCATGTATCCACCTACACAGTCAAGACACTAAACAGTGCCATCACCTCAGGGTCCCTTCTGTCCCCCCACCTCTTTTTGAACCATTTTAACCATTTTTAAGCATACAGTTTGGTGGCATTAAGCACACTCACACTGCTGTGCAACCATCACCAACCATCTGTTTCCAGAACGTTTTTCATCTTCCCGATTTCTCCTGTTTGAGTCACTGAGTTATTTCTGGAGAAATGCCCCGCATGGGACTCCAGGTGCCTGGAAACTGAGGTGTCTTCACAGGGAGCCCAGGGCAGCACTGGGGAAAATACGACTCAGCACAGGGAAGATCTGCTGCCTCCAAATACCGAGGAAAGGGTCATGAAGCTCAGAGAATAGAGGTCAATGGGTGGTAGATTTCAACTCAGTCACTATCATAGGAGGTGCCATTTACTTCAGGTCTTGAAGGATATGTAGTGTTTCAATAGATGGAGCTAAGGGGCATGGAGAGGTTGACTGAGCCATTTCATCCTGCAGGTTCCTAAAAATCATCAGGATATGACAATTCCATTCTGTGCCTTAACTTCACACACTATGCACACAGTGAAAATGCTCCCAGTCACCATCTCCATCTCCTTTGCTCTGCAGTGCTGGCTTCCTGAGCATCTCCCTGCAGCCCAGCACTGAGCCCCACCCCAGCGGAACCTCCAGGATTGGGAATCTCTTGGGCTGGAGCTATAGGCCTTGAGATTCTGATGATGGCCACCAGGAAAGGCCATTAGTTGCAAACTCAAATGCACTCTCTGGTGTAATGTGTATGACCACAGGGAGCAGTGGTGCTGCTGTGACTTAGAACGCTCTGTATTTTTTCAAAGGTGGCAGATACTACTCAGCTCTAGCCTATTTTGCCAGATTTTCAGTTTTTTGTTTATTTTTTTTTTCAAGAGAAGTCAGAAATCCTAATTTTAAAATGTGAAATTTCCCAATTTTTAAACATTGGTGGATCAATTTAAAAATACTTGCCCCTTGTCCGGGCATGGTGGCTCACAGTTGTAATCCCAGCACTTTGGGAGGCCGAGACGGGTGGATCGCTTGAGCTCAGGAGTTCGAGGCTACCCTGGGCAACATGATAAAACCCCATCTCTAAAAAAATACAAAAATTAGCCAGATGTGGAGGTGTGTGCCTGTGGTCTCAGCTAGTTGAGAGGCTGAAGTGGGAGGATCACTTGAGCCTGGGAGGTCAAGGCTGCAGTGAGCTGTGATCAGGGCCCCTCCACTCCAACCTGGGCAACAGAGCAGACCCTGTATCCAAAATACCTAAATAAACTAAACATTGGGGAGCCCTACAGAAGGAATCTGCAAGCCAGTTTCAGCCTGTGACTGCAGTTTGGAATCACTGCTGTCAACAGCCAGTTCTCCCTCTTAGACCTTAAGGGAGTGAAGAGAAGTGACCATATCCAGTCTTTGAGGCTGTTTCCTGACTTGCACTCAGCTTGGCTTCCTTAGATCTGGGAATGTTGTTACTGCCACCATTCCAGCCTGACATTTGGAAATCTGAAGCACCACCAGGGTGCCCAGCTCTCACCTGATGTTCTCATTGGGCACCTTCCCATATCTCTTGATGGCCGAACATTCATTCTTGTGGTTCAGCCAAGCATCCTTCTGGCAGGTGCGGTCGCAGTAATGGGCAAACTTGCACTGCCCACAGCGATGGAGCTTCTCCTGCCTCTTGAAGCAGGTGTGGCACACAAAATTAACAAGGCTGGAAATGGAGAAAGAAGACACATGATTGGGAGCACAGTGGAAAGGGCACCCTGCAGCCAGTGGGACACCTGTGTTCCAGTACTGGTTCAGCTGGCTGGTCCTTATTTATCTAAACTTCAGATTTCCACCTTCCAAAATGAGGAGTTTGAGCCTCCAAAGGCCCTTCCCAGCTATAACAATTACTTTAGCAATTTTTTTTTTTTGAGACAGAGTTTCACTCTTGTTGCCCATGCTAAAGTGCAATGGCACGATCTCAGCTCACTGCAACCTCGGCTCACTGCAACCTCCGCCTCCCAGGTTCAAGCGATTCTTCTGCCTCAGCCTCCTGAGTAGTTGGGATTACAGGCATGTGCCACCACACCCAGCTAATTTTTGTATTTTTAGTACAGACAGGGTTTCACCATGTTGGTCAGGCTGGTCTCGAACTCCTGACAAGTGATCCACCCGCCTCAGCCTCCCAAAGTGCTGGGATTACAGGCATGAGCCACCGCGCCTGGCCTACCAAATATTTTTAAGTGACCCCCATGTGAAGGACACTCTTACCCTCTGCATATAAGCCCTTCAATTCAATTCAGGAAGGGTAAATTGATGACCTAAATGTATTAGGCACTGGGAATACCACAAATTACTAGAGAAACAATTGAACTTGCAGTGTGGTGAACTAGTGTTATTCAGAACACAGTATTGTATGCAAAATAATATCTACACACTATGATATATGTCACAGTTTGTGCATTTTGCAACAGTAAGAATGACAAGATTACTGATTTCACTGTCATTGACATATTCTCCCAGCTCAGAGCGAGGGTGGAAGTGATGAGGAGGAAAATGCATGCCCATTCGATGGGTGAGGGAGAGAGGTGTGGGAAGATGAGGATCCCCGCCCGGTGCTTCCAGCCTCTTAGTGTTCCCATTAGAGAGCCCCGTGTATCCCATGTTAAACCCATCGTTCAAACAGAAAAGGGCATAGGCTCCATAGGAAATGTATTTCAGGACACAGCCTGACATCCAGAGTGAGAGAAATCTGGTATGATGTACAGAATCTCTGGACCTCAACCTCATGCTCCCACAATGTGGGGAAGAGAAATCCTCACCTCTGAAGCAAAGAAATAATGAAAACCATTTCCGTGATGTGCAGGGGAGCGCTGAGCTCCTGGGAAGGAAGTGGATGGGTAAACTCAAGCAGATGTCCACAGTCTAAACAGGGATCTCCAAAGTATAAGAACACAGGAGCTTTTAGAATCACAGAATTCCAGAGCCTGGAGGGAGAAGCTTCCACAGAACATTCAGGCACAGAAATCCTTTGTGTCTATCCCTGGCCATGAATATTCTAATTCCCACAGTGAAAAGGAGTTCATTGTTTCTGAGAACAGTCAGTTCATTGTTGGCCAGTCCTAATTGTTGCAAACTTCCTCCTTGTGTTAAGCTTGAATTTGTCTCCCCAGAAAACCTGCTCCTGTACCCTAATTTGGCCTTCTGTGTCCTTGCCCAATGGAACAAGCCTGGTCAGGTCAGTTCTTCAAGAATTTGAAGACCACTGCCTTGCTTCCCATTCATTTCTCTCCTCCAAGTTAAATACTCCCAGATCTTTAAACAATTCTTTGTACATGGTTTCTAGAATTCTCACACCTTTCTGGTGGCCTCTGATACACCTACAGAAATCCCTGTAGCCGAAGGAGGTTGGGTTTAGCTGAGAAATCAAGCAAAATGTGCTGGCCAGTGCCAGGGGGTCAGGCTCAAGGACCAGCCCAAAGGCCAGGCCTGACCCTTGAGCCTGATCCCTAGCACTGATCCCAGCATGGCATCTGGAAGGGGATAGACAGGTGCAGAGCCAGCTGAGGGCACCGCAGGGGCTACTGCTCTATGCTACATCCTGGGCTTCCTAAAGTCCAGGCAGTTTTCAGCCTCTGGCTGGCCAGCTCAACACACTGCTGTGTCCCCATCCACTAGGAGGTGTATTGCTACTAATTTGTTAACAATCATAAAGTACTTGAGGGCGTGAAAGTTTAGTGCTTATTTCTAATAAGCAGATTCAAGGTTATCCTCATAGTAACAGCTTCCTTACTCTTGCCTTCCCTTAAACTTTCCTAGTGAGCAAGGAGTAGAATTACACTAGCATACTTAGAACTGCGCAGGATATGCAGCCCATCATAACTAGGCCACAGAGGGTGCACCCTCCCTGAGAAGGTCATTTGTCATAAGTGCCCCAGCAGAATAGAGCACATGGGGCCCACATGGAACTCCGGCCACTTAGTGAACTCTCTAAACCCCTGGAGATAGAGAGCTATGAATTTCTTACATCTGCCTCAAGTCAGGATTGCATTTTCTGGCAGGAATTTGCAGTCCATTAGCAGGAACTGGACTCCTGAAAAATCCAAGTAAATTGGATTCCAAGACGGCTCCAAATCTTGTCTCCTGGCCAAACACAGGTAAGAGCTTGGGTGTCAACACTTCACAATTATGGTGCCCAGAACAGAGTGTGCTATTCAGATGTGGTGCCATGTACACTTGCCGGATCTCCACATTATGCTTCCATTAGTTTCTTTAGTGAAAACCTCACATTAATTTAGGGTCAAATGGCCGGGTGCAGTGGCTCACACCTGTAATCCCAGCACTGTGGGAAGCCGAGGTGCGCAGATCACCTGAGGTCAGAAGTTTGAGAACAGCCTGGCCAACATGGTAAAACCCTGTCTCTACTAAAAATACAGAAATTAGTTGGGCATGGTGGGACATGCCTGTAATCCCAGCTACTCGGGAGTCTGAAGCAGGAGAATCGCTTGAACCCAGGGACAGAGGTTGCAGTGAGCCAAGATCGTGCCACAGCAATCCAGCCTGGGTGACAGATCAAGACTCTGTCTCAAAAAAAAAAAAAAGAAAAAATTAGGGTCAAATTACAAATATAGTCAGTAGAACCTCCCAAGCTTTCTCAAAGGTGCTGCAGTCAAGACAGAGTTTCCACTCTGTTTGTCTAGACAGAATTGCATTTTCTAGACATCTTTATGGAGGTATGATTGACATACAACAAGTGTTAAAAAATAACACTTTGATAGGTTCTGACATATGCATCTACCCACAGAACCATCATCACAATCAAGATAATGAACATATCCAGGCCAGGCGCGGTGGCTCACACCTGTAATCCCAGCACTTTGGGAGGCCAAGGCAGGTGGATCATCTGAGGTCAGGAGTTCAAGACTAGCCTGGCCAACATGGCAAAACCCCGTCCCTACTAAAAATACAAAAATTAGTTGGGCGTGGTGACGGGCACCTGTAGTCCCAGCTACTCCGGAGGCTGAGGCAGGAGAATCGCTTGAACCAGGGAGGCAGAGGTTGCAATGAGCCAAGATTGTACCACTGCACTCCAGCCTGGGCAACACAGTGAGACTCCATCTCAAAAAAAAAAAAAATTAAATAATGAATATATCCATCAGCTCAAAAGCTCCTTTGTGACACTGAATTTTTTAACTTGGAGTCTTCACCTTTATCCCTAACTGATGGTTTTCAAGGTAGCATTCCAAAACATCAAGGTCATTTTGAATTTTCTTCTGTCATCTTTTATATTGGTATGCTAACCTCTGAGTCATCTGCAAATTTCAGAGTATGTCTTAGGTTAGGAACGAGGAAGGAAGAGCAGATGTCCACCTCTGGGGCATCAGGGCTCAGACCAGGAATACAAACCCAAGGCAGGAGAGAAAGGGAGGAGAGCCAGGAGGTGGTCTGGAGAGGGAACAGTTAGACGCAAGCACAATCATGCTGTCTGTCCCTTGTAACCTGCCACTTGTAACTCCATGCCTGTCTGTTCCAAGGTCGCCCATCAGAGAGCAACCCCACACCAGAACTGCTCTCATATTTTACACCCAAATTGACATTTTAGAATAGCCTAGTACAATATCCTCCATCTTTTTATTCATATACATATATTCACACATTCATATTTCATGTATACACTAATATGTGTGCCTACCAAACAAAAACATTACACTTCACAATTCTCTGTTTTATTGTTTTAAATTTCAAACACAAATGAAAATTCCAGGTGATCACCTAGGTAATCACCTAGGTGAACACTTAGAACAACAAATTTTGAGTCTTCATCTTTATAATCACTGCTTATTTCTAATCTACTTAAAAATGTGGGAATATGTGGTATCACAAGGATTGGAGACATAGACTGTGGCCAACACAACCTGGAACAACTCTGAAGCTTAAGAATTTACCCTCACAATGAACACATGTAGTTGAGTCCACATGGCTGACTGTATAACCAAAGGTCCTCAGAATTAACTTCCAGGCAGAATACAATGTTTATTAAAAGATATGTAATTTTAAAATGTGCTAAAATGAGGTTTACCCAAGAGCAGTTTTTCAGAACTTAGACCCTTATGGATTTTGGGGTGAGGAGAAGTATTTTATCCTTGACGTTGTTTAGAATTGCTGGTACATGGTGGTAACAAAAAACAGATTGACTTTTATTGTTTTTTGTTTTTTCTTTTGAGATGGAGTCACACTCTGTAGCCCAGGCTGGAGTGCAATGACATGATCTCGGCTCACTGCAACCTCCGCCTCCTGGGTTCAAGCGATTCTCCTGCCTCAGCCTCCCGAGTAGCTGGGATTACAGGCACCCGCCACCACACCTGGCTAATTTTTGTATTTTTTAGTACAGACGGGTTTTCACCATGTTGGTCAGGCTAGTCTGGAACTCCTGACCTCGTGATCTGCCCACCTTGGCCTCCCAAAGTGCTGGGATTATTGTTTTTAAATTCTGTGCAAAGACCCCTTACTCAGTGACCTTATTGCAGACATCAGGGATGGACCCCTTGCATAACCCTGTCCTTACTTAGTCCACGCTGCTTGTGGGGTTTATTACGGCAAGTTTTCCTAGCCTGGCTCCAACAGAAAGAATATGTCTGGCCTGGCATTTGCCTCCAAGCTCCCATTAACTAACTTAATACACTTCTAATAGGGCCTGATTATAGAATAATCTATCTGCTATTAACTGTAGCCATATTATGTCCCTAAGAATAAATTCCAGTGGCATGACCCTCATGTTCTCAAAGTCACTAATAACCACTGTGACCAGGAGAAGGCTGGAGACAGAGCCTTCAGCTGCTGCAAAGCAGCCTTCACCCAAGATTGGGTGACAGGGAGAACATTACACTTATATAATCATTTTATCAAGCCTTGGATCAATTCCTGTTATCTCATGAGATTCTTTGCTGTAATAAACTTCGAATACTTTTCATAAAAAGAAAATGTGATCAATGATTTCTTTTCCCATGGTGAACTTGGATGGGTTCCAAATATGAACCACCAAATAGTTCCTCCAGGATCACAGATCTGTTTTATATCCCATTCTGTAATTTTGCTAGGGCCTAGAGCCAAGTTTTAAAAGCTGGTGAAACCCAGGAAGCATTAAGTTATCGTTCTTAAATTTAGGTTTCCTTTGGGATGAAGCTGAGCTTCTCTCTATGCCCTCGGCTGCTGGTAGGGCTTAGCTGCAAGGCTGGAGCTGGGGAGAAGGAGGATGCAGAGTCAGGCTTTTGGAACTTCAGTGTGCACACACAACACCAGCAATCTTGTTAAAACTCAGGTTCTGATTTAGTATGTGGGGTGGGGGCTGGGATTCTGCATTTCTAACAAGCTCCCAGGCAATACTGATGCTTCAACTTTGAGTAGCAAGAATTTTTTTGTTTTCCTTCAAATGTAGTCTGAAATTTTTTTTAAGCCTGTCCCTCTGGTTCCCATCTCCCCTCATCGGCATGGGGTTGGGTATTATGGAAGGTCAAACCTAGAGTTGGTCAGAGCTGGGTTCTACTCCTGACTCCAATATCTACTGGCTGTGTGACCTGGAGCAAGTCCCCTAACTTCTCCAAGCTTTTGTTTCCTTATGTGAAAATGGGAATAGCAACACCTAGATCTTGCTATCTTTTAGACTACTGACCAGTACTTTTGAATGAAATATACTTACTATTTTAAAAAATTCAAGCAAGATGAAAATTACAAGAAGTTCTGAAATCTCACCACTCTCATAGTGATTTTAGAGTTAAAAGAAATAACATGTGTAAGATGGTCAGCACAGAGCCTGGCACTGGATAAGTACTCAGTGGACATCAGCCCGGGCCACCCATCCTGCCTGTCACTCAGAGAGGGCTGGGCCAGGTTGATCGCTGAGCTCCTCTCACCCCCAGCACCAGCTCATTCCAGGCAGCTGCCAGAGAGGAAGACAGCCCAGCTACAGGAGAACATCGTATGGGGACAAGGGCACTCCCCTGACAGAAATGCCCATCCTGGTCGGGCATGGTGCCTCATGCCTGTAATCCCAGCACTTTGGGAGGCCGAGGCGGGTGGGTCACCTGAGGTCAGGTGTTTGAGACCAGCCTGGCCAACATAGTGAAACCCCGTCTCTACTAAAAATACAAAAAATTAGCCAGGCGTGGTGGCGGGCACCTGTAATCCCAGTTACTAGGGAGGCTGAGGCAGGAGAATCGCTTGAACCTGGGAGGCGGAGCTTGCAGTGAGCCGAGATCACGCCACGGCACTCTAGCCTGGGTGACAATGTGAGACTCCGTCTCAAAAAAAAAAAAAAAAAAAGAAATGCCCACCCCTCCCCTGCCTTACTGCCCCTAGTGCAGGAGAGTGTCCAAATAACATGAAGTCCTAAAGCCACTTTTTGGATTCCGAGAAAGAGCATTTGTCCCAGGCAGTCTTAGCTGGGTGACCTTCAGCAAGTCTCGTTTCTCCCGAGTCTTACATTCCTATTCACACAAGAAGGTATCAACTCCCACTTACACAGCACTTTGCCATTTCAAAGAGATGTTTTTAGTGATTCGTTTTTTTAAAAATCTTCACAGCAACCCTTTAGACTGGCCGAGATCATTATCCTCACAGGGATATTATTCTCTTAAGGGTCCCTGACGCCGGACGCTGCTCCCAGCACAGAAGGCGGGCGGATGCAGCTACAAGGCCCACCTGCTTGGCCTGCAGCCTTGAATGTGCCCTGCTCCAGCAGCTGGTCCCCTCTCACTCTGCTCTGCAGCCCTGCTGGACTCTGTGATCTGTCAGAGTGAAGAGGGCTGGAAGGGCAGCTGCTGCTCAGCTCCTTGTATGGAAATAGTTGCTCACGGACAGATAAATGCAAAGACAAGGTGCCTGCATGGTGGGCAAGCCCTCCAAAAACTCAGCCAGAGAGGACAGGACCAACAGTTCAACCGTTCTGTCTTTCAGGGATGCTTACAAACTCCCAGCCTGCCAGAAGGTCTCTCCTCAAAAATTAGAGGGAAGTGTCTTTTTTTTTTTTTTTTTGAGACAGGGTCTTTCTCTGTCCTCCAGGCTGGAATGCAATGGCATAATCACTGCTTATTGCAGCCTCAAACTCCTGGGCCTAAGCGACCCTCCCACCTTAGCCTCCCAAGTAGCTGGGACTACAGGCACATGCCACCACGCTTGGCTTGTTTTTATTTTTATTTTTTTGTAGAGATGGAATTTCATTATGTTGCCCAGGCTGGTCTCAAACTCTTGAGCTCAAGCGATCCGCCTGCCTCAGCTTCCCAAAATGCTGGGATTACAGGCGTAAGCCTGCTGTGCCCAGCCTGGGGTAGGTGTCTTAAAGAACATCCCATCCCTCAAGTACCCAGATAACTTCACAATATTTTAAATTCTTTTTCTCATTCCTTCTTCTTTTCTTCTTTCCCTCTGTCTTTCCTTCCCTCCCTGCTTCATTCTGCAAGTATTTATTGAGAATCTGTTATGTGCATTGAGCTAGGTAATAGAGGGCCTTAAAAGATAAAGGAAGGCGGGGCGCGGTGGCTCACGTCTGTAATCCCAGCACTTTGGGAGGCCGAGGCAGGCGGATCACAAAGTCAGAAGATCGAGAACATCCTGGCCAACACGGCGAAACCCCGTCTCTACTAAAAACAAACAAACAAAAAACAATTAGCTGGGCGTGGTGGCGGGCGCCTGTAGTCCCAGCTACTCGGGAAGCTGAGGCAGGAGAATCGCGTGAACCCAGGAGGCGGAGCTTGCGGTGAGCCGAAATCACGCCACTGCACTCCAGCCTGGGCGACAGAGCGAGACTCTGTCTCAAAAACAAAAAAGATAAAGGAAATACCGACTTTGCCTTCAAGCAGTCCCCAGGCTGGGATGGGACATAAACACATATAAACAAGGCAGGACCCACATTCCACAAGCATGGTAACTTGCTGTAAGTTTCGAGGAAGAGAGACTACTTCAACTGAGGTAGGAGAGGCAATCTAGAAAGGCATCACCTACGAGATGAGGAGGCATTGTTCTGACCTCGAGAGATAGGCTGAGTTTGTACTCAGAGAAGGTTGAGGTCTTCCAGAAAGAGGCACTGATAGGCAAATGTGTCGGTGTGGGGGTGTACATATAGGAGACAGAGTTAGCCGTTGGATGAGATCATGAGATTCATGTTTGCACTGACTATTAAATACCTTGACATAAGAAGTCAGTGGGGGCTGGGGTAGTGGCTTACACCTGTAATCCCAGAACTTTGGGAGGCTGAGGCAGGAGGATCACTTGAGCCCAGGAGTTTGAGACCAGCTTGGGCAAAATAGTGAGACCACTGCCTCTACAAAAAACAAAAATAAAAAGTAGCCAGCCATGGTGGCAGGCACCTGTAGTCCCAGCTACTCCAGAGACTGAGGTGGGAGGATGGCTTGGGCCCAGCAGGTAGAGGCTGCAATGAGCCATGATTGTGCCATGACACTCCAGCTTGACCAACAGAGTGAGACCCTATCTCAAAAAAAAAAAAAAAAAAAAAGAATTAAAAGGTACTGTTTCCTTGGATCAAGCCTGGAGATTGTCAATTTATTTTTAACATCCCTTTTTTTATTAAAACATCAATTCTCAAGATTTTCTCTGCCACAGCTCACACACCCTACTAAGACCTGTATACATTTCCATGGCCTAGCTGAAGCACCCCCCTCAATTCATGTTCAGAACACATCCTGGGATGCGAGTGGGTAAAGATAGCATCATTATGGGGACAACCTGCCATTTGATCTAATCCATCTTTAAAAGGCAATCATTCTCAGACTTCTGGATTTAAGAATTATTGAGCAATATTTAGCAATACAGCTCACAACAGGTTGTGTAACATGTCGACATGTCTTGCCTCTGCAGCTAAAAGTGCCAAATGAAAAGCAGAATTCTAAGTCGACTGTGGTTATTCTCAACATCCAATGCAAACATTTAAGGCTGTCACTTGAATAGTTTAGCACTTACTCATTTTCTGAACTAATTGTTCCGGAATTTCTCTAATCCTTTTATTAAATTATTTCCATTTATAGCATCATTTATCCCCCAATAACCAACCACCAGCTGTTATCAGATTAAAGGCCACATGTGTGTTTGTGTGTCTGCCAGGGCTGATCCTGCCATTCCCACATGCTCACACAGAATTACACTGACTAACCCCACCTGCTCTGCCGCACCTAAGAAAGCTCATAACTGGTTCCATTTTCAAAAAAAGCCTGGTTGACAGTAATTTATTTACAAATACTCAACTTTTTCTCATGTTCCCCACTATCTTTTTCCCTATATACACACTATATATACATAATCTCCGGGTCACTTTCAACTTTGTAACCAGAATAATTTAGAGACTGCTCAAGTTTTTATTTAAAGAACTTTTAAAAAAAAATCCACTAACTGTCCTTGCTCCTTCTTAACATATTTTGTGATGAATTGGATCAATCTAGAAAATTCTTTTTCGTTGGGGTAGACTGAATAATAGCCCCCCAAAAATTGTCAATGTCTTAATCCCCAGAACTTATAAATAGATTACATTACATGGCAGAGGAACTTTGCATGAGTGATTAAGTTAAAGACCTTGAGACAAGGACAGTATCCCAAATTTCCTAGGTGGGCCTAATGTAATTGCAAGTCCTTATAAGAGGAGGCAGGAGGTCAGCAGGGAACAAGATGTTACACTGCTGGCTTTAAAGATTCAGGAAGGGGGCCATGAGCCAAGGAATGTGGGCAGCCTCAAGTAGATGGAGATAGCAAAGAAACAGAAGTGTCAGCCTGTTTTAGACTTCTAACCTCCAGAACTATAAGATAATAAACTTGTGTTGTTTTCAGCCATTGAAGTTACAGTAGTTTGTGACAGCAGCAAAGGGAACTAAAGGCCAGGTGCCTAGGGGCTCACGCCTGTAATCCCAGCACTTTTGGAGGCTGAGGCAGGCAAATCTCTTGAGGTCAGTAGTTTGAGACCAGCCTTGGCAACATAGTGAAACCCCATCTTCTTTCCCTCTCTCTTTCTCTCTCTTTCCTTCCCTCCCTGATTCTTTCCACAAGTATTTATTGAGCATCTGTTATGTGCATCGAGCTAGGTAATAGAGGGGAGAACTAGACATAAAGGAGTAATAAACAAATGAGTTATGCATATACTTAAAAATTGAGGGCATCAAAAGAAAACAACAATTCATAAAAGAACAAATGTTAAAAAACTTTCACTTCTCTAATAATAAAAAATTCAAGTTAAAACAATACTAAAAAAAGTTTTAACAGATTAAGTTGACAAACATGAAAAAGTGAAATAGTTTTCTGTGTTGGCCAGTATTGGGATGAGGAGACAACCCCTGTGCTGCTAGTAGAAAAATGTATGATCTCCTTTGATGAGGTAATTTGGAAATCTATATCAAAAGCCTTAAAAACGTATTTTGAATTCAAAATTTATACTTGTAGGAATTTGTCTTTAATACATAATCAGAGATATATGGGAAGATCTACTAGGAAAAAGAAGAGCACACCCTTGATCTCCAAAACATAGCATCTACAAATTAGTTCAGCCCTTGTAGAAAGCAGCCTGGAGAGTTCTCAAAAAACTAAAACTAGAATTACCATTCGACCCAGAAATCCCATTACTGAATATCTACCTGAAGGAAAATAAATTATTCTACCAAAAACACACCTGCACTCATATGTTTATCACAGCACTATCCACAGTAGCAAGGACATGGAAACAACCCAGGTGCCCATCAATGGTGGATTGTATAAAGAAAACCTGGTGCATATATACCCTGTAATACTACACAGCTGTTAAAAAAGAACAAAATCACGTCCTTTGCAGCAATATGGGTGCAACTGGAGGCCATTCTCCTAAGCAAATTAATGCAGAAACAGAAAACCAAATAACATGTTTTCATTTTGAAGTGGGAGATAAACATTGGGTATGTATAGACACAAAAATGTGAACAATAAACACTGGAGATTCCAAAAGGGGAGAGGGAGGGAGAGGGTGAAGAATTGAAAAGCTACCTATAGGGTACCATGTTCACTACCTGGGCAAGCAGATTATTAGAAGCCCAAACCTCAGCATCACACAATATGCCCATGTAGCAAACCTGCACATGTACCCCCAAAATCTAAAATGAAAATAAAAACTAATATATGGCATCTAATTAAATTAATATACAAGTCAACAAAAAGAATACTATGCAGCCATTAAAATGGTGTAGAAGGATATTAATGGTTTGAAAGTTGTTCACAACATATTATGAAGTAAATAAAACAGGTTACAAAATAATCCAACTTTTTTGAGAGAAAAAGTGTATACAACTTAATTACATTGAACCTGAAATTATTAAATGCACCATTTTTATTCACTACTAAGAAATCAAAAAAAATCTGCCAATTAAACCATAATCAGCCATAGATTTTAGGATACATTATGATTTCAGAGAAGTTAAAATATGTATTCTGGAATTGATAAATATAGCATATTATGTATGTCCCATTTTCCCTCCATTCTGAAATAAACTTCTTTTCCCATATTTTAATATCCAGAATTTAGGGACATTTTGTGTCTTACAATCAAAGCATATATTTAATGTAGTGTTTCTGCCAGGCGCAGTGGCTCACGCCTGTAATCCTAGCACTTTGGGAGGCCAAGGCCGGCAGATCACTTGAGGCCGGGAGTTCGAGACCAGCCTGGGCAACAGGGTGAAACCCTGTCTCTACTAAAAATACAAAAATTAGCTGGGTGTGGTGGCATGCACCTGTAGTCCCAGCTACTCGGGAGGCTGAGGCAGGAGAATCACTTGAGCCCAGGTGGCAGAGGTTGCAGTGAGCCGAGATCTCACCACTACACTCCAGCCTGGCTGACAGAGCAAGATTTCATCTCAAAAAATAAAAATAATAACAATAATAATGTAGTATTTCTTCCAGGACCCCCACCCCACCTATAACTCATCAGAATCAAGAAAACATTTTATATGCATTGTATTTGCATCAGAAAACAAGGAGGATATACACCAGAATGTTAATAGCTGGGGTTTTTTTTTTTTTTCCAAATGTTAAGATTGCAGAGAATTATTATTTTCTTCCTTAACAACAACAACAAAACCCAGCATTGCGAATTCCCAGTTTGACCCCATGCTATGTAGAAGCTAGGAGGATCACTTGGGCTAAGGTACCACAGAGCTCCCACTCACTTTCCCCCTGAGAACTGGAAACTCTCAGAGTGGAGAGTTAAAGGGGCAGAGAGCAACTTTTACCCACTCGTGCATCACCCCCGGTATCTCAACTACCATAAAATACTGTGTCCAAAAAAGGCAACCCCTTGGTAACGGTACTTCACTCCCTTCCAGCCCCCAACCACAACACCTAAGAGGATGGCAAATAGACTTCATTTTTAAATGCTAGTTCTCATTGATTGGTAGTAGCCCCCTGGAGGACCTGCTGGAAGGGATTCTGAGGCCAAGTTGGAGTTCAGGAGGAAGGTGTGCCTGATTGATTAGTCATGCCTAGCACTTAATCCAAGTGCTACATAATAGCTAGGCCTGAAAGAATTTTCCCAGCTTTATTCTTGCTCTCTTACCTTCAAGAAGAGTACCTGCTTTTCCGACCATCAAAGGTGAAGAGATCCTAACCAGACTAAGGACCATAATTTAAGGGCCTGGATTGTTACTGTTAATGCTAAACAAAGCCCATTCTAACAAAGACACAATTCAGGTTTACAAACCAGCATTTCACAGTATGGCATTATATTTTAAAGCCAAATAACACATATATTACTGGCCTAGTAATTACACTTCTGTGATACACACCTCATGTATCTGCTTTCCAAGAGATAGGAGCAAAAATGTTCATAGCAACCATTCACAGGAGAATGGAAAAATAAATTTGGTACACAGACACACACAAAGTTTATTCATTTTATTAGTTTCACAAAACCATACAGATGAATAATAAACATTTCATTGAAAGAAACAAGTGGCATAAAACCACATATAATATTGTACCTTTGTTTAAAAGATCAAAAACAAAACATAACTAAATTATACATTGTTTAGAAATATGTGACTGTGATAAAACTATTACTGTTTTTTTTTTTTTTTTTTTTTTTTTGAGAAATAGTCTTGCTCTGTCACCCAGGCTAGAGTGCAGTGGCATGATCTTGGCTCATTGCAACCTCTGCCTCCCGGGTTTAAGCGATTCTCTCACCTCAGCCTTCTGAGTAGCTGGGATTACAAGCACCTGCCATCATGCCTGGCTAATTTTCGTATTTTTGTAGAGACAGAGTTTCACCATGTTGGCCAGGCTAGTCCTGAACTCCTGACTTCAGGTGATCCGCCCGCCTGGTTCTCCCAAAGTGCTGGGAATACAGACATGAGCCACCACACCCGGCCAAAACTATTATTTAAAAGGCAGTAGAATATACAACACAAAACCTAGGATAATTACCTTTGGAGCAGGCATGCAACAGGATAGAGAAGATGTAACATATTGGAATATTCTAGTTAAGTTGGTTTGGTGTTGATTTATTGCTATGCTTTATATAATATATGTTAGAATATATACAATATAACATATAATATATATGTTAGAATATATAATACACACTGTTTGAAAGAATTAATTTTCATTTAATGCAGTGCTCAACTAAAAATAAAATCTTTCTCCACATTTGTGTGGAAGAGTAGGAAAGCCTGTCTTGCAGTAAGATGGATTAAAACAAGCCAGTTTTGTACAGTGACTTTTGTGGGTGACTCAGTCCCACCTCTGCAATCAAGTTTCTCATCTATGGTGGCTGAGCCTCACCAGGAGCCTAAAATGCATAAAACTTTCCTTTAATGCCTCTTTGGGCTGTCTCTGGTATAACCAAAGAAAGCACAGCTCCCTCATCTATGCAGTGACAAGTTTGGGTAAAGCATTTTTTGAAAAAAAAACTATCTCTTTTAGATTTTTTTTCAATCATTTTAAACGTCATTTATACCAATTATCCCACTTTTATTACCATTGTAAAAATAATATATGATTTTATGTAGCATTTATCTGCAATGTATATGAAGGTGTTTTTATAGTTGTTACTTCAAATGAATGACAAATTATTTATAATAACAAAAACATGGAAACAATCCAAATGGCCAGTCATCAGCAGGTAATAGAAGAAGACGTAGCCCTTAAGTACTATGTCTCTGAAGAGTGTATAATAGCACAGAAGATGTCAAAATTATTAAATGAAAAAGCATAATAGCTTGTATAATGAGTATATTACAGCCAAATGAAACCTATGTTTTAAAACAAACCGAAAATAGATACCCAACATGTTAAGAGTGGTTATCGCTGTGTGATGTCTTATCTTTCTAAATTTTCTAAAATGACAATGCCTTGCTTTTATAATGGAATGAAAGCCCATTCAACTTTAACCTTCTTGAAATGGAACTGATTGGCTAGATTGACTTTGGGGAATTGGAAGCAGCAAATGGAGATGTTCTTCACAAGGCCAGGCAGTAACTCACTGGCAGCGCCAGAATTAGTGTTGACAGTCCCTGTGTTTCTGGGTTGTTTTCACTCTGAATCCAGCTGGCTCCCTAACTGTACTCACCCCTCCCCTGACACATACACATACACACACACAGATTAATGAAATAAGACAAGCTCCCCCTGAAAAAGTCACCTCAGCCCCTTATTTTCCTCAAGTGGTGGTGAGCCATATGCCCCAGTTCACACCCTTTTCCCTGAAGGTCTTAGTGGGCAGGAAGACAAGAGAATGTGAATACTAATCAAGTTATCTGTGGGAAGCAGTGCCCTTTCCCAGGGTGGTCAGTGCAGCCAGCCAACCACAAAGCCTAGGTTATCAGACTCAAACCACATAGATGTCAAGCAGGTCACCCCAACCTTGATCTCAGAAAATATTGACAATTTAATGTAATCACCATGTAGGTTTGTTTAAAATGAAGATTTATTACTAATTTAAAAGCTTGGTAGTCTAGTGTGGCCAAGGTCGTGAGGAAGCGGGAATGTAAATTTAATAGAGCCTGTTTGGAGAGCCTATAAAACTGAAAACATCACATCCTACGGCCCAGCAATTCCTCTTCTAGTCCTGTGCCCTGGAGAACAATCGAACATATGTACAGGTAGACACGATCAAGGATTTTCATTTTATTTCATGAAAAATTAAAAACTACCAATTGTCTCTCAATAGGGGAATGGATAAATAAAATGTCATATATTTATAGGATGAAATATTTAAAATTAAGATTGATGATTCATATGGCATATGAATCTATATGGATAGCTCTATAAAGGAAATAGATCTTTGGAATTTAAAAGAAGTATCTATAGATTTAAAGTTCCTGCAAGGATAGACATCAAAAACGTGTTGTTTAGGGAAAAGAGTGAGTTCTAAAATGACATCTGAAGTATGACACCATTTCTGTAAAAAAAAAAAAAAAACCAGACAGACTACAGCCATCCATCTTGTTAAGTGCAGATATATGTATGTAATAGCACAGGAACATTCTAGAAGGAAATACATTGAAATAATAGCAGGGGTAATATCTGAGGAAAGACAGAGGGGACTGGGATTGGGTGATACTCAGATTTTTCAAGGGAAAGTGGATTCCTGGGTTATTCATAATTATAAATATACAAATAGTTCATAATTTTTAAAGTCTCAGCAATTACTTTATCTGGTAATGTATTTATAATAAAAAGAAAGCTAAAAATATAGAGCTTTCTGTCGGAAAATGTTTCCCACAGCACCACACCCACCTTTCCACTCCCAGCACACCCTCTCAGCCAAGTTGGCCAGTATTGGGAGAAAGTGCCCCCGAAGCCTTTGCTCACCTTCACCACCCTTCTAGGAGCCACAGCAAATCACACTGGCAATGATCCCTTGCAGAAAAATTTGTGCCAGAAAAATTAGCTCTCAGAAGTGCCATTTTGTTGAAAAAAGAGCACATGAATTTTATCCCTTCCCCTGATGATTTTTGAGAGCAAAGTATTTTAGAGTTTGGCCCCAGCCAAACTAACAGGAGAGAAGGCAACTCCCCACATTTCATACCTGTCAAAAACCACTGCGGAATAAGCCCGCTCAGCAAAGATGATATCTGCAGCCCAGAACTCCTTGGTGGCCTTCAGACCCCTTCCTTTGCCCTCAGCGGTGAAGACCTCCACGTTCTCCATTCTCCCTATTGTCATCTCAGAGACTGTCAGGCCAGCGCGGCAGTTATTTAACACTGAGCCAAGTCTCTTGTCATTGCTATTTCAGCACCTTCAGCATCCCAAAGAGCAAGACTATAAATGGACAAGCCACCTCCCCTTCCCTACTCGCTCTCAGCTACTGGGCCCTCACCTCCCCCTCTGCTACTTTTCCTGGAGGTGGGGATGGGACAGACAAGAGAACAAGTGAACTGGGAAGAGTTTCATTCATCACCCAGCAAAGCCGACAGAACAGAAAATGACCATGGGTTAATATGGCATAGGGCCTGAAAAGTTTTGAGAGGTTCCATTGCAAGCAGAAGCTATCTGTATGTGCTAAGTTCTGAACTGCAACAATCCTGTTCGGCTTTAGTTGGAGTAGGGAACATTTGGTCAGGAGGGTATTTTTAGCAGCCAGATGCCTCTGTCAATCAAAAGCAGACAGCTGGAATGGTCCCATAGAAACAAGGTGATATTTGCTGCTCTGGGACCCTTCAGCTGTCAGGCTTGCACTTTCTCAAGTGAGATGGGCCCTCGCCCCACCCTTTTCAGTCTCTCTCCCAAGGGTGGACTGTTTAGCAGCAGAAGCTAAACTGAGGGCTGGGCACGGTGGCTCACGCCTGTAATCCCCACCTTGGGAGGCCGAGGCACATGGATCATCTGAGGTCAGGAGTTCAAGACCAGCCTGACCAACATGGTGAAACCCCGTCTCTACCAAAAATACAAAAATTAGCTGGGCGTGGTGGCGGGCGCCTGTAATCCCAGCTACTGAGGAGGCTGAGGCAGGAGAATTGCTTGAACCTGGGAGGCAGAGGTTGCAGTGAGCCGAGATCGCGCCATTGCACTCCAGCCTGGGCGACAGAGTGGGACCCCGTCTCAACAAAAAATTAATAAATAAATAAATAAATAAATAAATAAATAATAAGAAGAAGCTAAACTGAGCCCTTGGCATATACGTAACAGTACTATTTAGGCTCCAAGGGGGCATTTTTCCTCTCCAGTATCACCTGGGGCTCTTACAGCACCCCCTACTCCACAGCATGGAATTCCCTGTTCTTAGCACTGCTGGTGATGCTGGTATGCTGGAGGCAGGCTGGATACAGACAAGGCAGGCTATAAAAATAGCAACCCCCATCTCTATCTTTCTATCAAATTTCCTTTAACATGTGTCTGCTGCCAGGAAAATACCAACGTGCTCTGTCCTTCTTCTTACTCAGGAGTGAGGACACTGGAAAGACGAATCTAAAATCCCCGTTGAACTAAATGCCACTGTTCTTGGCTATCAGGCAGCTTTTACTGAGGTTTAAAAGAAATACACTTGCAGATCTGGAGCTCTGGCTTGACTTCCATGTAAGATTTTTAGTTCCTGGGATGCATCTATTTCCTGGTGGGGGTTGGGGGTGGGGGTGACGGCGGGGGTGGGGGGCAGTGGGCAGGGGCATTTCCTGGATTTTTCTGAGTGTATGGTTTCTGAGTCAGATGAATCTGAGTTTGAATTCTAAGCCTGCTACTACCACTTGAGATGGAACCTGTGAAACAAGGGTGATAATTTCTACCTCACTGGATTGTGAGAGTTAGATAATATGTAAAAGGGGATAACACAGCACTTAGCACTTCATAAAGTACTCATTAAGTGATAGCTATTCTATTTTATTTACTCTGTCACATTATCCTCCCTAAACTATCACGATGTACCAGAAATTTTAACATGTCTTCAACCAATTGAATCTCCCAAAACACCTTCGACTCTTGGAAGCATGTTGAAAGTTCATTGTCTGATCATATATCCTGATTTTTAGGTAAGAATACATAGCCATGACAGCAAGAGAATATCTCTGCAGCTTCTGATGTACACTGAAGAGCAAAATAACTTAAGACATGTAAAGTTAGGTGCCTCAAAAAGTAAACACTGCATGCTCCCAAGGGGAAAAACAATTCTACAAAACAGAGAGTTAAAAAAAGAGAAAGAGGCCGGGCACAGTGGCTCACGCCTGTAATCCCAGCACTTTGGGAGGCGAGGCAGGTGGATCACAAGGTCAGGAGATCGAGACCATCCTGGCTAACACGGTGAAACTCCGTCTCTACTAAAAATACAAAAAATTAGCTGGGCGTGGTGGCCGGCGCCTGTGGTCCCAGCTACTGGGAGGCTGAGGCAGGAGAATGGCGTAAACCGGGGAGGCAGAGCTTGCAGTGAGCCAAGATCACGCCACTGCACTCCAGCCTGGGCAACAGAGCAAGACTCCGTCTCAAAAAAAAAAAAAAAAAAAAAAAGAGAAAGAAGGCCAGGCGCAGTGGCTCATGCCTGTAATCCCAGCACTTTGGGAGGCCGAGGCGGGTGAATCACTTGAGCCCAGGGGTTTGAGACTAGCCTGGGCAACATGGTGAAACCCTGTCTCTACCAAAAATACAAAAAATAAACCAGGCATGGTGGCGCATGCCTGTAGTCTCATCTACTCAGGAGGCTGAGGTGGGAGGACCACTTGAGCTCATGAGGCAGAGGTTGCAGGGAGCCATGATCATGCCACTGCATTCCAGCCTGGGTGACAGAGCAAGATCTTGTCTCAGAAAAAAAAGAGGGAAGGGGGGGGGGGGAGGGGAGGGGAGGGGGGGAGGGGAGGGGAGGGGGGAGGGGAGGGGAGGGGGGGAGGGGAGGGGAGGGGAGGGGAGGGGAGGAGTAGCAGAGCAAGCTCTTGTCTCAGGAAAAAAGAGGGAAGGGGAGGGGAAGGGAGGGGAAGGGAGGGAAGGGAAGGGAGGGGAGGGGAGGGAAGGGAAGGAAAGCGAAGTGAAGGGGAGGGGAGGGGTTTTCAGGAAAGGAGAGGAGAGGAGAGGAAATATTAAAAAGGTTTTTTCCCTGTAATCCCAGCACTTTGAGAGGCCAAGGCAGGCAGATCACGAGGCCAGGAGATTGAAACCATCCTGCCTAACATGGTGAAACCGCGTCTCTACTAAAAATACAAAAATTAGCTGGGCGTAGTGGCACACGCCTGTAGTCCCAGCTACTCAGGAGGCTGAGGCAGGAGAATCACTTGAACCCAGGAGGCGGAGGTTGCAGTGAGCCGAGATCATGCCACTGCACTCTAGCCTGGGTGACAGAGCGATACTCCATCTCAAAAAAAAAAAAAAAAAAAGGTTTTTTTCAATCCAGGTTGACTCCCAATGAATACCCTGTATCCACATTGCCTGGCAACTCAGGGTCTTGCAATAACTTGTCTGCCCTCAGGGGCCAGGGGCTCAGCCTGGCTCAGATGAGCTTGTTCCCTAGACTAGGCACTCTTGGAGCAGGTTCAGCCCAAGCCACGGACAAGGAAGAAATTTACCAGCCCCAAGACCATATGGAGAGAGGAAGCCCAGGACTTTAATTATACCTGTGGGCCTCAACCTTATCAGAACAATGGTTATTATATTATTAAAGGGTGGTAGACAGAATAACAGGCCCCAAAGATGTGCAGATTCTAATGCTTAGATCTGTGAATATGTTACCTTATATGGCAAAAGGGACTTTGTGAATGTGATCAAGTTAAGGATCTTGAGATGAGAAGATTATCCTAGATTATCCTGGTAGGACCAATGTAATCATGAGGATCCTTATAGGAGGAAGGCAGGAGGGCCAGGGTCAGAGGAGATGCGACAATGCAACCAAGAGGGTCAGAGTCAGAGAGATATTGAAGGGGCTGTGTTGCTGACTTTAAAGATGGAAGAAGCGGCCATGAGCCAAGAAACTGGAAAAGGCCAGGGAACAGATTCTTACCCTAGAACCTCCAGAGGGAACACAGCCCTGCGGACCTTGATTTCAGCCATGTAAAGTCCATTTCTGGCTTCTGACCACCAGAACTGTAAGATAATAAATTTATGTTCTTTAAAGTCTCTAAATTTGTCATATTTTGTCACAGCAGCAATAGTAAATATAGTAAATATTTACTATATTAGTCTCATTATAGTAAATATTATGTAACATGCTTTTTGTTACTTTAAAGTGAAATTCTTACATAATATAATTTATTCGTTCTTATACCTAAGAAAAATGACTAGTCTAATCTAACAAAGGTGAAAGAAAATCAAAGTTAATTTGTAGTAATATCTATTTATTGTAAATTAAATGTGTAAATGTGCTCACTATGCATATGCTTGGGTACAACTATATTAGAAGATGAGATAAAATGGCTAGATGTTTGTACCTCTAAGTGGAATCACTATGATAGTGAGAACAAAAATGCAGATTGATTTTGAGGACACAAATACCATATTGTTGCCTGTGACCATAATTTTCTGAAATGGTGAGCGACTCTTAGGGGAGTTCTAAACAAAATAAAGTTTGATCTTTCTTTGGTTAACAAGAAGTTGCATTGCTGGAAAATTCAGCATATATTAAAACTTTACAAAAACTACTTTACGATTACTTACAAAATGGATTTCCAGACTCAGACAATCATAAACTGGCTTTTTGCCTACCTGAAGAGCACATACAGATATTTGAGGCTGTGCGGGGTGGGCAGAGAGTCTTCATTGTACCAGGCTGTCCCCTGCTTCTCAGGGGATCTAGCATCTCTGGCCAGGATTAAGGACACAGAGTTGACAGTAGTTCCCAGACTGTTGGTGGGGAAGGGGGCATAAGGCCTTCATATGTCACGTATCAACATCAATCCTATGTAAAAGTTTTTTGCCCATCTGCCTGTGCTGCAGCCCTTCCCAGTTTGTTTTTCCCCCTACTGAAATCCAACCCTTTTTTGATGACTTTGGTGCTGCCGAGAATATGCCTGTAGCATCCTGCAATCATTGTGACAAACAAAAGTTCTTCCCACATTTCTAAAATGCTTCCTATGTAGTAGATTTGCCTCCATTGAGAACTACTGGTCTTTGTCTTGAGAAAAAGCACATCTAGAGTTTTGAAAAGATTTCTTATTGATACAGGAGATAGAAAAATTATTTAGGCCGGGCACAGTGGCTCACACCTGTAACCCCAGCACTTTGGGAGGCCAAGGTGGGTGGATCACTTGAAGTCAGCAGTTCGAGATCAGCTTGGCCAACATGGTAAAACCCCGTCTCTACTAAAAATACAAAAACTAGCCAGGAGTGGTGGTGCATGCCTGTAATCCCAGCTACTAGGGAAGCTGAGGCATGAGAATCACTTGAACCTGGGAGGTGGAGGTTGCAGTGAGCCGAGATCATGCCACTGCACTCCAGCCTGGGTGACAGAGCAAAACTCTGTCTCAAAAAAAAAAAAAAAAAAAAAAAACTGTTTAGGCAGAGAGTGAGGGCAAAAGAGTGCGCAGCAGAACTTCCCTTCTAACAAAAAGCAGCCCTAGAAATCATTTCCTTCTAGCAAAGAACAGCCTGGAAGACCGAACTGCAAACATAGATAAGGAAGCTGGAAGCTTGCACAGGGGATGCTGGCAGCTGCACCAATAGAAAAGGGCTACCTGGGGGCCAGGCATGTCGAACATGGGGCTCTGCCTTCCCTTTTTTGTTAGCATGTGTACAGTAAAAAAGAAATGGGCCACAAAGAGAAGCTCAGGTAGAAAACCCACCTGCATAATAAAAGATTGGGGTGGGGGCTGTCAGAGATTCGAGCCCTGTGCAGATGACACACCTGGTCCTAACCCATTTTTCACATCCTATGTAGATCAGACACCACCTCCCCACTAGCTCGTCTATAAAACCCTCTTCATTTCAGCGTGGATCAACAACCCATTTTTCTGGGACCCCTCTCTGTAGCAGAAAGCTATTCTCTTTATTTTGCCTGTTGAATTTTTGCTGTTAACCTCACTCTTTGTGTGTCCACATTCTTAATCTCCATGGCTGTGAGACAACAAACCTCAGATGTCACCCCAGACAATTAGGCTGCTTCATTATTGACCTATTGGAGATGACTGGGCAGAGAAGAAAAGATTAAGGAAGCAGGCCGGGCACGGTGGCTCTCATGCCTGTAATCCTAGCACTTTGGGAGGCCAAAGCAGGTGGATCACCCGAGGTCAGAAGTTCCAGACCAGCCTGGCCAACATGGCGAAACCGTGTCTCTACTAAAAACACAAAAATTAGCTGGGCATGGTGGTGGGCACCTATAATGCCAGCTACTAGGGAGACTGAGGCAGGAGAATCACTTGAACCCGGGGTGGAGGACAGAGGTTGCAGTGAGTCGAGATCACACCACTTCACTCCAGCCTGGACAAAAGAGCAAAACTCCATCTCGGAGAAAAAAAAAATTCAGGAAACACATGACAGCCATTGTTGATGTCTTACATCTTGAAATACGGAAAAAGTAGATCCATTCTGCATCTCCTAAGAGATCAATCTAGGGGCCAGGGTGGACATAACTGTGTGACCATGTGATATAGTGATTAGGATCGTAGACTTGAGCTTCACAGACCTTCACAGTCATGTTTCTGTAGATAAGCCCTTCTCCACTCCAGGAAGATGTCAATTTTTCCATTGTTAGTGGTTTTAGTAAGCATCCAGGCACCTTCTTTTTTTGTATCTGAATAAAGAAGGGTAGTGAGAAAGGGAGAAGAATGAAATAGCTCAAGCCAAAGAGCTCCTGGTCCAGGAAAGAGGCTGAGCTGGGAGATTTCAGACAAGGGGATGACAAAAATTACCACTAAGGAACAAGATGTCCAGGCCATCGCTCTGTCTCTATTTCAGCTGAACTCCCCAACACACACATACACACACACATACACAACCCCTCCCCAACACACACATACACACACAAGCCAAGAACATTCCTATGGATACCCAGCATTCCCTCACCCTAAAGAATGTGAGAGGCAATTGATGCAGGATTTACGAAGCAAGGGTCATGCTGGGTCCCTAATCAAAGGTAGCTCAAAGGTAGAAGAAAGGGACATGATGAGGCCAGGAGTAGGGGCTGTTTTGGGAGAGTTATCAGTGTATCATCAAAAGGCTAGGCATGGCTTCAAGTATCCTCTTAATGTAAGAAGGGGCTCTACTTGTTAAATTGCATCATAGGTAGAATCTGTTCCCAGATGCCACTTTGCAGCCCCCAAATCTTTAACTGTAGTCTGTGTTTGTACTACTGCTCTGAGCCTTTGAGCTAATAACCTCAGAGGCCTTGAGAGAGTGAGTACATTTCCCCTGTATGTTGCAATTCAGGGAATATGTACAAATAAGTGTGAAAGAGTGTAGATAGCAATCAAATCCATGTGGTTTGTGATACGTCTTGAATCATTGGGACAGCTTGTGTGTCTGTATTAATACTGTAGCTGTTAATCTATCTATCATACCTGGAAGAGCTCCAGTCATCTCTTTGAAAGACCCACTGGCTGAGCCACACACCTGCAATGATCACCATCTAGTGGCAGATCAAAGGAGCTGCAAGATTTTATATCTGAAGACTACTTTAGTTAAAGGACAGCCCTTATCCCTGGATTTGACCTCCTTTGTACCCAGAGCTAAGGTTCAATTAGACCAAGGTCAAGGTTCCTTAACCTCCAAACTAAGAATGGTTTGTACCTTCTTTAATGGTTGGGAAAAAAATCAAAAGACTATTTTGGCCAGGTGCCGTGGCTCATGCCTGTAATACCAACACTTCAGGAGGACAAAGCAAGAGGATAGCTTGAGCCCAGGAGTTTGAGACCAGCCTGGGCAGCATAGTGAGACCTAATCTCTATAAAAAATAAACAAAATTATCCAGGCAAGTTGTTGCACGACTGTAGTCTCAGCTACTCGGGAGGCTGATGTGGAAAGATCACTTGAGCCCCAGAGGTCAAGGCTGCAGTGAGACGAAATTGTGCCACTGCACTAAGCCTGGGTGACAGAGTGAGATCCTACTTCAGAAAAAAAAAAAAACAAACTATTTTGTGACACATGAAAATTACATGAAATTCAGATTTCAGTGACCATAAATAAAAGTGTATTAGAAAACAGCTGCACTCATTTTTTTTGCGTATTTTCTATGGCTCCTTTCACAGTGCAACAGCAGAGTTGGATAATTGCAACAGAGAACATATGGCCCACAAAGCTGAAAATATTTACTATCTGACCTTTTATACAAAACGTTTGCCAACCCATGCTTAGATTAATAATAGCTTAATACCTGGCAATGTCACATAGGCCCAGAGTTGGGGAGAAGCTCACTGCTTTCAAGTACATTCACTGACTGATTCATTCATTCATTTCATACACTGTGTGAGGGACCTGATCAAGGAAGAAGTTCTTGTGCACAACTACCATTCACATTCCAGGGTGACAGGAACAGGTGTCCTCCTTGATTATCCATGATATCCTGCATAATTGCATCCTTGACAAAACTTCACACTCTCTAGTCCATGTGTTCTTACTAAAAAAGCATGCTTGCTTCCCTCTTTCTCCCTCTGGCTCCAAGAAATCCTTAGTTGTGCAATCCTTTCCTCCCAAGAATTCCTAAATTCACTCATCCTGCATGCATTTATCAGCCCGTGTATCAGGCACCGTGCCCACTGCCCCAGATATAAAGATGAGTAAGGCTGGGCATGGTGGCTCACACCTGTAATCCTACCATTTTGAGAAGCCAAGGCAGGAGGATCACTTTAGTCCAGGAGTTCGAGACCAGCCTTGTCCACATACTGAGAGCCCCGTCTCTACAAAAAATACAAAAATTAGCTGGGTGTGGTGGAGCACACCTGTAGCCCCAGCTACTCAGGAGGCTGAGGCTGGGGGATGACTTGAGCCCAGGAGAAGGCTGCAGTTAGCCACGATCATACTCCTGCACTCCAGCCTGGGTGACAGAGCAAGACCCTCTCTCAAAAAATAAAGTAAAATAGGCGCGGTGGCTCATGTCTGTAATCCCAGGACTTTGGGAGGCCGAGGCGGGCGGATCACAAGGTCAGGAGATCGAGATGATCCTGGCCAACATGGTGAAACCCTGTCTCTACTAAAAATACAAAAATTAACTGGGCATGGTGGCACGTGCCTGTAATCCCAGCTACTCAGGAGGCTGAGGCAGGATAATCACTTGAACCAGGAAGTCAGAGGTTGCAGTGAGCCGAGATCACGCCACTGAACTCCATCCTGGCAACAGAGCAACACTCTGTCTCAAAAAATAATAAAATAAAATAAAATAAAGATGTGTAAAATGTAGGCCCTGTCTTCAAGACATTGACCTTTAAAGGGGATTATGGAAGAGCATGTAAGGGTGGTGAGAGATAGGAGGCTAAGGGGAAGGGTATCCAGGGCTCTGAGGAACCAACGAAAGCTTCGGAGAAGAGACAGACAAGAGAAGTAGGGAGGGTGACCAGAATCTCAGAACCAGAGGAGATCACTTCAGACCCAAGGACATGGCAGCATGTGCAGAGACATGAAGGCCAAGAAACAGCGTGACAGGTGCAACAACTGCAATTGGGAGGCTACTGCGGGAGCTACAGATGCATAAGTAGTATACTTCTCTTTACCATCTGGCACCAGACTACTGCATTTTATGTCCCAGTGTTTCATATACATTTGAAAGCTATTCTAACAGCAACATCTCTTCGAATGTGTGACATTGTTCTTTGCTTACGTTACCACAAGTTTCATGGCACCCTTTGAGGTGGATATTGTGGCCATTTTGAAGATGAAAAAAATGGAGGTTCAGAGAAGTAAGAAATATGTCTGAGGCCTCCTTGTGAAAAACATCTCCAAAGTATAAAACCTGGAAAAACTTTGATCCACACGCACAAGGAGACTGCACAAGAAGGTTAAAGCAGCACCAACTGGAGGAGCAAAAATAGGAAACAAACTCAGTGTCTACCGAAAACGTGTAGGAGAAAGGGTAAGTAGTGGTGCATTCATAAAATGGAATATTATTGAACGGTGAAAGTGAATGAGAACCTCACATATCAGCATGAGTTAATATAAAAAAGGCCATGTAAAAAACATTGCAGATGAATAAACAGTATGTATAATAACACTTACGTAAAGTTCTAAACCATGCAATGCAATATTTCATGTTACTTAGGGGTACATACATATGTAGTAAAATTATAAAGAAATACATGGAAATGAAAAATGCTGAATTTAGAATAGTATTTATTTCTGAGGGAAAGAGAAATTCGTGAGGAAGTGGAGAAGAGGGCATTCCAGAAAGAGGGAGAAGCGTATACAGTACTGTGAGTTGAGTTTTGCAATAGTGTGGTATTTACAGGAATCAGTATAGGTTTAATGTTGCTGAATCACAAGTAATAGCAGGGTGGGGAGGTAAGGGCAGTGGAAAGATAATGAGATCAGGGAGGTGCACAGAAACCTCATAGTACTCAGTTTGACCTTTTCCAACAGACACTGGGGAGCCAGTAATGACTTTTAGAGAGAACCCTTTGGCAGCAATATGGAGAGTAGACTGGAGCAGTTGAAGTCAGAGGGAGATCTTAGCACGTTTCTAGCAAGAGTTGATGAGAATCTGAAATAAGGCAACGGCAATGTGACAGGAAAGTAGAGAATACCCAAAATAAACTCTTCCACAGTATACCAGGAGACGTGCCCATCAACAGGAAAATCAGTGGAGTCGTGTCCAGCAGTGAAATGAACAAATTACAGCTGTCTTCAACAGCTTAGACGAAATTCAAAATATTAAGTGAAACAAACGAGTCCCAGCGTACTGCATAAAGGTGTAAATCTTATAACGTTTAAAAACAATCTAAATGTGTTTTAGCCATGCCTATGTGTGATAATAAATAGAGAAAGGAAATGATGAATACAAACCAGGTTAGTGATTTCTTTGGGAAACAGGGGATGAGATGATGAGATATACACATACATACATATTTGTGTGTATAATGTATATTATAGATGTACATGCTGAAAGAGCAACAGGGAGAGAGAGAAAAAGGTCATTTATGGACCAATGATGACGACGTATGATGACAAAGGATTGTGCTTAATCTACTCTGTGTATTTAGGGCATAATAAAGGAAAGATTATAACTGAGGCTTTATTGTAAAGATCATAAAATGTTTTGTTTTACTTATATTCCTTTTCTTTGTCTTTTTCTTCCTCCATGCATGCTTGCTTGCACGTAGTCATTTCAGTAGAGGGTAGTCACTAGTGATTGATTAACTTCATATCCTAACCCCAGAGTGCAGGCAAGATTGATGAACTTGTTTTTCTTTTAAAGAACAATGGACCTGGCACGGTGGCTCACGCCTGTAATCCCAGCACTTTGGGAGGCCGAGGTTAGTGGATCACTTGAGCCCAGAAGTTCAAGACCAGCCTGGGCAACATAGTGAGACATCCCCACCCCCTGCCCAATCTCTATAAAAAATGAACAAAAATCACCCGGGCATGTGTGCATGCCTGCGGTCCCAGCTACTTGGGAGGCTGAGGTGAGAGGATCGCTTGAGCCTGGGAGGTCGAGGCTGCAGTGAGTGGTGATCCCACCACTGCACTCCAGCCTGGGCGACAACGCGAGACCCTATCACAAACAAAACAACCATGACCCTTAGGTCACGCAGACCTCCTTGATGGTCCAGATGGGGCATCATCTAATGGGGCAGATGAGACCTAGAGTCCCAGGGAGGAAACAGCTTTGATCATGGGGGATCCCACCCTCTGTATTCTTACCTTACTCATAAAGGCCCCCCAGTTACGTTCTAAGGCATGTCAGTATTTGAGAGACTTCTTCTCCCGCTCTCTCGCTTTGGCCAAACGGAATAAACCTTCCCCCGCTCCTAAGCACTGAATATGTCGGTGTTTGGCTTACTGCGCATTTGTTACACGAACCTATATTGTAGGTTCTGTTGATAAGGCAACAGATCATGTATTTTTGAGATACTTTGAGGGTGGAACTGTAAATTTCCAGTTTTTTTTTTTTTAATCAGTTGGCTTTATATTCATTCTCCCAAGGCGAGCGAGCGACCCCCACGAACTTTTCCTTGCCCCAAAAAGGAGGGCAGACGGACAGGATCAAAACCAGTCGCGCCAGCAAGACATTAGAGCCGCGCCGGGAACTGCCAGGCCAAGCGGGCGAAGCAAGCAGCAAGGCGGGGCTCAAGAGGCTTCCTGGGCGCTGGGCTGGCCGCGCAAGCGCAGTAGCGCGTCTCGCCGCCATGGCGTCTGTGCTGTCCAGTCATAAGCCGGTAGTGGCGGCGACTTCCCCTCAGGAAGCCGGGTCTCCGCCTCCTCCTCCCATCCAGCCTGCTCGGCGGCGGAGGCGGCGGTGGCGGCAGCGGTTGTTCCTGCCTCTCCGCCACCTCCACCGCGGCTTATCCCCTGGCTGGCGGCGTTGGCGGGGCGGGGGACAGTAGTTGTAGACGCCCGCCCCTGCCTCAGAGAAGGTGAGTTCCCGCCCCGGCGGCGGGGGCGGCCCGGTCTTCAGCCCCTCAACTCCTGCGCTCCAGGACAGGCCTCGCGCGCCCAGCCCGCCGGGCGCGCCCCGAGTGTGCGAAATGGCCGACCAGGGCGCGGCCCGAGTCCCGCGCACCCCTCACCGGCCGCCGCCCCCGGAAAGAGACGCCAGGGCTTCCGAGTGGAGTGCGGAGGGAAGGGGCGCTCGGCTTGCGGAGGAAGCCGAGGTCGGAGTGGGAAACTAGGGGCGACCAAGAGGAAATCTAGACCCGGAGGAAATCTAGACCCGGAGCGTCAGGGAAAGGGAAGTGGGGTGAGGAAACTCGAAAATTGAGGGGACAGGGATAAATAGAGAAAAGCCCAAACGTGGAAGAGAGTAAGCTTCCGTTTGGTGAAGTTCAGCATCCTGGAAAGTAGAGACTTTGACGTAGGACGCTTAGGGAGAGGTGGATTTAGGAATCGGGGAAAGCAGGAAGTAGCGGGGCCCTTGGGGGAAGAGAAGAGGGGATGAGGTTTAGGGGGGGATCACTTTGGAGTTATCCTAGGCTTTTGAGGATATGGCCCTATAAGACAAGCTTCTAAGATTTATAGGCCCGTCTTGATAGTGATCTGGGGTTTTATGTGTGTGTGCTTTTAATCCTCTAATTTAGAGACGGAGGTCTCGCTGTGCCCAGGCTGGAGTGCAGTGGCGCGATCATAGCTCGCTGCAGCCTCCAGCTCCTGGGCTTAAGCGATCCTTCTGCCTCAGCCTCCGGAGTAGCTGGGACTACGGGCGCGAGCTACCGCGCCCAGCTGAGTTTTAATATGTACCTACCAATGTCAGAGATACACGAAGCTGGACGTTAAAGCGTTGAAAAAGGATTTTATTCCGCAACTCCTGACAGAGGGGAAAGACTGAGCTCCATTCCTATTTTCACCGAGATGACTGCGAGTTTTAAAGGGAGATGAAGGGAGTAGGGAGTGGGAAGAGAGGGCTCAAGTAGAGTCAGGGAGGTGAAAAATTACAAAGTGCTGATCATTGTAAAAACGCAAGTAGGCCAGCTGTGTCTCCTATCTGGGAATTATCTAAGATAAAATACTATCCTCCCACAGAGACTGGGAGTCAGGCCCAGTCCTTCCTGGTTACATTTCAGAGCGATGGCTTTCAGGTCCTTGAGAAAGACACTCCTGAGTTGTAAGAGGTACAAACACATCTCAAAGGAACAGAGGAGGATTCGTAGTTGTGAGCCCTTTTTAGTAAATGCCTTTTAAAAGGGAAGTCAGGGAGCTGTTATTAGGTGTTGGCTAGAACAAACAGTAAAAATTTTTTTGACAGCCTGGCTTTTCCAACAGGAGCTCAAAAGAGGGCTGGATTGCCCTCATGGACGTGGGCTTAGGCTTCTAGAGGCCATGTTAAATTTTGGTCGACTCTCCAAGGATGGGGAGAGCTTTTGCAGTTCTCCAACACATTGCCCCTAACACAAAATGCTATTTCTTATCCATCTTAATCTAAGAGATGTTTGAGTTCTTACTATAATAGTTCTATATGTCTGCAAACAGCCTGCTGGTTGCAAATCATGAGATAAGGCTTAAAGCAGTTTTGGGAATGATTTTAGTTGATAGTGCTTGATCCCACTGCAGAAGACCTAAGTAAAACATTCAGCCATGTTCAGTATCAAATTTTTTAGTGTTTGCTGTGTTGCCTTATGTTGCTTTTTGTCTTCAGAGTGAAAGATGATGGGAGCCAGAATATTGTAGAATAATTTAGATTCCTTTTTCCAAGAGAGACACCTATAAATATAACCCCATAAAAATACTGATTTCTTCTTTATCCTTTTTCATGATGAGATATTGTATTTTGTGTGTTATCCCATAATATTTTACACAATTGACTTTGTGTCTATTGACTTTGGAGAACTGGCGGAGGAGTAAAATACTGCAGATTTCTTAAAACATTTTTGTAAGCACTTTTTCTGTTCACTAAAAATGGGGATTAGTCATTGCAACCAAATGATGAGACTATTAAGTTCTCTTAGTGAAGGCAGTTTTGGAAGACTAGATTTAGTGTCTTCAGTCAGCCTGGATTATTTTGCTTTTATAACACATTTCCTGCCTCTCACTAATAAATAAGCCTGAGCAGTTAAAAGACTACAATTCAGTTTGGCTCACATGGCCAGACCACAGGAAGATTTGGAAACAACTTGTCGTGGAAAAAAGCTTTTTGGCAGACTCAGCATGTGTTTTTGTTTTTGATTTTGCAATGACTTTAAATATGTGCAAAAGACTTTAAAAGATGTCAGTTCACACAGTACTAGCAGTAACCTTTCTATTCCACTTCAGGGTGGTAAAATGAGAATACTGGAATAGGAGTCTGACTAGTTATAGGTTCTAGTGCTAGTTTCTCCTACAGCTAAATGACCCTGAGTAAGTCCCACACTTTCTGGATTTGAGTTTGGTCATCTGTCGGTGGGGGAATTGGACTAGCCCAGTGACTCTCATCTAGGAATGATCGTACCCCCGAGAAGACCTCTGATAATGCGGAGATATTTTAGGTTGTCATCATTGAGCAGAGAGGGAGAAGAGCCAATCATAATTCCAAGAGACAGAATCCTGAATGTTGAAATCCTGAAAGATGAAAATCCCTAAAGTCTAAAATCCTCAAAATCACAGTCACAAAAGACTAAAATGTTGAAAATAATAAATGTGGGAAAAGTACTTTTTTTACTTCTTTAAAATATGTTTGTTTACATTTTTAAAGGGGGATTTATTTAAGAAACAAAAACATGACAACACTTTGTAGGTCATTTCACGCAATGAAAGGCAATAGTAACATTTTGCAGACACAAGTATACTAACAGTCACAACATGCATGTAACAGTTATGAGCAGATGAACTGTATTCATGAAGAAGTAGATCAAAAAGGGAAATGTATAAAAGCATGTCACGATGGTTGGTAGTCGTGTGCACCTAGCTTTATAACTGGTCATCTGAAATACTGTGACAAGTCTTTTGATGAGATAGATCAAAAACTATAATGGGTCACTCACTATTCACTTACGCAGTTGCCCAAAGGGCTGAAACCTCAAGAAATTAAACTATAATGGGTCACTCACTATTCACTTATGCAGTTGCCCAAAGGGGTGAAACCTCAAGAAATTTTTATCTTTCACAAATGCAGATATGCAAAAGACATTTCTTATCTCTTCATTTATTGAGGAAGTTTCAGCGTTTTTAGGTACATGCACAGTGCTTACACACAAAGTCAGTGTTCTGATAATGTACTTTCATGAAGTCAAATTTGCAAAAAATGCATAAGACAAATTAGAACTCTCAGTCTCTGCAGTTTACACTTCCAGTATTGGACATGATGCAAAGATGAAATACATAGCATGGTGAATTATTTTTTTAAAAAAAAGTCTGACAGTTTAAGATAGTGGAAAAAAATAATTTGGCAAATGAGAAAATGTATTACAGGAATAGATTATGGGCAGTTGCACAGAGATAGTCCATGAAAGCTGCCCTAACATGCAGCTATCCTGCAATTGGGATTTTGGCCTTTTGGGATTTCAACATTTGGGATTATCTTCTAAACCCACGAGGAACATGGTGAGCAAGTGCAGGTGCTACCAGCACCTACTTGGCATAGGCCAGAGATGCCACAAATATCCTAAAATACACAAGACAGTTCCCACACTCACACAGCAATGGATTATCCTACTCATAATGCCAGAAGTGTCGAGGTTGAAGAACCCTGCACCAACCAAACTCAGTTCTTTTACAGCTTTAAAATTGTGAACTGATTTAACACATCTGTGTTGGTATTCTTTCCATGGCTTGACATGGCTGGGTACTAAAATTGTAATTCATAAAGCATATGAAACTTTGACCTATAATGGCTGACATTCAAAAAGTAATCTCAGATGACATTCAGAGTAATCTCTGTTAAGGTTGAGACTATTCACTAGAATTTCAAAAACAATATAATTGTTACCTAAAAAATTACCTATTGTCACTTTACTTCCGGTAAATATCTTTCATTAAAATTTCAGTTACTGCCACTTGACAATTGGCAAATATTTGATATGTCACACTATCTAAAACATGGCTAGGACTCAATATATTTTTATTTTAGGTATGTATAAGAGTTAATTGCCAATGGAAAAAAGGTTGCTTGCACTTAGCTAGAATTTTTTTAAGACTTTGTTAGCAGATTCCTCCAAAGGTATCAAAGAATTGTCATGTTTCCAGTTATTAAAATTCTACTCTGACTTTCAAAATTCCGATAGGACCATTAAAACTGATTTGAAGAGCATCTGCTAATCCATTTTCACCTATACCGATCCTTCTGAGGAACTCCTCTGTATTGGTCTGGATAAAGAGCAAATATCAGTAAGGATTAAAAATTGGCAAAGGTTGTTCATGGTGGTTTACGCCTGTGATCCCAACACTTTGAGAGGTCAAGGCCAGAGGATTGCTTGAGCCCAGGAGTTTGAAATCAGCTTGGGCAAAATAGTGAGACCCTGTCTACAAAAAAAAAAAATAAAAATTAGCCAGGCATGGCCCCGCATGCTTGTAGTCCCAGCTACTTGGGAGGCTGAGGTAGGAGGACTGCTTGAATCCAGGAGGTCGAGGCTACGGTGAGCTGTGATCACACCACTACACTTCAGCCTGGGTGACAGAGCAAGACCCTGTCTCAAAAAAAAAAAAAAAAAGCAAGTAAGGAAGATATAGAAGGCATAAGGTTACAAATAGGAAATGGAAAAAATTAATCACAAAAATCCAAAGAAACACCATGTTTCCATAGTTAAAAGAAATAGACATACTTAGAATTTATTATTGTGGTGTCAAGATTTTCCAGGACACTTTGTAATTTATTTGGTGAAGTTTCTCAAACACTTTTGACAGTTAAAAAAAGTTTCACTAAATAATGGTATTCCTGAGTAATCATAGTAAAAACAAAACTACAACAAAAATTCTTGGTTATCTACCTGTTTTTATTTTTTATTTATTTATTTTTTGAGACGGAGTCTCTGTCATCCAGGCTAGAGTGCAGTGGTACAATCTTGGCTCACTGCAACCTCTCCCTCCCTGGTTCAAGTGATTCTCTTGCCTCTGCCTCCCACGTAGCTGGGATTACAGGCATGCACCACCATGCCCAGCTAATTTTTGTGTTTTATTAGTAGAGACAGGATTTCACCGTGTTGGCTGGGCTGGTTTTGGACTCCTGACTTCAAGTGATCTGCCTACCTCAGCCTCCTGAAGTGCTGGGATTACAGGTGTGAACCACCGCACCCAGCTCTACCTGTTTTTAAGAAAAAGAAAAAAAATTGACTCGGTTTTGGAGTGAAGGACATTTCTGGCTACTTATTGAGTAATTAACTCATTTACATAGTAATTGCCTAAAAATATTTTCGTTTGTTTCCATGATATTAAGCGGAGACTCAAGTTAAACAACATAAAGAAAATCTAGCTAATAACCCTTCTTAAGTTTATTCAGAAAACATTTTTGAGTTCCTGTTATGTGCCAGATATTATACTTGGTACTAAGGGTATACAGATGAATTAGGCCAGCCCTTTTAAAGAGCTCAATAGTTGTATTTATTAATGAAATTAGGGAGAAAAATAAAGAGCAATTGGAGAAAATGTAGTTTTAAATATGGATTAGTCAGACTCCTGAGATATCAGGAGTAGTTCATTGTTTTGCATAAATATGTGCTCTGCACATGACATGTTTGTTACAGGCACACCAGAGCACATTATGTTAATGTAGATCTGAAGTTGGCAGCCTGGAAGAATGATTAGAGTGTGTCTGGAGAAACATTAATGATTATTTGTTAGTTTCAGACTTGCTGCCTTTATTAGGTGTCAGTAAGTGAAAATATTAACTAAGCATGTTAAAATGACTAAGAATTGCCCCTACTACATTCACCACATATGTTAGGACAGAAGTGTTGATCTCAGTTTTTGTTTGTTTTTGTTTTTCTTTTGAGACAGGGTCTCACTCCGATTGCCCAGGCTGGAGTGCAGAGGCACAATTTCAGCTCACTGCAGCCTCGACTTCCCCAGGCTCAGGTGATTCTCCCACCTCAGCCTCCTAAGTAGGTGGGACTATGGGCACATGCCACCATGCCCAGCTAGTTTTTTTGTATTTTTAGTAGAGACGGGGTTTCACCATGTTGCCTAGGCTGGTCTGGAACTCTGGACTCAAACGATCCACCTACTTCAGCTTCCCAAGGACGTAAGCATTGATACGCTTCCCCCTTCTTACAAACCCATTCACATTAACTAACCCATTAGAAGGAATGGCGCATGTTTGATGTTCTTTGATGTAGGATATCTGCCTTGGATCCAAGTAAAACTAACTTCACAAGCATGATCCCTGAGGTAGCTAGCCATAGAGTACTTATGATTATTGGCATTCAAAGACTTACTTTAAATAAAAAGATAAATTTGATACTAAACATGTACTCCCAATTAATGACTTTGTTACTTCATTTGTATTTTGTCATTGGGAATATGCCATAATAAACCCTTAGTTATTTTTGTAATTGTTGTATTAATGTAAAGTAGCTAGAACATGGCAAACTGTAGATCAGACACTAGTCTCATTTCCTGAAAAAGCAAGATTAACAATGAGCATTATATTATAGCAAAGAGTATTCATGCTGTTGACAGGTATTGGGCTGCATTGTTACCCCAATTAAGTTCTCTGAAAACACTTTAAATAGGATTTGACCTCTGGGGAAAAAAGGAATCAAACAACATGTTTTGGCAAAGATAACAGAATCAGTTGCCTAGTCTCCCAAAATTTAGTGCTGTGCTCTGCGTGGTCTTTACTAAGATTAAGATAGTATTGGATTACAGAACTCCCTAAGAGCAGGCATAAAACAAGGATGTCCATTCTCACCGCTTCTATTCATTATTGTACTAGAGCGCCTAGCCAGTACATTCAGGCAAGAAAAATAAAAGGTTTACAGATTGGCAAGAAATAATACTGTCTTTATTTGCAGAGTATATGATCATCTATGTAAAAAGCCCCATAGAATCTAGGAAAAGGCAACTAGAATAGTGAGTTCAGCAGGGGAGTAAAGTACAAGTTCTATATATGTAATCAATAGTATTTCTAAATGCCAGCAAAAAGCTATTAGAAACATTTTTTTAAAAATACTATTTACTGTTATATCAAAAAACAAAACTGCATTCATAGGCCTTCTCATAAAACATAAGATACTTTTAGATAACTTCAATAAAATACGTTGAGGCCAGGCCCAATACACCTGTAATCCCAGCACTTTGGGAGGCCAAGGCAGGTGGATCACTTGAGGTCAGGAGTTAGAGACCAGCTTGACCAACATGGTGAAACCCTGTCTCTACTAAAAATACAAAATTAGCCAGCCATGGTAGCGCACGCCTGTAATCCCAGCTACTCAGGAGGCTGAGGCAGGAGAATTGCTTGAACCCAGGAGGTGAAGGTTGCTGTGAGCCGAGATCCCACCACTGCACCCCAGCCTGCGCAACAAGAGTGAAACTCCCATCTCAAAAAAAAAAAATACACTGAAAATGACATAACATTGCTGACAGAAAAAAAGGTGCAAATGATGGAGAGATATAAAATGTCTCCTAATATATGTTAGTGAGTTAGATTGAAAAGTCTAGGACCATGTCAGTAATTTGGTGTATTTATTAGAGAGGAAGAAGTAAGCTACTGACACCTAAAATATAACCAAATTAGCATCCTAATTTTGCTCATAAAATTTTTTCCTCAAAGATTAAAGATATTTAGTAACCATTTAAAAACCTATTATGCTGGCCAAACATGGTGGCTCATGCCTGTAATCCCAGCACTTTGAGAGGCCGAGGCGGCAGATCACTTGAGCTCATGAGTTTGATACCAGCCTGGGCAACATGGTGAAACCCCGGTTCTACTAAAAATACAAACAATTAGCCAGGCGTGGTGGTGTGTGCCTGTAGTCCCAGCTACTCGGGAGGCTGAGGTGTGAGGATCACTTGAGCCTGGGAGGCGGAGGCTGCAGTGAGCCAAGATCACGCCACCGCACTCTAGCCTGGGAGACAGTGAGACCCTGTCTCAAAAAAACACAAACCTATTATGCTGTTATGATTAAATGCCATTATCACAACAGGTCACGCTGTGAGGCATGAAAATTTTTATTACATTTTTTATTCAAATTCAGTTGATTTATTCATCAAACATGAGATGTCTGAAAAACATTTCATATGGTGCAAGAGTTAAATTAGGCAGGGCACAGTGGCTCATGCCTGTAATCCCAGCACTTGGGAGGCCGAGGCAGGAGGATCGCTTGAGCCCAGGAGTTTGAGACCAGCCTAGGCAACATAGCAAGGCCCTGTTCTTTAAATAAATAAATAAATAAATAATTCAGCGTCAAGTTGCGTTTTGTGAGAAACATGTTCAAAAAGTTAAATTCAGGTTTTGCTGTTTCTAAAAGGTAGGTAGAATGTAACAGATTGGTAAATCTAGAATTAAGAAAAGTAGAATGATTCCTAGTATTTAAGATATGAAGCTCTTTTTAGACAGTTTTGAATTATGAGTCATGTGTTTCATATTTAATACAGTAGTTGATGTGCAGTTTTTGTTACTTTAACTTTCACAGTGGTTTTACATATTTTTACTGAAATAAAGACCTGGCTGGGCATGGCGGCTCATGCCCATAGTCCCACTGCTTTGGGAGGCTGAGGCAGGTGGATTCCTTCAGCCCAGAGGTTCGAGACCAACCTGGGCAACAAAGCAAGACCTCATGTCTGCAAAAAAAATATAAAAAATAAGCTGGGCTTAGTGGCAGATGCCTGTAGTCCCAGCTACTGGGGAGGCTGAGGCAGGAGGATCAATTGAGCCTGGGAGGTTGAGGCTGCTGTGAGTCGAGATTGCACCACTGCACTCTAACCTGGGTGACAGAATGAGACCATGTCTCAAAAAAACCAAACAGAAAGTTGGTTCAAAATCAGAGCAATTAGAAAAGAGAGTAAGGATCAGGTCCATCCTTCAACTTCCATAAATACAGTCCCTCTAAAACATCAGTTAGCTTGAAATACAAAGAATTAGGTACTCCTTTCAGATACTTCTGCCTTGTTTATGGGTAACCATATTTGTCTTTCTGTAGTTACTAGACTAATTGGTTGGGAGAACATCTCACTATGTCAGTTAAATAGACAAAATCCTGAACCACAATACAAATAGTTCATCCATACAGCACTTACCTTGTTCCATGCATTCTTCTAAGTGCTTTGCATGTATTAATTTCTATAAGGACCACAACTTTTTGAGGTATATGTTATGTCTCTATTTTAGAGGTAAGGAACCTAAGGCGGAGAGGTTAAGAAGCTTGACCAGGGTTACATAACTTAATAAGTGGCAGAACTGATTCCAGGCTTCCTATATCTGTTTCACTCAAAGGAGCAATGGAGCTAAGTAACAGTATTACAGTCACTAGTTCTTAGTAGTGCCTGAAGTGACTTAACCTTTGTTGGGTGGATGATCTTTCTGGAAACAAAGCCAACATTTCAAAATCAGTTTAAGGTAGAATTATCTCTTATTCCAAAAAAAGTTTAAACTCCTTTAGTTACTTTATTGAGGTACATTTTACTTATAATAAACTCCACACATATAACATGTACAATTCAGGCCGGGCACGGTGGCTCACGCCTGTAATCCTGGCACTTTGGGAGGCCGAGGTGGGTGGGTCACCTGAAATCAGGAGTTTGAGACCAGCCTGGCCAACATGGTGAAACCCTGTCTCTACTAAAAATACAAAAATTGGGCATGATGTCTCATGCCTGTAATCCCAGCTACTCGGGAGGCTTAGACACAAAAATTGATTGAACCCAGGAGGCAGAGGTTGCGGTGAGCCAAGATTGCACCACTACACTCCAGCCTGAGCGACAGAGTGAGACTCTGTCTCAAAAAAAAAAAAGTACAATTCAATGAATTTGTGATAGGTGTATGCTCCCATGAAACCACTATCATAAGCAAAATGTCAAACATTTCCATCAACCCCAAAAGTACTTATGCCCCTTTACAATCCATTCGCCCCTCTACCTCTATCCCTGGGCAACCATTGATCTGCTGCTATTACTAGAGATTAGTTTGCATTTCTAGAACTTTTTATAAATAGAATCATACAGTAGATACTCTTTCATGTCTGTCTTTCGCTCAGCGTGATGGTTTTGAGATTCATCCGTGTTGCATGTGTTGCTGTTTTGTTCCTTTTTATGTCTGAATAATTGTATGGGTATATATCACATTTTGCTTATCTGTTCAGCTGTGGATGGACATTAGAGTTGTTTCAGGTTTTGGCTGTTACAAATAAAGCTGCTGTGAACATTCATAGACAAATCTGCATGGATATGTTTTCATGTCAAATACACAGTTGTAGAATGGCTAGGTCATATGGTAGCTATGTATTTAACTTCATAAAAAATTAAGCTGGGTGGCTGATAATTTTTTACAGTGGCTCACACCTGTAAACCCAGCACTTTGGGAGGCCAAGATGGCCAGATTGCTTGAGCCCAGGAGTTAGAGACCAGCCTGGGCAACATGGCAAAACCTCATCTCTACAAAAAAAAAAAGTACAAAAAATTAGCCAGGCATGATGGCATGAACCCATAGTCCATCTACTCAGGAGGCTGAGATGGAAGGATAATTTGAGCCCAGGAGGTCAAGGCTGCAGTAAGTTATGATCATGCCACTGCACTCTAGCATGAGCTACTCCATCTCCAAAAAAAAAAAAAAAAAAAAAATTATCAAACTCCTTTGTAAAATTATTGTACCATTTGACATTTTAGCCAGCAATGTATGGGAGTTCTAGTTATTTAACATCTTTACCAGCACTTGTTATTCTTAGTCCTTTAATTTTAATCATTCTAGTGAGAGTGTAGTGGTATCTCATTTATTTTTATTTTTATTTTTTTACTAGACAGCATGGCTCTTTTCAGTTTATTGCATGAAGAAGTTACGTTAGTCCAAGTTAAAAGCAGACCCCTCATTGTGGTTTAATTCATATTTACTTAGTCATTAGTATATATTCTTTTCTGAAGTATCTGTTCAGACCTTTTGCCCTTTTTAAATTGAGTTTGTCCTATAATTGAGTCATAAAAAGTCTTTATATCTTCTAGATGTAAGTCCCTTGTCTGATACGTTAGTTGAGAATATTTATCCTATATTCTGTGGCTTGATTTTCTTTTTTCTTTTTTTTTTTTTTTGTTTTCTTTTGTAGAGACAAGGTCTTGGTACATTGCCCAGGCTGGTCTTGAACTCCTGGACTCAAGTGATCCCTGCTGCGTTGTCCCCCTAAAGTGCTGAGACTGCAGGCGTTAGCCACTGTGCCCAGCCAGTTTCCATTTTTTTAATGGAGAGATATGTAAAACATGGAGATCAGAAAATGTTTCAGATTTTTAAGGAGGAGAAATGGATATCAGAATGTAGACTGAGAAGTTTTACATCAGTTAGGAAGGCAGCATGCCACAAGTCAGTAACAGATTATGGAGCCAGACTGCCTTGTCATTTACTAACTGCAACCATGGACATGTTCCTTAACCTTTCTGTGCTTCAGTTTCCTCTTCTATAAGATATAGAAAGTAATTGTACTGAGCCCATAGAGTTCTTATGAGGATAAAATTAGTAACGTGAGGCCGGGCGCAGTGGCTCATGCCTGTAATCCCAGCACTTTGGGAGGCTGAGGTGGGTGGATCACCTGAGGTCAGGAGTTGGAGAGCAGCCTGACCAACGTGGAGAAGCCCCATCTCTACTTAAAAAAATACAAAAAAATTAGCTGGGCTTGCTGGCACATGCCTGTAATCCCAGCTACTCGGGAGGCTGAGGCAGGAGAACCGCTTGAACCCGGGAGGCAGAGATTGCAGTGCGCCAAGATGGTGCCATTGCACTCCAGCCTAGGCAGCAAGAGCAAAACTTCATCTCCATAAAAAAGTTACTATGTATAAGTGCTTGGAACAGTACCTAATACATTGTAAGGGCGATGCTGTAAAAGTGTTACAGGACAGGTTATTAATAGGTCGCTTGTGAATGTGATACTTTGAAATAAACATTAAAAGGCAATATGCATTTATTGAAAACACAAGTCATGCCATGCCTAGTTTCTTTTATGAAAGATTACTAATAAATCAAAAGAATGTTGCAGGACCATATTTCTTTAGTGAGCATAATGAGATTCCCTGAGGTTTCTGAGATACAAGATTGTGCCAGGAATATACTTGAAGTTTAATTGGCATAATTTATTCAGAGATTAAATAATGACTTTTTATATGAAATGGAAGTTTTAAGACTAGAGTTCAAGAAGTTCATGAGTTGTTAAGGTAAACCATGAAACTTGAAATACTTCTGCTGTGTGTGTGATTGATCTCTTTAAGCTGTAACCCCTAGACCTCCTGACTACAAGAGTTTACTCCTATCTGCCTATAGATTGTTTTGGTCAAAATGATTGAGATTGAGAACCACTGCTGTAGAAAGGATGGTTACAATTTTAGAAGGGCATTTCCTGTATTTCAAATATCAACAAAATGGAAAAATAAGACTTCAGTGTAGTACAAACAGATCAGACCCGTAAGAAGGAGAGTAGTAGGGAGTAGAGTGGAGAAGCATAGTGTTAAAAAAGATGCTGAATTTGATTTTGAAATAAACTCAGATGTTATCAAGTTATTAATATCTTTCTAATTAAACCCATAGATTGCTAATAAATAGATAAATCCTAGATGCAAGAAGAGAGTAGATTCTTTGTAGCATGCCATAGGTATTATCTTGCCCTTATCCTGCTTAAAGTTTTCACCAGTAATGTGAATGAAGTCATAGACTGAATGCATATAAAAAGTATGTGTGGGAGCCATAGCAAATACCAAGATTAAGATCATTTGAATTTTAAAAAATTCTCAGGTGGCTGCGGTGGCTCACAACTGTAATCTCAGCCTTGGGGAGACCAAGGGAGGAGGATCGCTTGAGGCCAGGAGATCAAGACCAGCTTGGGCAACATAATGAGATTCCTGTTTCTACAAAATATTATTTAAAATTAGCTGGGCATGCTAGCACATGCCTATAGTCCTAGCTATTCTGGTGGCTGAGGCGAGAGGATCACTTGAGCCCGGGAGTTAAGGCTGCAGCGAGCTATGATCATGCCTCTGCACTCCAGCCTCAGGGACTCTGGTTTTTTAAAGAAAGAAAGAGAGAGGTGGGGTGGGGGTGGGCAGTCAAAGAAAAGAAACAAAGAGAAACCTCATTTAGGAATAGTGGTCTAGGCCGGGTGCAGTGGCTCACGCCTGTAATCCCAGGACTTTGGGATTCCGAGGGGGTTGGATCATGAGGTCAGGAGATCGAGACCATCTTGGCTAACACAGTGAAACACTGTCTCTACTAAAAATACAAAAAATTAGCCGGGTGTGGTGGCAGGTGCCTGTAGTCCCAGCTACTCAGGAGGCTGAGTCAGGAGAATGGCGTGAACCTGGGAGGCGGAGCTTGCAGTGAGCTGAGATTGTGCCACTGCACTCCAGTCTGGGGGACAGAGGGAGACTACATCTGGAAAAAAAAAAAAAAAAAAAGATAATGGTCTAAACCCATAACAAGATGAAGTATTAATTCCTGCATTTAGAAAAATAATTCAGTCAACATCCATATCACATGGGAGAAGATAGCCAATATCGGGGGGGAGAGATGCTACCTCCAGGATTTTAACAATTGTAAAGGTCATTAGAAACCAATAATATGATGACTATTTAAAAAATAACTAATGCTAAAATAAAATGGTAAGGATGAAAATAATGTCCAGGTTAGAGGAAGAGATAATTTCACTTTACTCCACAACAATCACAGTCTGTGTTCTTCAAACTATATAATGCTGCAACCTTTGTAATGAGTAAATATATAGTAATCACTATGCAAGTGAAAGAGAGGTGATGTCAAAATTTTCTGAGGAAAGATTTCTACAAATGCCTAGAGTTCACTACCGAGCTTTCTTTCCTCTAGTGGTTCCTGTTACCCATCATGTGTACTGAAGTTTGATACATATACAATTAGTTCAGGGACCCAACTGTTTTAATTTGTAAGGAATTTCAAGGTACATAAAACATCTGCAGGTTGTTTAAACCCAACTTGACATAGAGGTATTAAACACATAGAAGAATGGAACAGGAAAGGAGAGATGTGCAAGATACTATACATTTGATAGAATCTGGATTTGTTCCAAAATCAAATTCACTGCTTTTTGAATGCTTAATGCTTATTCATTCCACTCCCTACTTCTCTCCTTCTGGGGGATAACAACAACAGTAACAACTCTTCTTCCTCTTCCTTACTTTCTCTGTCAAAGATAACTTTACGCAGGATCAAGGCCTTAGAATTGTCTCTGCCCCCACTCTCCCGTCTATCTGCTCTTCCCAGCTATCACAAATTCCTTTGATTCCACCTTTAGAATATCTCTCATATTCTTCCCTTCCTTTCTGTTAGCTCTGCTACTTTTTTGGTGCAGCCCAATAATCTCTTGCCTGCAACAGCTACCTAACAATATCTCCATTTTGAGTCTCTTTTTCTTCCCCTATTGACTGCAGAATTAAATCCAAATGTCCAAATAAGGCATATTATGATTTAGCATCATTCCACCTTTAGCACTGTCTTTCACTACCTTTATGCATGTCTTGTTTTATCTAAAGCAGAAATGCCTTTTCTAATGCCCTTCTGTCCTCCAGAATACCCTTTCTTTACTCATGTTTTTTTCTCTAAATTTTACCCATCTCCTTAAGTGTCCATTCAGAATCTATTCTTTACCACAAACCCCTCACCAAGAACACATTATACCTTCTTATGTCTTACAGCACTTTACACATTTTTGTCTTGCATCATAGTTCTTTGCATATCATTTTTTACAAAATTATGAATTCCTCAATATTAACAATTGTCTTGTTCACTTATTCCCAATGTGTGGAACAGCTATGTGTAATGTAAGGGAAAGGGTTGAGATAAACCAAGGTTTAATATCTGCCTTTATCAAATAGCACATGTGGCAACATATTTTAATTTCTTTAAATCCCAATATCCTAATCTTTATGAGAAATTCTTGCAAAAGTAAAAAACAGAAACAATAATCTGTTGTTTGGCATACAGTAGGCATTCGATAAGGTTCATCTCTTTTTTCCTATCCTTTCCCACAGTACTCACCAGAGTACCTTGAAGACAAACTCAATAAGTAGTGATAAAGTTTAATAAAGTCCAAAAGCATGGAGAACTTGAACTAAATAATGTTATAGGTATTGAAAAATGAAAGAATAGCTTTGAAAATATTATAAAGCTAGAACAGACATGACTCAGGAGGAAAATGGCTGAGATTTTGAGCTTGAGAATATTTTGCTATTTAACATAAAAAATGAGAGCTTAGTTGGCAGAGGAATTAAAGGTAACCCCAAGTTTCTTACCTCAGCTTACAACATTGCCTTTTAGAAATGCCTGGTTGGTATTAAGGGTTGAACCAGGAAGGAAATTATTGTTCTATTTTAAGATATCTTGAGCTTCTAAATAACTAGTCCTCAGTAAGCTTTCCATGTATTCTGATTTGTTTGTCACCAAAAGACAGTATTTACCTGTTCTTATTAAAGATTTATTTTTGTAGAGACAGATGTCTCAATGTGTTGCCCAGGCTGGTCTCAAACTCCTGGTCTCAAGCAATCCTCCCAGCTCAGCCTCCCAAAGTGTTGGTACTACAGGCACGAAGCACTACGCCAAACCAAGATTTTTAATGGAAAAGTCACCATCACATCACCATGTCAGTTTTTGTACAATAATTCTGAGTCAAGGGAAGTTCTGAAAACCTTTGTATTAACCTTTTTACCTTGCTGACCTTAGAGTCAAATGTAATTAAGTCCTTTATTTTAAAACAACTAAAAAATAATTGAGATATTATATATAATATATATATATTTTCTGAGACAGTCTCACTTTGTCGCCCAGGCTGGAACGCAGTGGCGCAATCTTGGCTCACTGCACCTTCCACCTCCTGGGTTCAAGAGATTCTCGTACTTCAGCCTCCTGAATAGCTGGGATTACAGGCATGTGCCAACATGCCCGGCTAATTTTTTGTATTTTTAGTAGAGACAGGGTTTTGCCATGTTGGCCAGGCTGGTCTCAAACTCCTGGGCTCAAGTAATCCGCCCGCCTCTGCCTCCCAAAATGCTGGGATTACAGGCATGAGCCATCACACCCAGCCTGAGATACATTTTTAATACTCTTCAAGTCCTTTCTAAAATGTTTCTGATTTATAATTATCTTGAGCACATAATATTTTTAAGCAAATCTTTTTAACCCATACACTGGCATTAATATTAAGATTAGTTTGAAGATACCCAGTATAACTTAAATATTTATGGAATTTTTAAAAGTACAAAGTCCTGTATATTTTTTGCAAAAATTAATACAGAGATGTACAAAGAGCAATATGTTAAATGTTTGACCCTACTCATTTTTGACCCAATTTCCCATTTCTCAAACCCCATTAAGTTTAGCATATATCTTTTCAGATTTTTTTCTGTGGATACTGAGCTAACACACAAGATCAGACTGTCAAATCAAACGCATCAGGTTTACTAATTATTTCAAGGATACAGGCAGTCAAGAGACTCAACTGAAGCAGCGTGTCTAATACATGAAGGATGGCTCCTCAGACCATGTAATATGGTTAGGCTTTGTGTCCCCACCCAAATCTCATAATGAATTGTAATCCCCATAATCTCCACATGTCAAGGAGAGACCAGGTGGAGGTAATTGAATCGGGGGCAGTTTCCCCCATGTTGTTCTTATGATAGTGAGTTCTCCCGAAATCTGATGGTTTTATAAGGGGCTTTTCTCACTTCACTCAGCACTTCTCCTTCCTACCACCTTGAAAGGAAAGTGCCTTGCTTCCCCTTCACCTTCCACCATGACTGTAAGTTTCCTAAGGCCTCCCCAGCTGTGCAAAACTGTGAGTCAATTAAACCTTTTTCCTTTATAAATTACCCAGTCTTTGTTATGTCTTTGTAACAGTGTAAGAACAGACCAATACACCATGTTTTCCCCTTTGGACATGTATCTCTGGCCCAGAATAAATAGTTAAGGTTTCTAAGTAAGATTCACAAGATCACCTCACACAGTGGGAATGTTTAAATTGTGACTCATCTCCATGTTATACCCTAGAGAGTTGTATAGCTTATGTGGCATTCTTCAGAAAGAGATGTCTCATAGATTCTGGGTTTATTTACTACAGCTAATCTTTAGCCAGGGACATCTTGCTAAGAGCATTTTAGTGGTAAGATGTCTTCCTCCCAGCAAATATCATTAGGCTCTTTACTTGAGGTCTGGATGTCACCATCCTTGTCTTTTTCCCTCTTCTCCAGGAAAGGAAGTGAATGGATTGGAGGCCAAATGCATTAATTCCTTCCTTACAGTAAATACATATGTATATACTTAAGTTTGGGTTGTATATGTTGGGTTGTTTATACTAAAATTGGATTTTATGATTGAGCAATTGATTGAGTTCTACATATTGTTTTTCCCGTTAATATATCATGGGCATTTCTCCATGACATTACATATGATTCTAACTCATCCATTTAAACTGCCGTGTAGAAAGTACAATTTTGATGTTACATGATTGGCACCCTATGTATAAACTGGTAAACTTCTATAAAATAAATTTTAGCTGTTAGGAACTTTAGATTGAAGTATAGACCCCAAGTGTAAACGTAGTAATTTTGGCATAGATAATTCATTAAGTGAGAAACACTTTCAGCAAAAGTTGTAGAAGCTAATATGTGAATATGACTGTAGCTTTGAAGGGCTTGTCTGAGCTCTATTCAGTGAAATTTGTGTGGTTGTATTTGTACCAGCCATGGAAGAAGGTTGCCTACCACAGGTTAAGATAGTCTGTGGGCTGGGCTCAGTGGCTCATGCCTGTAATCCCAGAACTTTGGGAGGCCAAGGCGGGTGGATCACCTGAGCGCGGGAGTTCGAGACCAGCCTGGGCAACATGGCGAAACCCCATCTCTACAAAAAATACAAAAATTAGCCAGGTACAGTGACATGCGCCTGTACTCCCAGCTACTCAGGAAGCTGAGGCAGGAGAATCACGCTCTGGCCTGGGTGACAGAGCCAGACCCTGTTTTAAAAAAAAAATAAAGATGGTTTGTGGTTCCCCCATGTGATTCTCAGATGACATTGGTGATGTATCTAGAATCATTAGCTGTCTTAAAATCGACTGCATTTCTTGAGATTGTTAGCTTTAAAACATAAAATGCCAAGACTGGATTTCTTAGCCCAGGCTTTCAATATTGGTGCCCCAGTAACTTTTCCTTCAGGATGGTGTTTTGTAGACTAAAAAATATGTTAATATATTAAATATTACAGTCTTACTAAATATTTTCATATTAAAATTGTTATTCTAATGAGCAAAAATTTATTACTCTAGCCTTGCAAGCACTCAGAAAATTAAGATTTGAGATGGTATATGAAATATAGTAGTTGAAGTTTAAAAATATTACCTTAACTATTTAATATAATCTTCTGTCTTACCTCTCTTTTATTGATAGATACCACATTGAATGAACAAAGACTGAACTTTGTTTACAGATACCTTTTATAAAAGATGTCTGTGGAGTAGTGTTACAGTTCAAATAACAAAGGATTTTGCATTATGAGGTAGGTTGAAAATAGAAGGAATATGTCCTAATGTCACTTTTTAAATGTAGTGGGTAAACTTCATATATGTCATCTTATTTAATCCATACAAGAAAAGTATTGTCCTTTTGATGACTGACTCAGAAAAGGGAAATAACTTCCTGACTTACATTTGGGGAAGTAGGATTTAAATTCAGATCTTTCTAATTCTGAAGCTCATTTTCTTTTCCTTTCTCCATTCTGTCTTCTACCTTATCCAGAAAGCCACTGTATCAGTTCTTGTGGTAAATATAAGGAAGATATTATGAAGCTTGAGCAGGAAAATATTAATATAAGTCAAGAGATATTATAGATCCCCAGAGTCTTCCTTTACTAATCAAATTAATCAAAGGTTACAACATAATATGCAGCAGTCTTACCCTTGACTTTGCCTTGTTTTCAAGGCACAGGATTATAGAATGCTAGCATTGGAAGGTAAAATGTCTAATGATTGTACTTCCTTAGTTTATAGATGAAGAAACTGAGATCCGGAGGAGTAGTGATTATTTTTAGATAGTCATGGGCATGACTAAGCCAATAAATGAGATCTGATTCCCTGTCCAGTGTTACTTCCTTTTATATGGTATAGCTCCTCACTTGTATCATCTTTGCTGTATAATAGTATCCTGGAGAAAGAATAGTCTTTTGTATACTACATTACAATGGCTTTTCCCATTCTGCTCTTCTCACGCTCTGAGACCTGGATGAGCTACTGGATCTCTTTAATCTGTGGTGTCTGGGATACCAAAAGTAGTAGATACATTTACTTAAATGAAACATAAGGCCTGCTGTGGTTTTTTAGAGAACTCATCTAGTTTTCCCTCTTGATAATCATGTCAGAAACTGCATTTTATTTCATGTGTGATGGTTGAGATTAAAGTACCATAATTACAGTCATGTCTTAGCCTTGGATTGAGAGAACTTGGATTCAAGCCTTGACTCCACCATTAATTGCTGAGCAAATCACTTTGACCTCTCTAAGTATGTTTATTCAACCTGAAAAATGGAAGTGACAATCTCTGTCTTGCCCTAATTCTTAATCTACTGTATTCTAGTCTAGTATATTTTGGGCTCAGTCTTCAGAGCCCAGAGGTCTAAGAAATAGTCAAAGGGCGGGCTCTGTGATAACTTGAGTTTCATTGAAATTTTAAAAATAACTTTCATGGGATTATAAAGTAATATTCAATGTAGAAAAATACAGAAAATATACATCATTCATAACTGTGTTCTGAAAATGTTAGTGTCCTTTTCCCTACATTTACATTTTAGTTACTCTTACATGGTTGGCTTTAAATATATTCAGAGATTATTTTCTGTTATGGCTTGAACCCATAACAGTTTATTCCTTGTCTCATTTAAGAGTGTGGAGTTAGGCAGTACAAAGCTGTTAGGACAGTTCCATGATCATCAGAGAGGACCCAGACATTTTCTTTTTATTCTAAGGCCCTGACTTACTTCCTCATGTTCTCTGATGACTGTTTGATTTCTAACCATGGCATCCTCATTTCAGCAGCAGAAGGGAGGATCCCTCCTAGAATCCTACACAACACTTCAGCTTTCTTCTTATTGACCAGAATTATTCACATGGCTACATCTTGCTTTAAGAATGGCCAGAAAATGTAGTCTAAAAGACTAAAAGCTAGACACATTTCCTAAGGTTTGTTACTAAGGAAGAAGAAAAAAATGTATTGGAAGGCAACTGGTAGTCTCTGTCACAAACAGAAACATAAAACTTTGTGTTAGAAGTAATTCTAATCATAGGATTATCTACTGAAGCTGATACTTTGATTTGAAAGCAAGCGAAATTCTATTCGTAAACTTTTAGTTCAGACCAAATATATTAAAACTCACAAGTGCTTTTTCAATTTATAGTTCTTTTCAATTTATAGTTCTTTGGGGTATATACCTAGGGTAGAATAAATCTGGAGTAATTTCTTCTTAAATAAACAAAACTTATTTATTATTCCAGGGTAAAAAAAAATTGCTCAAAAAGTTAGGGCTTTACAAGCACAGAGAGACAAATACCATATGATCTCACTTATACATGAAATCTAAAAACTTAAGGAAGTAGAGAGTAGAATGGTGGTTACCAGAGGCTGGGTGGTAGGGTTGGGGAGTGGGGACAGAGAAAGGAAAGACATTTGCCAAGGGGTACAAAGTTACAGGTAGATAGGAGGAATAAGTTCTGGTGTTCTATTGCACAAGAAGGTGACTATAGTTCATGTATATTCAAAATGTATTTATTATTTCAATATTTTTAAAAGTAGCTGTAAAAGATTATTTTAAGTGTTCACGTTGCAAAGAAATGATCAACATTTGAAGTAATGACTATGCTAATTCACCAAATTTGATTATTCCACACTATATACATGTACTGAACTATCACATTGTATTTCATAAATATATACAATTATTACTTGTCAGTTAAAAATAAAACTATATAAAATATATTGTTATAAAAATAAAGTATGTTTAAACATTTTTAAAAGTTAGGGTTTATTTTCAGATTTATAAGAAGCAAATTAATAAAATGAAGGTGAATTTTGTGAATTTTCAGATGATTGGTCTATGTTGATGTGATTATAAACTTTGAATTATTTAATCTTTGTAACAAGATTGTGTTTGGTTTCAGATGAGTGAGAGTGGAGAATTGGACAAAAATTGATTTTTGATCTCTGAATTGTGGTTTTTAGCTCACCAGTTATTGTGTAGTCTCACTATTTGAAAATTCATGCTGAAAAACTGAGTGAATATGATCAGATTTCTCCACCAAATTCTCAGCCTGATAAGGGTAAGTAAGGTTCCATTCACCTCTTTATTCATCTCTGTGCCATCTGTGGTCCTTTGGAACTGGCTTCTTTCACATAGCATAATGTCTTCAAGCTTCATTTGTGTTGTAGCATATATCAGTACTTCATTCCTTTTTATGCTGAATAATATTATATGAATATACCATATTTTGTTTATCCATTTATCAGTTGATGGGCATTGGTTGGTTATTTCTACTTTTTAGTTGTAATGAATAGTGCTGCTGTGAACATTTGTTTACAACTTCTTGCATGGACATAGGTTTTCATTCTTTTGGCTATATATGGGTGGAATTGCTAAGTGGAATTGATGAAACTGCTGCTAAGTTATTTTCCAAAGTAGGTGCACCATTTTACATTCCCGCAAACAATGAATGAAGTTTCCAATTTTTCCACATTCTTGCTAACACTTACTAGTATCTTTTTTTCACTATAGCCCTCCTAGTAGATGTAAAGTAAAATCTTTTTATTACCAAAAAATTTCAAACATACTTAAAAATAAAGAAAATTGTATAATGAACCTTCATGTATCCATCACCCAATTTCAACAATTATCAACATCTTTTAAATCTTATTAGTGACTTTTTTTTTTGAGACGGAGTCTCTCTCTGTCACCCAGGCTGGAGTGCAATGGTGCAATCTTGGCTCACTGCAACCTCCACCTCCCGGGTTCAAGCAATTCTCCTGCCTCAGCCTCCCAAGTAGCTGGGACTACAGGCATGTGCCACCACACCCGGCTAATTTTTTGTATTTTTAGTAGAGACGGAGGTTTCACCATGTTGGCCAGGCTGATCTCCAACTCCTGACCTCAGGTGATCTGCCTGCCTCAGCCTCCCAAAGTGCTGGGATTACAGGCCTGAGCCACCGCGCCCAGCCATTAGTGACTTTGTAAAAACAGCATTATTGAGGTATAGTTAGCATATAATAAACTGTATGTATTTAAGGTATACAATTTGGTAAGTTTTGGCAGATGTATATAGCCATGAAAGGATCACCACAATCAAGATAATGGACATACCCATCACCGCCCAAAAAATGCCCCTTTAGAATCTTTTCTTCCCACCTCTCTCCCCAAGCAACCACTGTTATTATAGTTTCCATTTTCTAGAGTTTTATATAAATGGAATCATATCGTATGTACTCTTTTATCAGACTTCTATGACTTTTTATTTATTTATTTTTAGAAATGGGTTCTTGCTGTGTTGGCCAGGTTGGTCTTGAACTTCTGAGCTCAAGCAGTTCTGCCACTTCAGCCTCCCAAAGTGCTGGGATTACAGGCATGAGCCACTATGCCTAGTGTATCACTATTTTAAATAGTAAAAAAGAATTACAATTATTTTCGTTATTTTGAGATTCACTCACGTCATGTGTATCAATATGATTTATTCCTTTTTATCACTGATAGTATTTCATTGTATCGTTATACCACTGTTTGATTTAATCCATTCACCTGTTGATTGACATTTGAGTTTCTTTTCTTTCTGGGGCTATCACAAATAAAACTATATGAACATTCATGTCTTTGTATAGACACCCAGTCATGTGTCCGTTAACGACCAGGATACATTCTGAGAAATGTGTCATGATTTTCTCATTGGGCAAACATCATAGACTGATGGTATAACTTACTACACACCCAGGCTATATGATATAGCCTATTGCTCCTAGGCTACAAATCTGTACAGCATGTTACTATACTGAGTACTGTAGACAGTTGTAACACAACAGTAAGTGTTTGTGTATCTAAACCTATCTAAACAAAAAGACACAGTAAAAATGTGGTATGAAAGATAAAAAAATAGTACACTTGTGTGGGGCATTTAGCATGAATGGAGGAGCTTGCAGGACTGCAAGTTGCTCTGAGTCAGTGAGTGGTGAGTTAATGGGAAGGCCTAAGATATTACTGTACACTGCTGTAGACTATAAATACTGTAAACTTAGGCTACATTAAATTAATTAATTAATTAATTAATTTTGAGACAGAGTATCACTCTGTCACCCAGGCTACAGTGCAGTGGCGCGATCTCGGCTTATTGCACCCTCCGCCTCCCAGGTTCAAGCAATTCTCCTGCCTCAGCCTCCCTAGTAGCTGGGATTACAGGTGCCCACACCACACCCAGCTAATTTTTGTATTATTACTAGAGATGGGGTTTCACCATGTCGGCCAGGCTGGTCTCCAACTCCTGACCTCAGGTGATCTGCCTACTTCAGCCTCCCAAAGTGCTGGGATTACAGGCATGAGGCACCACACCCAGCCCATTAAATTTATTTTTAAAAATTTTTCTTGTTTTAGTAATAAATTAACCCTAGCTTACTGTAATTTTTTCACTTTATAAACTTTTAAATTTTTTTAACTTTTTGACTATTTTGTAATCACACTTAGGTTAAAACACATTGTCCAGCTGCACAAAAATATTTTATTTCTTTATATCTTTATCCTAGCCTTTTCCTATTTTATTCTTAACTTTTTTTTTATTTTTATTTTTTTATTTTTTTGAGATGGAGTCTCACTCTGTTGCCCAGGCTGGAGTGCAGTGGCACGATCTCGGCTCACCGCAACCTCTGCCTCCTAGGTTCAGGCGATTCTCCAGCCTCAGCCTCCCAAGCAGCTGGGATTACAGACATGCGCCACCATGCCCAGCTAATTTTTGTATTTTTAGTAGAGTCGGGGTTTCACGATATTGGCCAGGCTGGTCTCGAACTCCTGACCTCAAGTGATCCACCCACCTGGCCTCCCAAAGTTCTGGGATTACAGGCATGGGCCACCACACCTGGCCCTATTTTTTTTTTTCACTTGTTAAACTTTTTTATGAAAAGCTAAGACACAAACACACACATTAGCCTAAGCCTTCACAGGGTTCAGGATCATCATCACTGTCTTCTCCCTCCACATCTTGTCCCACTGGGGGGTCTTCAGGGGCAGTAACATGCATGGAGCTGTCATCACCTATGGTGCCATCTTCTGGAATACCTTCTGAAGGACCTTCCTGAGGCTGTTTTACAGTTAACTTTTTTTTTTAATAAGGAGAAAGAATATACTCTAAAATAATTTAAAATATAGTATAGTAAATAAATCATAAACCAGTTATCAAATCTTATGTACTGTACATAGTGTATGCTATACTTTTATATGGCAGTATAGTAGATTCGTTTATACCAGCATCACTACAAACACATGAATAATGAATTGTGCATTATTCACATTACTGTGACTTTTTCAGCTCCACTATAATTTTATGGGACCACCATCATATATTCAGTCCATTGTTGACCAAAAGATTATTATGCAGTGCATGACTGTATCTCCTTTTCCTTTAAGGAAATACCTAGAAGTAGAATAACTGCATCATATGGGGTAAATGTATGTTTAACTTCTTAAGAAACTGCCAAACTGTTTTTCAAGTGGTTGTACCATTTTACATTCCTATCAACAATATTTGAGAGTTCCAGATCCTTATCAGCACTGGTATTGTCAATCTTTTTCATTTTAATCATTCTGGTAAGTGCATAGTGGTATCTCATTGTGGTTTTAATTCACATTTACTTGCTGATCAGTGCTTTTAAACATCTTTTCATGTGCTTATTGGCCATTTGCATATATTCTTTTCTGAAGTATAGGTTAAAATAGTTTGCCCATATTTAAGCAAGTATTTGTTACATTATTTTTTATTATTTTTCTAGTCAGAATTTGTATACTATTTAAGTTGAACAAGAACTATATTTTCTAACTTGCCAAATTAGGCTTCATTTAGATTTTCTTTTTAACCTCAAATTTCCAAATTTGAAAAACTGGCTGATCATTAGTCTCAAAAAATTAGGAGGGAGTATATCCCATGTTGAACTGAACATTTCTTCCCTTTAGCAGAAACAAGCCTTGTTTCTGAGAGCTGAAGAAATGTTCAGTTCTACATGGGATATATGCCCTCCTAATTTTTTGAGATAAACTGTATCACCAAAAATATATAGGGCAGGTGGGACACAGTGGCTCACACCTGTAATCCCAGCACTTTGGGAGGCCGAGGCAGGCAGATCACCTGAGGTCAGGAGTTGGAGACCAGCCTGGCCAACATGGTGAAACCGCATCTCTACTAAAAATACAAAAATTAGCCAGGCGTGGTGGTGTGCACCTGTAGTCTTAACTACTCAGGAGGCTGAGGCAGGAGAATCACTTGAACCCTGGAGGCGGAGGTTGCAGTGAGACGAGATCGTGCCATTGAACTCCAGCCTGGGTGATAGGGCAAGACTCCATCTCAAAAAAAAAAATATATATATATATATTTTTTTATATATATATAATATTATAATTTCATAGTAAGTACATTTTCTGCTATATTTGTATTTATTCAGGATTTGAGGTGAGGAAAAGAATCAGGAACAGTCTTGCCCTTCCCCCCAAAAAAGAATCAAGCAAACAAAAATGGTGTATCTACTGCAAGTTTCTTCTGAAACTCTTCTCCAAATCAGTCCTATCCCTTTTCAGTTTTCACCCCTGTTTCTTCCCTTATTCCTCTCACCAGTACTTTAAGAGAGAACAAACCAGAAGACATTCTAGAATGCTTTTTTCACCAATCAGAAGTAGTGGAATGAAATCCAAGCCTACACAGAAGATACAGAACTCTGTGCTTTCATCTTCCCTCATACCTGATACCTAAAAGTAGTTTTCATCTTATAACTGAATTTCTGATTTTCAGCATTCCCAATCAATTTTATAAACATCCTTTTATTGTTAAGTCTTACAGTACTCTCGTCAGGTGAGTACGTTTATTTTATCTTGAGTAAACTGAAGATTTTAAAAATCAAATTCTGTATCTGTGGTTCCTTTACTTCTCTTAGAAACTAATATACAGGAAACCAATTCATGAGAACTTCAGAAATTAATTGAACATTAATATCAGCCACCCACCGTGGTTGTGTGGTTCCTATCCACACATCCCTGCTTATCTCACATTTTAGCCCTATGACAGCAACATGTGTATCGGTTCCTTTCTGCCCTCTTCGTCTCACTTCTGAGAAGGGTAAAGTTACTGGTACGTGACCTGGGAGGTATCTGACCATCCTGATGCTACCCTTTGGCATATAATGTCAAGATACTCAGCTTTTATGCTGAAATAGGTTGTAATTTGTTTGAGCTGCTTTGTTTTTCAAAGCTCTTTTTAAGAGCAAAGGAGGCCAGGTGCAGTGGCTCATGCCTGTAATCCTGGCACTTTGGGAGGCTGAGGTGGATGGATCACTTGTGGCCAGGAGTTTGAGACCAGCCTGGTCAACATGGTGATACCCCATCTCTACTAAAAATACAAAAATTAGCTGGGCGTGGTGGCACACACCTGTAATCCCAGCTACTCGGGAGGCTGAGGCAGGAGAATCACTTGAACCCAAGAGGCAGAGGTTGCAGTGACCCAAGAGCAACCCCACTGCACTCTAGTCTGGGCGACAGGGCGAGACGCCATCTCAAGAAAAAAAAAAAAAAAAAAAAGAGCAAAGGAAATGCTCAGGACAAGATGATCTGGTAAGAATTTTCTCCCTTTTTTGCAGAAAATCCCGTTTTGTCAACCTAATGAAGCATTCAAAGAAGACATATGACTCTTTTCAAGATGAACTTGAAGATTATATTAAAGTACAGAAAGCCAGAGGCTTAGAGCCAAAGACTTGTTTCAGAAAGATGAAAGGGGACTATTTGGAAACCTGTGGGTACAAAGGAGAGGTTAATTCCAGACCCACGTATAGAATGTTTGACCAGAGACTCCCATCTGAAACCATCCAGACCTACCCAAGATCATGCAATATTCCACAAACAGTGGAAAATCGGTTGCCTCAGTGGTTACCAGCCCATGACAGCAGATTGAGACTAGACTCTCTGAGCTACTGTCAGTTCACGAGGGACTGTTTCTCAGAAAAACCAGTACCCCTGAACTTTAATCAACAAGAATATATTTGTGGCTCACATGGTGTAGAACATAGAGTTTACAAGCACTTCTCCTCAGATAACAGTACCAGTACTCATCAAGCCAGTCACAAACAGATACATCAGAAGAGGAAAAGGCACCCAGAGGAAGGCAGAGAAAAATCAGAGGAGGAGCGGTCTAAGCATAAGAGAAAAAAAAGCTGCGAGGAAATTGACTTAGACAAACACAAGAGCATCCAAAGAAAGAAAACAGAGGTGGAAATAGAAACCGTACATGTCAGTACAGAAAAGCTTAAGAATCGAAAGGAGAAAAAAAGCCGAGATGTAGTCTCTAAGAAAGAGGAACGTAAGCGTACAAAAAAGAAAAAGGAACAAGGCCAAGAAAGGACAGAGGAGGAAATGCTTTGGGACCAGTCTATTCTTGGATTTTGAAGCTTTCAAAGTTGGTTCTCCCAAAGTTAAATTGAAAAAATAGGTGAGAGCTTGGTTTTATGATATCCGTGTTCATACCACTTTTCTTATGTGAATAGGTTCTTTAACTTCTAACAAAGGCCTAGTAAACAAAGTGTTTAGCATGCTTGCTCTCCAACACAGAAATTGCTTTTCCTCATTTTCTAAAAGCATTATTACATTTTTTGAACATATAGTGTAATTTCCTTTAATGAAAGTGACTCTGCTTTTATTCATCAAATTGCTTTGATGGTGGAAATATTTTCTGTTGGGAGGTTATTTATTTTAAATTGGAGGATTAATGACCTTTGCACAATCTGTTTCTTGATTGGGTTTGTTATAGTTTTGAGTTGGGTATTTTATGTTCATTGGTTTTTCTCTGTGAAGCAATTTTTTTCTCCTTTATTAGATCTAACTTGCAGTGTATTTTCTAGGCTGGAAAGTGGAAAATGAAATATATTATAATCTTAGGTTACATAAAGTTTCTAAAGTTTCAAAGAGTCTTGATACAAAATCAGTTTATATTCTGAAAATATTTATAATAAAGTATTCTAATTTCTACATGTTGTTGTGTGTCAGTCTGTTCCTATTTAACAATGATTTTTCTCTTGGGAGGAGGAGAGAATAACTTGGCAGTTCATCATACTTAACAGGCAAGATCTTTTGGGTAGGTCACACTTTGAAGCTGTAAAAATTCCTTATCTATCATACCTTGCTTGCTCACATTTGAACCTGGTTTTTAAGGTAGAAATCTATGACTGACTGTTACAGGACCCCACCACTTACCCAAAGTTAGCCTTTGGGTCGGGGGTTTCCTCACTATAGTCCCTTCACTGGTCGCCAGAATGATGTTATAGGAAAAGGGGTCCGAATCTAGACCCCAAGAGAGGGTTCTTGGATCTCACGCAAGAAAGAATTCAGGGCAGGTCCATAGAATAAAGTGAAAGCAAGTTTATTAGGAAAGTAAAGGAATAGAAGAATGGCTACTCCACAGACAGAGCAGCCCAGAGGGCTGCTGGTTGCCCATTTTTATGGTTATTTCTTGATGATGTGCATCCCCCTTTTAGGCCATATAGGGTAACTTCCTGACTTGGCCATGGCATTTGTAAATTATCACGGCGATGCTGGGAGTGTAGCAGTGAGGAAGACCAGTGGTCACTCTCGGTGGCCATCTTGGTTTTGGTGGGTTTTGTCCGGCTTCTTTTCTGCAAGCTGTTTTATCGGCAAGGTTTTTATGATCTGTATTTTGTGCTGACCTCTTATCTCATCCTGTGGCTTACAGTGCCTTAACCATCTGGGACTACAAGCCCAATAGGTTTCAGCCTCATTTTACCCAGCTCCTATTCAAGATGGAGTTGCTCTGGTTCACATGCCTCTCACATGCCCACAGTTTTTTCAGATAGTTAAAACTGAAGAGAGAGGAGTTTATCAGAAATAAAATGCCATTAAATTATTCTGTCCTAATCAGTGTTTTCATTCTAATAATCCCCTTTTTTGTGATACGCATCTCAAGTATTTAAGCATCACTATTTTGTTGTAGAAAGACTGATGGCCTGAGAATCTGAATCGCAGGAGTCTAGTCTCAGCTATGCCATGAAGTTGTTATGTGACTTTGGGGAAGTCAATTACTTCATCTTCCTCATTATCAAATATGACTAGAAAGACTGGCCTCTAAAAATGCCTTGGATAACAAGAAGACTCTGTGAAATGAAAATTCCCAAGCCCCACTTAAAAAAAGAAAAAAAAATTCTCTTTGTATTCTACAATGTTGTGCTTACATGTCTATTATAATATTAACATTAAAATTGTCTTGCTAAAATTATTTTTACCATGGTAGGGAGATGGAAATTCACACACAAAAGTTATCTGCCCTTCCCATTTTGTATTCTAAAATACAACTTTTAGCCTGAAAAGATAAACACTGGATACAATCATTATTACTTAAGCTTTTATTAGCATGCCTATACTCTTAACTCTTCCCATCTGTGATTTTTTTTAACCATCTGTGATTTTTAATTGTGTGTGTCACCTTGACTGGGCTAAAGGATGTCTGAGTAGCTGGTAAACATTGTTTCTGGGTGTGTCTGTGAAGGTGTTTCCAGAAGAGATTAATAATATTTGAATTGGTGAATTAGTAAAGCAGATGGCCTTCCCAATGTGATCATCCAATCTGTTGAGGCCCCAAACAGAACAAAAGGGAGGAAGAAGGGCAAATTTGCCTACTCTTTTTTTGCTGAGACATCCATCTTCTCCTTTTCTTGGACATTGGTGCTCCTGGTTCTCAGGGCTTCACATTCAGCTAGAACTTACACCATCAGCCCTACCCCCCCAAGTTCCCAGGCCTTCACACTCTGAATTAAACCACAGGCTTTCCTAGTTATCCATCTTACAGATGGCAGATTGTGGGTCTTCTCAGCCTCCATAATCATTTCACATGAGCCAGTTCCTATAATAAATCTCAAAACACACAGGCCAGGCGCGGTGGCTCATGCCTGTAATCCCAGCACTTTGGGAGGCCACCAGAGTTCAGGAGTTTGAGACCAGCCTGGCCAACATGGCGAAGCCTTGTCTCTACTAAAAATACAAAATTAGCCAGGTGTGGTGGCACACGCCTGTAATCCCAGCTACTCGGGAGGCTGAGGCAGGAGAGTTGCTTGAACCCGGGAGGCGGAGGTTGCAGTGAGCGAAGATCGTGCCATTGCACTCCAGCCTGGGCAAAAAGAGTTAAACTCCATCTCAAAAAAAAAAAAAAAAAAAATCATCTTAGACTGTGGCCTAGAAGGGGAAAAGGTGACCATTAGAACCCAACATGGAATTGTTATAGGAGTTATTAAGAAATTATTTTAGGCAGCTAGAGAGGAAAAGGGGGTCCTTGGGAAGTTGTTTCTTTTAAAGCAGCTCCAGAAACATTTATCTAGCAGGAAAGCCCCTGCTCTTAGAGCTGGGCTGGCAAGCTTTGCTATGCAAATCCCGGCCATTAGAAACTGGGTCCACCCAGACATGGCGATTCCCTCAGTCTTCTCCCTTGCCCCAACATATCCCCATGTGTGTAGAATGACATGGCACCCTGCATTTGCATGTTAAAAGGCTAGGATGGGAGGGCCAGTTTTTTCACGGGCTACGTGAATGACATACCTGTCTAACCAATCCCCTGGGCCCTATGGAAACCAGACACCGCCTCCTCCAGCATCCCAGTATAAGCAGCCACTTTTCTGCGGCACACAGGGTTTTCTCTTTGTTTGAATCCCTCCTCCCTTTATCTCTGTACAGGGGAGCTGTTTTCTTCTTCTTTCCTTCTTTCTAGCCTATTAAACTTTTTGCTTCTTAAAACCAATCCATGTGTGTCCATGTCAATCCTGTCAGCGCGAGACCAAGGACCCTGGTGTTCCTCCAGTCATCGGAGCTGTATCAGAATCACCAAGAACAGAAAAATTAGACTATTCCCGTTCCTTGATTACTTAATCCTATCAATAAGGAAATAAACTTAGTGATATATTTGCCTATAGGTAAGGAATATAACTTTTTTTTAAGATTTGGACAAAATGATAATATAGGCTAAAAAACTATATGATTAGGTAGATTTATAATTGACTATGTGACTAGTCTCCAAGTGACTGAGTAGATCCCCAAATCAACTGTTCTTCCATGGCACTGACAGAGTAAGATTTTGTGCAGTGATTTTACTCCCTCTGTTTTTAACATGTCTGGTCTACTGGTCAAAAGAAAACCGAAGTAGAGCACAAGCAGGCTGTGAATTATCAGTCCTAAAAGATTCCTTCTTCTCTGAAAACCCCAAGATAGTATAGTCTTTATTGACAGGTATTACAAACAAGGTCAGCTGAATTATCAGCATTTTTAGAGTTGACAAAATTCTTTTCCACAGGTTATTTTGAGTCTAATGCTTGGGGGAAGTTCAAAACTACCGTTGACCCTTGAACAACATGGCCTTGAATTGCACAGGTCCACTTATACACAGATTTTCTTCTGCCTCTGCCACACTTAAGACAGCAAGACCAAGGCCGGGCGTGGTGGCTCACGCCTGTAATCTCAGCACTTTGGGAGTTCGAGGCGGACGGATCACCTGAGGTCGGGAGTTCGAGACCAGCCTGACCAACATGGAGAAACCCCGTCTCTACTAAAAATATAAAATTAGCCGGGCATGGTGGCGCATGTAATCCCAGCTACTCGGGAGGCTGAGGCAGGAGAATCACTTGAACCCAGGAGACGGAGGTTGCAGTGAGCTAAGATCACACCATTGCACTCCAGTCTAGGCAACTAGAGCGAAACTCCATCTCAAAAAAAAAAAGACAGCAAGACCAACCCCCTCCTCTTCTCCTCCTGAGCCTACCCAACTAATGTTGAGGATGAAGATTTTTATGATGATCCACTTCTACTTAATAGTAAATCTATGGTCTCTTCCTTATGATTTTTAGTAACATTTTGTTCTCTAGCTTACTGTATTGTAAGAATATAGCATGTAATAGAGGTAACATGCAAAATAGGTGTTAATCAACTGTTTATGATATGGTAAGTCTTCCAGTCAACAGCAGGCCATTAGTAAAGTTTTGGGAGAGTCAAAAGTTATACTCGGATTTTCTACTGCACAGGGTTCAGAGCCTCTAACCCCCACGTTGTTCAGGAGCCAACTACCTAAGAATATTCAGTAAGATACCAAAGTACTGTGATTTCTTCCAAATGGTTTCAAAATAGATGCCATGGTTCAGTTGTTAGCAGCACACAACTGAACTACACTGAGTGGAGCAGGCAGATTCTTTTTCCAATTTTTAAATTAAAACCATAAAAATTGAGTAAGGGCATACTACAAGTACGTGATAATGACAGTCTTGAGGAAGCACCTATGACTTGCATGATAGTTTTTAAAAATTTAGGACAGCCAGGTACGATGGTTCACACCTGTGATAAAAGAAAAACTTCAGCCAAATTAAATTTAAAGGAGTTTAATTGAGCAATAAACAGTTCAAGAATTGGGCAGCCTTCCCAGCCAGAGTAGGCTCGGACACTCCAGCGCAGTCACACGGTGGAAGGTTTGCGGACAGAAAATGGAAGTGAGGTACAGAAACAGCTGGGCTTGGCTACAGCTTGGCATTTGCCTTATCTGAACGTGGTTTGAACAGTTGGCTACATTTGATTGGCCAAAACTCAGTGATTGGCACAAGTGTAGTCTGTTTACACCTCCACTTGTCACGATATACAGACAAACCTTTAGGCCAAACTTAAATATATAAGGAGGCAGCTTTAGGCTAAACTTGATTTCAATACCTGTATTCCAACACTTTGGGAGGCCGAGGCGGGAGGATCACTTGAGCCTAGAAGTTAGAGATCAGCCCAAGCAACATAGTGAGACCTTGTCTCTGTGAAAATAAATTAGCCAGGCATGGTAGCATGTACCTGTAGTCCCAGCTACTCAGGAGACTGAGGCCAGAGGATTATCTGAGTCCAGGAGTTCAAGGTTGTAGTGAGCTACAAGAGCGCCACTGCGCTCCCTCCTGGGCCCCAGAGCAAGAACCTATCTCAAAAAGAAAAAAATCATGACATAAGCAATTATGTGGAAATAAGGTCACGCCTGTCAAAGTAATCAGCTGAAAGCAGTTGCCTCTGAGGTGCTGGAAAGGGGGAAAGTGGAGATAAGGGAACTACTTTTCTTTAAAAAAAAAAAAAAAAGACATAAAACTAACACTTCAGGCCAGGTGAAGTGGCTCATGCCTGTAATCCCAGCACTTTGGGAGGCCAAAGCGGTTGGATCACCTGAGGTCAGGGGTTCGAGACCAGCCTGACTAACATGGTGAAACCCTGTCTCTACTAAAAATACAAAAATTAGCTGGGCATGGTGCCGGGCGCCTGTAATCCCAGCTACTCGGGAGGCTGAGGCAGGAGAATTGCTTGAACCGGGGAGATAGAGGATGCAGTGAGCCGAGATTGCACCATTGCACTCCAGCCTGGGTGACAGAGCGAGACTGTCTCAAAAAAAAAAAAAAAACAAAAGCAAAAACAAACAAAAAAAATTAACACTTCATTACCTCTGAATGGAGTGACATTAAAAAATGTTTTTTTTTTTTTTTTTTTTTTTTTTTTTTTTTTTTTTTGAGACGGAGTCTCGCTCTGTCGCCCAGGCTGGAGTGCAGTGGCGGGATCTCGGCTCACTGCAAGCTCCGCCTCCCGGGTTCACGCCATTCTCCTGCCTCAGCCTCCCAAGTAGCTGGGACTACAGGCGCCCGCCACTACGCCCGGCTAATTTTTTGTATTTTTAGTAGAGACGGGGTTTCACCGCTATAGCCGGGATGGTCTCGATCTCCTTAATAAATAAAAACAATTTAATACTTCAAACTATGGGCACACAAAACGTTGATAAAAATAAAAAATTTAGAAATCTATTATTAATAGGACAGCATGTTGAGAGACTTTAAAGGAGTTTTTTTTAAGTATTTTAAAAATAATCTCAAATTTATAGAAGTCTTGGAATTAAAGTACGAAGAACTTTTGTTTTGCTAAATGATTTGAAAGTTCCTGAGCTGACTTCTTATAACCCCTACATACTGTGTGTCTTCTGTAAACAAGGACTGAATCCAATAAAATTGTAATATAGCTAGCAAAAATCAGGAAATCAACATTACTATATTTCTACCATCCAACCAACAGACCTATTCAAGTTTTGCCAAGTCAGGATCCAGTTCAGAATCACCACTGCACTTATTTCTCACATCTCTTTCATCTTCAGTCTGGAACAGTTCTTCAGTCTTTCCTTAACTTTCATGACCTTTAACACTTCTATTACAGGCCAATTATTTTGTAGAATTTTCCTTAATTTGAATTTGTTGCTTTAGGATTAGATTCCAATTATATATTATTGGCAGGAGCATCATAGAAGTGATGCTGTGTTCTTCTTGCTAGACTATCAGGAGGCACACGATTGCAATTTGTCCTATTACTGATGATGTTCATTTTGGTTACTTGATTAAGGTGGCACCTGCCAGATTTTTCCACTGTGAAGTGACTTCCTTCTGTAACTGATGAATATTTTGTGAAGAGCTGCTTCGAAATTACGTAAATATCTGTTGATTTGAAAATACAACAAAATTATACTATGAATTGAATAATACATCTAAATTAATTTGCATTTTATCAATGACAACCAGATCCACATACTTTTGCAAAACAGTTGCAGGTGTGTGTGTGCAACAGGTTGTTGACTTAGGCAATGTGTGGAATGTTCTGGATTCCTAGACCCCAGGCAGTAGCTGTAAGACAGTTTTGAACTTTCAAGTAAGACAAACTTAGTTTTGATTTCCAGTTGTACACTTAGAAGCTATGGATGGTAGATTCTTTGTTGGGGAAAATAGCAGCAATTCTCACTCCCTGTGTCCACCCCTTTGGTTGTCCCCTTCCATACCGGCTGGCCATGCCTTTGTGACCTGCTTTGGCCAATGGGAGAATAGCAAATATGACATAAGTGAGACATGGAAAGTTCTTGTGTTGCTGCCCTTATGCTGCTTTTGCAACTCAACCCCTATGTTCAAGCTCTCCTGGATGAGACTTGCAGTCGCATCCCCATCACCCAGCTGACGATGAGCTCCTCCTGTCCCTAAAATATGAGGCCCCTTGGCCATCCAGCCCCCAACCAGTTGTTGAGAAACAAGTATTACCTGTTTGAAATCATAAATAGTTGGGTGGTTTATGATGCAGCAAAAACTAACTTACCTACAACATGACCTCATATGAGTTTCTTAATTTCTCTGAGTCTCAGCTTTCTCATCTATAGGATGGAGATAAGGCAATCACCCTTGCTATTTTGAGGATTAAATGAGAAAATATATGGGAAGTGCTTGGCATAGCATAAATACTCAACACATATGGTAATTTTTTAAAAACCCTCTATATTAGTCCCTTTTAATTAAAATTTTAATTAAAAGAAAAACAAAACAAAACAAAAACCTCTGCTGGCTGGACTAGGGGCAGCCCTCGGGCTAGATGCACTGATTTAGTACTTTTAATAGTGGCAGGAGGCAGACAAACCCCTAGGCAGATAGTGGCATGTCCCCAATGAAACCCAACTTTCAAACCAAAGGCAGTTTAAAGTCGGAAAGCTAAGCTACAAGTCTTGGATAAATCCATGGACTGAACTGAGAACCTCTCTTCCTGTTGGTGCACTTTCCTCTGACTGATCCCCACCCTTCACTTACTTTACATGTATCTACCCTTCCCTAATTGGTTTTCTACACTGTCATGCCACCTTTGAATGGTGCCTTTGTTTTAGCCTTTTTTGCATACTTGTAAACCAATCAGCATGCAGTCCCCACTTCTGAGCCCATAAAAGCCCCAGACCCAGCCACACTGAGAGAGAGACCACCCGACTTCAGGTCAGGGACCACCCTTGCATCCCCTCTCAGCTGAGAGCTGTTTCATCGCTTCATAAAACTCTTCTCCGCCCTTTTCACCCTTCCATTGTCAGCAAAGGGTATGAAAAAGGCAGTAACACCATAGCCCTCCACATCTCCCCCACCGTCTGTGCCCAGTGGCAACCCCTTGCCATGAGCAGCAGTGCAGGGCCAGGCCAGCCAGGGAGCCTCCAGCAGGAGCAGGCAACAGGACTGACAGAGTTGTTAACACACCCCCCGTTTGTTGTTAACATGCCCCTGTTTGTCAGGCTGCTGACAGTGGGACTAAAACAGCTGTTAGCATGGCTGTAACACCCCCTCTGGGGCTTCAGAGTCGAGCGCTTTCCTGTTTGGGTGCCACCACGTTCCCTTCATCTGGATGCCAGAGTTCACCCCAGGAGTCGCTTCTGACAGGCCTGATCCAGCTGCAGGCCCCAAAGGGACCCCACTCCTGTGCCAGCACTTGGAGTGGCTGGCAAGATGAGGCACTCACTTGATCACACACCCCCTCCTACTGGGGCTGAGCATGCAGTCTCGGTGGCTGCAGGATCCCCACCAGAGTGCAAGCCCAAGTGGGCAGGGCACCTCCTGCCTGGGGCAGAGCTAGGCATGGGCAGGGGCATCACCAGCCAGAAGTCTGCAGTTGGAAAATTGAGAAAAATCCTGCGTCACTTTGGAAGCAGCCTTCCTATCCTAGAATGCCAGAGGGCAAGCATCTGAAAGATCTGGAAGGATAAGGCAGCAAAGGCCAAGATGTGAAAGTGCACTGCCCCTGTCAGAGGCGATCGAACTAGAGCGATTCCATCTTGAATAGGCGCTGGGTAAAATAAGGCTGAGAGCTGCGAGGCTGCATTCCCACTAGCTTAGGCATTCTAAGTCAGGATGAGATAGAAAGTCCGCACAAGATACAGGTCACAAAGACCTTGCTGATAAAACAGGATGCAGTAAAGGAGCTGGCCAAAACCAAGATGGTGATGAAAGTGACCTCTGGTCATCCTCACTGCTCATTCTATGCTAATTATAATGCATTTCCATGCTAAATGACACTCCTGCCACTGCCGTGACAGTCTACAAATGCCATGGCAACATCAGGAAGTTACCCTATAGTGTCTAAAAAGGGGAGGAACCCTCAGTTGCAGGAATTGGCTTTCCCGGAAAACTCATGAATAATCCACCCTTTGTTTAGCAGATGATCAAGAAATAACTGTAAGTATAGTCAGTCGAGCAGCTCATGCCGCTGCTCTGCCTATGGAGTAACCATTCTTTTATTCCTTTACTTTCTTAATAAGCTTGCTTTCACTTTATGGACTTGCCCCAAATTCCTTCTTGCAGGAGGTCCAAGAACCCTCTCTTGGGGTCTGGATAGGGACCCTTTTCCAGTAACATCCCCATCACAGCCCTAATCATTAGGGGACCCTCTAGGCTCTTCCCTGCCCTCCCCAGACTGTCTTCCTTAAACATGCTGGATGCAGGGGTGCATCAGTGACTCCGCTGGTGCCTCCAGGAACATAAAGTATGGACCTCTGTGGACAACAAACAACCCAAAGAAAAGACGACCCCTCACAGGCAGGATGGATATCCACTTATATGTACGTCGGTGTGCTGGGGCCGGGAGGCTTCTAATAACAATGTTACCGCTGCTTCACACGGAACAAAGCTGAGGCTCAGAGAGATTAAGGAACTTGTCCAGGGCCATACCGGAGTCCAGGCCCGTGTGCTGTCATGGTCTGAGGTTTGAACTCCAACCGTTTAAAGAGCTGGGATAGAACTGGGGAGGGAGTGTGGTGGGTGGAAACAGCGGGCAGATAGATGGTGGCTGGACTCCAAGGGGCCTAGGGTCTGCCAGAGGGACAACAAGTGAGGAAAACAGGCCTCGGGGTGGATGAGCGAATCCTCAGAGGAGGATGGGCGCAGACCCGGAGGGCCGTGAAAGGTGACAGGGTTATTACAATCTTGGTCGCATAAGAAAGGGGGTAACTAGCGGTTTCTCGGCTGAAAAAGAGGAGGTGGGCTGGAGGTTCCCCCCTCCAACCGCGCGGAGCACGCAGCCTCTCAGCAGGCTGCCACACAGGGTCCCCCACCTCCGCAGCTGCGGGGCCTGAACTCGCCAAAAGGAGGTTCCTCCTGCACGCGCGGCTTCACCCTCCCTCCAGGGCTCCCGTTGCATTTCACGCCCTGCCTAAGGTCGCCCGCCGGTGAGGGCGGAGGAGGAAGAACCGCAGCTCCCGAGGACAGAATCCGCTTCAAGGCACCTTGACCGTCGCCCACCCACACCCTGGCTGCGGCCCGCCGCCCTGGTCCCCATCGCGCTGTACGGTCTTCCCTTCCAACACCGAGGGCGTTACAAGGCCGCCCTGTCCCTGCCACTCATTCTTATTAGTGACTCCTCCCCCATGCTTTCCTCAGGTGAGTTCCCACCGCTCTGCCCGAAACAGTTTCGTCCCACACTTTTACGGCCACTTCACCCCAAATTCCCTTCCGTCTGGGCAAATCTTGTCCTTTACCCGGCATTGGGGTCGCTCCAGAGCTTTCAAACCAGCTTCCCCAGGGCGCTGTGCAGGGCCCGGCCCCTTGGTGGCCACGCCTCCCGGGCGCAGAGCGGGTGGGACATGCAAATGAACGGCCCTCGCGACCAAGGAAAAGGGGCGACAAAGCTCGAAGTCACTAAGAGTCAAGGAGCGGACAAAATGTCTCAAAGGGCCTATGTTTTCAATATAATATTTACATCAGAAAGCAGGTGAGATGTTTACCGAAGGTGAGGTTTCTCACCGTGACCTTAAGGTGGATGAAAGAAGGGAGGACGTGGGAGGCCCCGGGTAACTGGTATCTCTTTTTTGCTGTTTGGTTAATGATTGAGTGTAGTGTGTGTTCTTATCAGTTTAATATCTGGTATGTTCTTCTGTTTGATGAACGCTATATTAAACGCAGTTTTGGAACGGGGAGTTGGAGTAAGAGTTTACTCTATCTAGTCTACGCATCGATTTGGTATTGCAGTACTTCCAGAAACGGTGCACCTGCTAACCATTAGTGACAAAAACAGGTTTGTAATTTTGGAAACCTCAGAAGGTTGCTTCCAATTTCACAGCAATATGGCTAAAGAAGAAAAAACAGGTATGCTAGCAGTTTAAGAAACAGGGGTCTACAACTTTGATTAAATTTTCCAAAACGAGGTGGCTGACACACGCAATCCCAGCTCTTTTTGAAAGAAAATGGCTTGAGCCCACGAGTTCAAGATCAGCCTGAGCAAATATGGCGAGACTCAGTCTTTTGAGATAGTGCGATCCTGGCTTACTCACTGCATCTTTGGACTCCTGGGTTCGAACATCCACATCAGCCTCTCAGCAGACACGTGCCATAACAACGGGCTAGTGTGTATTTTTTTGTTTTCATATGTATATATGGTTTTTGTTTTTGTTTGGTAGAGAGGGGTGTTTCCCCCGCGTTACCCAGACTAGTCTCAGACTCCTGGGATTTGGGCTTTGGGATCAAGCGATCCTCACCCCCAACCCCAAAGTGCTGGGATTACAGGTATGAGCCACTGCACCTGGCACTCTACCAAAAAAAAAATGTTTTTAATTAGCTAGGCATGGTGGCTCATGCCTGTAGTCCCAGCTACCCAAGAAGCTGAAGTGGGAGGATCGCATGAATCCAGGAGGTCAAGGAGCCATGATTGTGCCACTGCACTCCAGCCTGGATGACAAAGCAAGACCCTGTCTCAAAAAATAACAAAGATAAAAAGGAGGCCGGGCGTGGTGGCTCACGCCTGTAATCCCAGCACTTTGGGAGGCCGAGTCGGGCAGATCGCCTGAGGTCAGGCGTTTGAGACTAGCCTGGCCAACATGGTGAAACCCTGTCTCTACTAAAAATACAGAAATTAGCTGGGCATGATGGTGGGTGCCTGTAATCTCAGCAAAGAACAATCGCTTGAACCTGGGAGGTGGAGGTTGCAGTGATCCAAGATCCCGCGACTGCACTCCAGCCTGGGCAACAGAGCGAGACTCTGTCTCAATAAAAAAAAAAAATAAAAATACCAGCCTGGTCCACATGGTGAAATCCCATCTCTACTAAAAATACAAAAATTAGCCGGGCGTAGTGGCGGGTGCCTGTAATCCCAGCTACTCGGGAGGCTGAGGCAGGAGAATTGCTTGAACCTGGGAGGTGGAGGTTGCAGTGAGCTGAGATCAAGCCACTGCACTCCAGCCTGGGCGACAGAGAGACCTTGTCTCAAAAAAATAAAATAAATAAGGAAAGGCCAGGTGCGGTGGCTCACGCCTGTAATGCCAGCACTTTGGGAGGCAGAGGTGGGCAGATACCCTGAGGTCAAGAATTCGAGACCAGCCTGGCCAACATGTTGAAACTCAGTCTCTACTGAAAATACAACAATTAGCTGGGGCGTGGTGGTGCACGCCTGTAATCCCAGTTACACCCGGCCTGTAATCCCAGTTACACCGGAGGCTGAGGCAGGAGAAACACTTAAGCCCTGGAGGCAGAGGGTGCAGTGAGCAGAGATCCACCACTGCACTCCAGCCAGGGTGACAAAGGGAGACTCCGCCTCAAAAAATAAAAGTAAAAAATAAATAAATAAATAAAAGGGAAAAAGGCAGGTTTCATATTAAAACGGAGGGCATGAGGGATAGAGCCATACTGGAGTCATCAGTTACCTGGAGCACTGTTCTTCTGCTCCTAAAACCCACTTATTATTTTGTTCTCAGGAAGTGGATGTGTCAGATATTACATAATAAGCACAGATACTACCCTTGATCTTGGGTAGAAGCAATAAATTGCATTTTTGATTACAAATCTTTAGTCTTTCTATAGGTAAAATAAAATTTCATTTGCAAAACTTATTTACTCCTAAGGGCTTGAGGACACAGCCATTGATTGGTAAAGGTGTGGTGTTTTTGAGTCTTTCTTCTACTGTTGGTGGAGGTGGGTTTATATCATCCTTGGGTACGTTATGACAAGATTAAAGGAAGATGGGGAAATGAGTTGCTCATTGAGGAAAGGTCAGGGAAATCTAACTGCATAGTTCTTTTTCAAAATAAAAGTTGCATAGCAGCCTCACCTCATCTGTTATAAACCAGGACAGGACAGGCATGGTGGCTCAAGCCTGTAATCCTAGCATTTTGGGAGGCTGAGGTGGACAGAGCACTTGAGCCCAGGAGTTCGAAACCAGCCTGGACAACATGGCAAAACCCTGTCTCTAGAAAGAAATACAAAAACTTAGCCGGATATGGTGGTGTACGCCTGTAGTCCCAGCTACTTGGGAGGCTGAGGTAGAAGGATCACTTGAGCCTAGGGAGGTTGAAGCTGCAGTGAGCCATTATAGCTCCACTGAACTCCAGCCTGGGTGACAGAAGCAGACCTTTTCTCAAAAATAAATAAATAAATAATAAAAGCAGGACAAGGGAGTTTTATACCCTGGTACCCCCAAAAGAGATGTTGAAATGGGAAGTATGCAGTACTTGTTCCCCTTTGTGGGCTAAGCAAGCATGGGCTTTACTTGGTTATTGGAACTTTTGGCCCTCCAGGGTGAAACCGTAGACATAGGAGCAGCTTAGGGACAAGAGAGAGCCATGGAAATAATGGATAAAGTAAGCAAGAAAGTGATCTGTTTAGCATATAAATGCTCCACACCAAGGTTTATTTCAGGGCTGGAAGAGCCTTAAGGAGTCTGGGTGGGGCAGCCCTTGTCCATCACAGCAACAAGAATATCCCTTTTTGATAAATTTCAGCATCTACAGCCCTTGGCAATGCCATCATTAAGTGACTCCTGGCCCAGCTCAGTGGCTCAGGCCTGTAATGCCAGCACTTTGGGAGGCAGAGGCGGGTGGATCACCTGAGGTCAGGAGTTCAAGACCAGCCTGGCCAACATGGTGAAATCATGTCTCTACTGAAAATACAAAAATTAGCTGGGCATGGTGGTGCATGCCTGTAGTCCCAGCTACTCGAGAGGCTGAGGCAGGAGAATCACTTGAACCCTGGAGGCAGAGGTTGCAGTGAGCCGAGATTGCACCACTGCACTCCAGCCTGGGCTACAGAGTGAGACTCCATCTCAAAAAAAGAAAAGAAAAGAAAAGAAAGAAAGAAAGAAAAGAAGTGAGCCCTTTCCTGCTTTCACTTCAGCTTGTCTGATAATAACTAGCATCTGCCTTCTGTACATTAGATATCTTCCAAGTCTCTAGAGCTTATAAAACAGCAAGAGCAGAAATCCCACACACTGTGGGGAGGTAGAATGGAAGGAGGGCAGGCATTGGCCTTGGAATCAGAAGATGGGTTTGAACATGCTATTTTCTATAGGTGGCTAAGGGCAGGTCACTTAACCTCTTTAAACTTTACTTTTCATCTTAAAATGGAACTAAAAAAAAAAAACCCATTTGCCTCAGCAAGGGTTATTTGAAGATGAAATGTGCCAGTACCATGCCCATATATGTTACTTGAATCAAATAATCAGAGCGCAACATTAGGGAGCCCACAATAAAGTGTGAAATTTCATGGTGCTGAGCCTGACATTCAGGGCTGCCCAAAGGTGAAATCTGTGCCTACCTGCTCAATGGTGACAATAATCTCACCAAGACTGGGCAGCTACACAGCCTGGACTTGCAGGGGCCTCCATTTTGTTTCTTCTCCCACTTTATCTTCCTTTCTCCCAAATTTCTTCACATTGCAATTTTTTTTTTTTTTTTTTTGACAAGGAGTCTTGCTCTGTCGCCCAGGCTGGAGTGCAGTGGCGCGATCTTGGCTCACTGCAAGCTCCGCCTCCTGGGTTCACGCTATTCTCCTGCCTCAGCCTCCCGAGTAGCTGGGACTACAGGTGCCCGCCACCACGCCAGGCTAATTTTTTTGTATTTTTAGTACAGATGGGGTTTCACCGTGTCAGTCAGGATGGTCTCGATCTCCTGACCTTGTGATCTGCCTGCCTCGGCCTCCCAAAGTGCTGGGATTACAGGCGTGAGCCACCGTGCCCAGCCTTTTTTTTTTTTCCTCTCTCTTTTTTTTGAGACAGAGTCTCACTCTGTCGCCCAGGCTGGAGAGCAGTGGCGCGATCTCAGCTCACTGCAACCTCCACCTCCTGGATGCAAGAGAATCACTTGCCTCAGTCTCTCAAGTAGCTGGGATTACAGGCGCATGCCACCATGCCTGGCTAATTTTTGCATTTTTAGTTGAGATGGGGTTTCGCCATGTTTCCAGGCTGGTCTCGAACTCCTGACCTCAGGTGATCTGCCCACCTTGGGCTTCCCAAAGTGCTGGGATTACAGGAGTGAGCCACTACACCCATCCTGCAAATATTCTTTTAATAAAGTCCTTATCTTTGTAAGCTTCTTCAGTACTTGAAATCACACCTAGCTGGGTGCTGTGGCTCATACCTGTAATCCCAGTACTTTGGGAAGCCAAGGCAGGAGGATCACTTGAGCTCAGGAGTTCTGAGACCAGCCTGGGCAACATGGTGAAAATCTGTCTCTACTGCACACACCTGTGCATGTGTGCATGCCTGTGGCACACACCTGTGGTCCTAGCTACTGAGGAGGCTAAGGTGGAAGGATCAGTGGAGCCCGGGAAGTCAAGGCTTCAGAGAGCCGTGATCGCGCTACTGCACTCCAGCCTGGGTGAGAGTGAGACCCTTTCTCAAAAAAATAAATAAAACATTTAAAAGCGAAATTACATCTGACATAAATAAGCAAACCCACAAATTGCACAGGCATTATATGTGACATTGGGCCTAGGGCTTAAAACGTGTGGCCTTTCAGGATTCTAGGAGAAGTTTGGTGGACAAAGTCCATCTTCTGGGAACACAAAAGAATAAAGAATGCTTATATAAATGGAGCCGTAAGCCATATTCATATACTGAAAGTTGTAACGCTGGAAAGATGTCAGTTCTCCTCAAATTAACCTACAGATTCGGTGTAGCCCCAAGCAAAACTGCAAGTGTTTACAGAAATTGATGAGCCAGATTTAAAGTTTATATATAAACAAAATGCCAAGAGAAATCAACACATACTTGAATACGGAAAGACAGGAATAGGGAGATGACTTGCTCTAGCAAATATAAAGACTTCTCATGAAGCTACAGTAATGAAGACAGAGGAGTACTGGTGCAAAGATATGACAGAATACAGAAACCAGATGCAGAACTATGAACAAATGGACATTTGTTGAATAACAAAGGCAGATCTGTTTGCAGTTCATAAGCATGATGATTGGATTTTCACACTCATGTGTGGGATGAGCCTTTCTCAAACCTGGTAAGGTCTGCCTGTTACCAGTCCAACATAAGAAAAAAATAAAATAAAATAAAATAACAAAGAACTTCAGAGCAGTGAGGGAGACAAACTTCAGTAAATGGTGTTGGAAAAGTATGGTATGTGATATTGTGAGATACATATTTGGTCTTCCCATTTCCTGGCATACAACTCCTAAAATCCTTAGACTCTCCAAAGTGATATATTTTTGTGTGCTAATGAGTTGATTGATGGCTGGCAACCCCTAGGTAGCTTCAGAAGGGAGCTAGTCACAAGAAAGACCAAGGCAGGATTAGAGGGGTGGGATTTTTGTGCTCTGACCCCCAACCTCCAGGGAGGGGACAGGGGCTGAAGGCTAAGTTGATCACCAATGGCCAGTGGTTTAATCAATCATGCCTATGTAGTGAAGCCTCCATAAAAACCCAAAAGGACAGGGTTCAGATGAGCTTGTGGACAGCCGAATGGAGGTTCCTAGAGGGTGGAACATGGGGAGGAGCTTGGGAAGGACCTGGAAGTTCCCCCCCCTTCCCTCATATCTCACCCTCTGCAGCTCTTCATCTAGTGTTCATTGGTATCCTTTCTAATATATTTTATAATAAACTAGCAACCATAAGTAAGTGTTTCCCTGAGTTCTGTGAGCCACTCTGGCAAATTAACTGAACCTAAGGAGGAGGTCCTGGGAACCCTAATTCATAGCTGGTTGATCAGCAGCACAAGTAAAACAGCCTGGGGCTTGCAACTGGCCTCCAAAGTCAGGGGCAGGGGCAGTTTTGGGGACTGAGTCCTCAACCTGTGGGACCTGACGCCATCTCCAGGTTGAGAGTGTGAGAAGTGAATTAGATTAGAGTGCACCCACTGGTGTCAGCTGCAGAATTGACTGTTTGCTTGGTGTGTGGGGGAAAACTCCATACATTTGGTCACAGAAGTCTTCTGTGTTGATTGTTGAGTGAGAGAACAGAAAAAACAGAAACCCCTTGGGTTCCCCCCACCATATCTTCAAACAAATGAAGTAGGATGCCTGCCTCACGGCTTGCACAAAAATCAATTCCAGTTGAACTATATATCTATGAAGCTTTTACTTTGTATTTACTTATTTTATTTTTTTGAGACAGAGTCTTGCTCTGTCACCCAGGCTGGAGTGCAGTGGTACAATCTCAGCTCACTGCAACCTCCACCTCCTGGGTTCAAGCGATTCTCCTGCCTCAGCCTCCCATGTAACTGGAATCACAGGTGTGCACTATCATGCGCAGCTAATTTTTATATTTTTAGTGGAGATGATGGGGTTTTGCCATGTTGGCAAGGCTGGTCTGGAACTCCTGGCCTCAAGCAGTCCACCCTCCTTGGCCTCCCAAAGTGTTGGGATTACAGGTGTAAGCCACCTCACCCAGCCACCATGAAGCTTTTTTTTAAATTTTTTTTATTTTTTTGAGACAGAGTCTCGCTCTGTCATCCAGGCTCACGTGCAGTGGCATGATCTTGGCTCACTGCAACCTCCGTCTCCTGGGTTCAAGCGATTCTCCTACCTCAGCCTTCCGAGTAGCTGGGACTACAGGCGTGCACCACCATGCCCAGCTAATTTTTTTATTTTTAGTAGAGATGGGGCTTAGCCATGCTGGCTAGGCTGATCTTGAATTCCTGATCTCAAGTGATCCGCCCACCTCGGCCTCCCAAAGTGCTGGGATTACAGGCGTGAGCCACCGCACTGGCCCACTATGAAGCTTTTATAAGGCGTCATATGAGAATATGTTTATGATCTATGGCAATGTTTCTGAAACATGGGGACTTCTGGCAATGTCTGATGACATTTTTGGTTGTCACAACTAGGTTGGAAGGGAGTTGCTACTGTTATCTAGTGGGTAGAGGCCACGGATGCTGCTAAACATCCTATAATGCACAGGACAGCCCCTCTCAACAAAGAATCATCTGACCCAAAATGTCATCAGTGCCAGGTGGAGAAACCCTGGTCTAGGATTAGGAAAATATATCTTAAACATGACATTAAAAAGCACTATCCCTCTCGGGAGGCAGAGGTTGCAGTGAGCCGAGATAGAGCCACTGCACTCCAGCCTGGGTGACAGAGGGAGACTCCATCTCAAAAAAAACAAAACAAAAAAAAAGCACTATGCCTGTTAAGTTTGATTCCTATGTTGGACAACATTAAGTGTCCATCAAAAGATACCACCACCCAGGGAATGAAAATACAAGGCAAACAGTGGGAGATCTCCACAACACACAGAGCCAGCAGAGGGCTCATTCTTAGAAGACAGATAAGCAAAAAATGCAAACGACCCAACACAAGAATGTTCTAGAGACCTGGACCCCCGTGGCACAAAAGAGAAAAACACTGGCCAATAGACATAAAGAAGGTACTCAGTACCATTGTAAACAGGAAATGTTGATTAAAATCACAATTAGATATGGAATTCAAGGTTTGACAATTACAAGTGTTGGAAAGAATGTGAAGCCCCCAAACACTGCTGGGGGAAGGATGTAAATTGATATTAACTGGGTGGGCGCGGTGGCTCACGCCTGTAATCCCAGCACTTTGGGAGTCCGAGGCGGGCGGATCACGAGGTCAGGAGTTCGAGACCAGCCTGGCCAATATGGTGAAACCACATCTCTACCAAAAATACAAAAATTAGCCAGGTATGGTGGCGTGTGCCTGTAGTCCCAGCTACTCAGGAGGCTGAGGCAGAAGAATCGCTTGAACCTGGGAGGCAGAGGTTGCAGTGAGCTGAGATCACACCCCTGCACTCCAGCCTGGGTGACACAGCAAGACTTCGTCTCAAAAAAATAAATAAATAAAATAAATACAAAAAATAAGCCAGGCATGGTGGTGGGCACCTGTAATCCCAGCTACTCCGGAGGCTGAGGAGGAGAACTGCTTGAACCCGGGAGGCCGAGGCTGCAGTGAGCTGAGATCACGCCACTGCACTCCAGCCTGGGCAACAAGAGTGAAATTCTGTCTCAAAAAAAAAAAATTGGTATTAACCTCTTTTGAAAAACCTTTGGTATTACTATGTCTGATAAAGCTGAATACACCATGTTGTGTAGCACAGAAATCCCACTTCTAGGTAAACACTCTGTAGTAATGCAAGTTTATGTATATCAGGAAGTATATACAAGAATATTCATGACAGTGTTGTTTAAAATGGCCTGGACTTGGGACAGTCACAATGCCCTTGAACAGATCAATAATCTGTTAATATCCCTCTATCTATATACACACACATATATACATAATGCACACACATATATGTGTGAATATATGAAATATATATACTTTTTTTCAAGAATAGAATACCATACAGCTGTGAAAATGAACGTGGTAAAATTCAGAAATACACTGTACAAAAAAGTGCAGTGTACAATTCCATTTACATAAAGTACATTCCAAAAAACAGGCAAAACTATAGTATTTCGAGTCTTGCATGTAAGTAATAAACTATCCAGAAAAGCAACGATGAGATTTCCCCCCAAAACACAGGCTAGTGGGGGACAAAGGGACAGTTAAGGTTAGGAGGGAAAGGAGACACATCTGGCATGTGGCTCGGTTCTGTTTGCTGACCTGAATGGTGGTTGGATGGACTTTGTCTTAGTGATAAACCATTGTGCTGTAGATTTTCGTTTCGTGCACACTTCTGCATGTATGCTATATTTCACAAATTAAGAATTAGTGTTTTATTAAATTTTTTTCAAGATAAACTCTTCAGACAGGATTTAATAATACTGATTAGGTTATAGGCTGATTGCGTTCCAAGGCGATAAACTTGGGCGTTCCTAAATCACTTTAGTGTCTGTAATTGAATTTGTTTCTCCTGAGAATGGAGCTGTGGGAAGAGAAGGCCTAAAACCAAAGAGGCGGGGGCGAAGGAGGGGGTGTGGCTTCCTGCTTCCTGGGACTGGTAAGCAGCGAGGAAGCTGGAATTCTCCTGGAGCTCAGAGTAAAGCTCCCCGCGCCGTGCTAGAGCTCCTAATTTGCTTCTGAGTTCTATCTAACCAGGTGGGCCTCTGCACTCTGTGGGGCCCCGACGACTGTAGTCTAAAGGGTGTGAGGGTTCCATCTGTTTTGTGGAAATTTCTCTCAGTAAACTAATGCATGGCAGTGATTCCAGGTAAGAGGTGAACCAGACGTTTGGCGGCGTTTGGATGACTAGTTGTTATGGAAGACGGCTGAGGGGCAAATGAGAGGAGGCTGTGTGGGACGCACAGCTGAAGTGGGTAGGACTCCTTAGATCTGGGGTTCTTAGTGGAACTAAACATGTTGGGAGAGGTCAGGGCCTTTCTTCACTCATGTATTCATTCAGCAAGTATTTATTAAGCATCTACGTCAAGCACAATTTGACATGTTGAGGAAACAGCAGTCAAGGAATCTCTACCCATGAGGCGGAGTCTCCCTCTGTTGCCCAGGCTGGAGTGCAGTGTCGCCATTTTGGGTCACTGCAACCTCCGCCTCCCAGGTTCAAGTGATTCTCCTGCCTGAGCCTCCCAAGTAGCTGGGACTACAGGCGTACTACCATGCCCAGCTAATTTTTGTATTTTTAGTAGAGATGAGGTTTCACCATGTTGGCCAGGCTGGTCTTAAATGCCGACCTTCAGTGATCCTCCCACCTCGGCCTCCCAGAGTGCTGGGATTTCAGGGGTGAGCCACCACACCCAGCCAAGAGAACCAGCATCTTAACAGCTCTGCTGGGCGCAGTGGCTCACGCCTGTAATCCCAGCACTTTGGGAAGCCAAAATGGTTGGATTGCTTGAGTCCAGCAGATCCAGACCAGCCTGGGCAACATGGCAAAACCCCATCTCTACTAAAAATACAAAAAATGAACCGGGCGTGGTCACGTGCGCCTGTGGTCCCAGATACTCAGGTGGCTGAGGTGGGAGTAATTGAGTAATCGATTACTTTAGCCCAGGAGGTCAAGGCTGCAGTGAGCTGTGATTGTGCCACTGCACTCCGGCCTGAGCAACAGCGCAAGACCCTGTCTCAAAACCCTCGAGATATCTCAGTATCATAAAGCACTCTATTAGGGAATGGTGATGTCCTGGAGGAAAATCAAGCAGGGAAGGGGCAGAGGGTGTCCCATGGGGAGGGTCGTCAAAACTCTGAGAAGGTGACATTTCCAGCTAAGACCAGGGAGGCAAGGGGGCTTCCAGTGTGGGTGCAGAGGTAAAGAGCTTTGCAGGGTTAGGGACGGGGAGGACCTGAGGCCAGGGTGTGCTTCTCTGCTGCCTTCCAGCTGGGAGACGAGTGTGGCTGGACAGGAGGAGCAAGAGGATGGTAGTCAGAGAGAAACTGGAGGCCTCAGGACAGGGAGTGACCCACAGTGTCAGGCCTTGTAGGCACCGTGGGAATCTGGGCTTCCTTCTGAGGGAGGGATGGAGGAGCTCTCTAATGCTTTTTTTGTTGTTTGTTTTGGGACAGAGTCTCGCTCTGTCGCCTCCACCTCCTGGGTTCAAGCGATTCTCCTGCCTTAGCCTTCTGAGTAGCTGGGATTACAGGCGCCTGCCACCACACCCGGCTAATTTTTGTATTTTTAGTAGAGACGGAGTTTCACCATGTTGGCCAGGCTGGTCTTGAACTCCTGACCTCAGGTGATCCGCCCACCTTGGCCTCCCAAAATGCTGGGATAACAGGCATGAGCCACCGCCCCCGGCCCTCTGATGGTTTTGAGCAAAGGATTTTGAGCTCTCTACTGGTTTTGAGATAGCCAGGATGACATCACATTAAAATGGTTATCCTGGCAGCTGGTTTGGAAATAGGCTCATTGAGCAGGTGCTGGAAGACCAGTGAAGGGTGACTGCCCTGATCCAGGGGACATGTGGCACCCTGGCCCAGACAAGAGCAGTTTAAGTAGAAGTGGTCAGATTCTGGACAAGTTTTTTTGTTTTTCGTTTTTTGTTTTTTGTTTTTTGTTTTTTTTTGAGACGGAGTTTCGCTCTTTTTGCCCAGGCTGGAGTGCAATGGCACGATCTCGGCTCACCACAACCTCCACCTCCCGGGTTCAAGCGATTCTCCTGCCTCAGCCTCCCGAGTAGCTGGGATTACAGGCATGTGCCACCACACCCGGCTAATTTTGTATATTTAGTAGAGACGGGGTTTCTCCATGTTGGTCAGGCTGGTCTCGAACTCCTGACCTCAGGTGATCCGCCCGCCTCGGCCTCCCAAAGTGCTGGGATTACAGGTGTGAGCCACCGCATCCCGCCGGCCGAGTTTTGAAAATAGAGCAGTTGGCAGGATCTGCTGATGGTGCTGGCTGTGAGGTGTCGAGTAGTGGGTGTCTCCCAGGAGTTCGAGGCTTCAGTGAGCCGTGATCATGCCATTGCACTCCAGCCTGAGTGACCCTGACTCAAAAAAAAAAAAAAAGAAAGAAAAAAGAAATTAGTAAACTAAAATGGAGGCGAGTTCTCAGAATAAGACTGCTAGTAAAATATTTAATGCTACTTGTCCTCATTCCTGCATCTTAATGAGAACATTAATAGCTACAAGTCACTGGCCACTTGCTGCATCCCTAGTGCTTCAGTTGTAGTCACTGTCTTAGTCCCCACAACACCTATAAGGTTGATACCAATCTCAGAGATGAAAAGCATTCTGAGCTACAGAGTATGACTGAGCAAGCAGGCTCTGAACCCTCTCTCCCTGGGTTTAAATCCTGCCTGTACTTTTTGGCTGTGCGTGACCTTAAGTAAGCAACCCAAATTCTCTGTGACTCAGTTTCTTCATTTGTTAAAAAAAAAAGAAAGAAAGAATAATCATAGTTTGGGAGTTTAACACAATAAATAGCATCTTCCTCTGTTTTTTCACCTCAGCTATTAGATTTAAAATAGATGGAATGTGAGTGACCTGGAAATATGTTTAATTATCTCTCTATTATTTCTTTCTTGGCATATAATAAGCACAGGACTAGCTTGTTCTGTTTTTGTAGAATTTATGAATGATTTTAGATTAATTTAGTTGCTTGTCTATTTTCTTGAAACAACTTAATTTTCTTTTTTTATCACACAAGTGATAGTATTTTTGGCAAAAATCCAGAACAATTAAGTAAGACTAAAATTATCTAAATTCCCCCTACACCTGGGGTAACCACTGATAAATCATATGCCTATCTATATGTGTTATATTTATTTATTTTATATAGATCCTCAAATGTACACAGTGTTTTAAGGCTCATTTTCTTAGTCCATTATATTTCATGATTCTCAGTCTATGTCAAAAATATTTTCAACATCAGTGACTATGTAGTACTTACAGTATATTACATAACATAACCTCCCCTAGAAATTGGAGTCTGATCTTTTTTTTAGGACACACAAAAAAAATCATAGCAAAATAATACATTTAACAGAAAGCTTCCCCCCATTTTCCCTAACAGATTCATCCGTAATCAATATAATGGAAAATTCTAAGACTTCTGACTCTTTTCAACATGAACTGGAGGATTATATTAGAAAGCAGAAAGCCAGAGGATTGCAACCAACCCTTTGCTTTACAAAGGTGACGGAGGACTCCGCGTGCCAAGAAAGGGGCCCCACTGAGCCTCGGGGGCCGGAGCAGCAGGGACTCCCCTTCTGGAGGCCCCACGTGTTCCCCGCTTCCTTGGAAAGACTGAGGACCGTGGAAAGCCGGGTACCTCCCTGGCCTGAAATTCCTTATGCGCCACGAAGACTGGAATCTGTAAACCACAGTCAAAATAATCAGGACCATTTCTTCAAACTCCGGTGGCTTCCAAGCCCATCTGGGCAGGGAGAGAACACAGGCGTCCGCGGGGCGCACGGCAGGGAAGGTTCCTGTTGCCTCTTCTGGGAGCCCCGCGGCAGCGCCCAGCAGGCGGACCGTGGGGACCGAGGCCTGAGGAGGAGGCACGGGGAGGTGGGAGGACGAAGAGCGGCCGGGGAGGAGCAAGCAGAGCCCAAGAGGAAGCACCGCGCGAAGGGAGACTCACACAAAGGGAACAGGGGCAGGAGGAAGGCCGAGGGGGCGCCAGGCAGTGCAGAGAGGCCCAGACGCAGCAAGAAGAATCACCAGGGTGGGGATGCCGCAAAAGAGGTGAGAAGGTCTGGGAGAGAGAAGAAGGGGTCAGGCAGGGAAGGCCCAGAGGAGAGGGACCTGTGGGATGAAGCCATCCTCGGCAGTTGTTACTGATGACTGCGGACTGGGGGCCCCAGTATTAAATCATTTGAATCCACTGGAAAGGATGGATTAGATAACACTGAAGCAGTTAAATGGCCACCTGCTTGGAAGAAAATAAAATCTAATCGGCACCTCACACTCTTATTCAAATATTAAAACCCAGATGGTTTACAGATATATGTGTAAAAACTAAAATATAAAAATATTCAAAGAAAATATGGGAAAAGTATTTTAAATCTTGAAGTATGGATGGCCTTCCTAAATAAAACACAAGCCAGAAACCATCAAAGAAAAATTAATAGATGTAACTGCCGAGATATTTTAAATTTGTGTAAAGTGGAAGATTTTGTTGTAAAATTTGTAAAATGGAAATTTTAAAAATAAAGCATTGTATGTGTGCATCAAACAGCTCTGAAAGATACACAATGCACTGATAACTGTGGGTTCTGGGATCAGAGAACTGAGTGGGTGGGGAACAGGTTGCAGTTGACTAACTTCTTTTTTTTTCTTTTCTTTTTTTTTCTTTTTGTTGTTGAGATGGCATTTTGCTCTGTCGCCCAGGCTGGAGTGCGATGGTGCGATCTCGGCTCACTGCAACCCCCGCCTCCTGGGTTCAAGTGATTCTCCTGCCTCAGCCTCCTGAGTAGCTGGGATTACAGGTGCCCACCACCATGACCGGCAAATTTTTGTATTTTTAGTAGAGACGGGGTTTCACCACGTTGGTCAGGCTGGTCCCAAACTCCTGACCTCGGGATCCACCCGACTTGGTCTCCCAGAGCGCTGGGATTACAGGTGTGAGCCACTGCGCCCGGCTTTCTAATAAATACTTTTAAAGACAAGCAACAAGTTGGGGAAAATTTTATTTGCCTCACTGTGAATATCCCTGTGCAAGTTACGGAATTATTTGCCTCTGAGCTCCAAGCAGTCTTTTTGCTCTGCAAAACAGGACCTTAAAGGACGCCTCTGGTTTGCCAGCTGGCTTGATGCTAGTCTCTGCCAGTAGAGGGCGCTGGAGGGTCATTGTGAAGTGGCAGGTGGAAAAACTTTGCCTAAGTTGGCCCTTTTCTTGGGGGGGGGGCGGGCGGTGTCCATCCGTCCTCGTCCGTGTCCGTGTCCTGTGTCCTCTAACAAATTTCTTTGTCCTTGGTGGACTGTGTGACCTGGTTTTCTCTGCAGAGGTCTGAATCTCAGTTGTAGGGGACAGACCCTCTTCCAAGTTTCTCAGTTCCTTGTTCACCACCCCTCCACCCCATAGATAGGGCTTGGAGGGCCGGCACACTACCACCTGCAGATCAAATCCAGCTTTTTTACTGCCCTCGATCTGAGAAGATTTTACATTGGAACCTCAACTAGGCAAAATGTTATCCCAGCAAAATGGATCCCATTCTTTTCATTAATAGGACGTTATTCCAAAACGTGTACTCATTATTTTATTTTGAATTTCATGTTTAAAAAAATGTGGACATTTGCTTCTGTGTTGTTATATGAGGACCTGCCTAATGTCTTTGATTGTGCCTCTTGCCTACAAAGCCTAAAATATTACCTATCTGGCCCTTTACAGAAAAAGTTTGTCAGCCCCTGCCTTATAGTCCTCTTGAACCACTTACGATAGTTAACCGTCTTTTATCAGCTAAGAATTCTTGGCCTGGCGCGGTGGCTCACACCTGTAATCCCAACATTTTGGAAGGCCGAGGCAGGCGGATCACCTGAGGTCGGGAGTTAGAGACCAGCCTGGCCAACGTGGTGAAACTCCGTCTATACTGAAAAAAAAAAAAAAAATTAGACGAGTGTGGTGGTGGGTGCCTGTAATCCTAGCTTGTCAGGAGGCTGAGGCAGGAGAATGGCTTGAACCCGGGAGGCAGAGGTTGCAGCGAGCCAAGATCGCGCCATTGCACTCCAGGCTGGGTGACACAGTGAGACTCCATCTCAAAAAAAAAAAAAAATATTTTCCAGGCTGGGCACGGTGGCTCTTGCCTGTAATCCCAGTACTTTGGGAGGCCAAGGCGGGCAGATCACTTGAGGTCAGGAGTTCAAGACCAGCCTGGCCAACATGGTGAAATCCCATCTCTACTAAAAATACAAAAATCAGCCAGGCATGGTGGCACACGCCTGTAATCCCGGCTATTTGAGAGGCTGAGGCACGAGAATCACTTGAACCAGGGAAGCAGAGGTTGCAGTAAGCTGAGATCGCTCCACTGCACTCCAGCCTGGGTGACAGAGCAAGAGTCTAACTCAAAAAAAAAAAAAAAAGAATTCTTTTCTGTTTGTTTGAGACAGGGTCTCCCTCTGTTGCCCAGGCTGGAGTGCAGTGTTGAAATCATAGTTCACTGCTGCCTCCAGCTCCTGGCCTCAAGTCATCCTCCCACCTCAGCCTCCCAGGTAGCTAGGACTACAGGTACAGACCATCACCCCCAACTAATTTTTAAACATTTTTTGTAAAGATGGGGGTGTCACCATGTTGCCCAGGCTGGTGCTGAACTCCTGGCCTCAAGCAATCCTCCCGCCTTGGCCTCCCAAAGTGCTGGGATTACAGGCATAAGGCTCCACACCCAACAACATTAATAATTCTTTTTTTTTTTTTTTTGAGATGGAGTCTCGCTCTGTTGCCCAGGCTAAAGTACAGTGGAAAAAGGAGGGTCTGGAGGGAAGGATGGCTCCTGCCCTTGTCCAGGGAGCTGGGCAGGCATGTGTCTGGGCTGAGTTCTGGCTTCCTTGTCCCACAGGTGGCTCAAGCTGCCTGACCCGCTGACAGAGTTCTCTTCCTCCCAGGTAGGTGTCTAGAGCAGAATTGGCCAGTGTTGCTGCTAGTTCTGATTCAGGTAGAGCGGGACCCACCTCCTGGGTCCCCTGATTCATAGGATACAGATACAAGTGTCTGTGTACATTGGGTATAAGGTGACTAAACGGTGGCAGGATGCCTCTGCTTGGGTTGTCCTTAAGGCAGGAATGGTGAGAAGCAACCCTGGAGCTGGAATAAGGAGGTGGGGGGTAGGGAGATGCTCTGCCTGCCTTTTGGAATAGCCTCTGAGAACATAAAGGAAAACAAACTCTGTTTTCCCTGTACTCTCACAGCATGAAATATTTCTGTGACCTCAGATGTATGGGAGTTTTTCCCCACATGTCAATCCTCCAGGAGGTGACACCAGCTGAGTGTTCGCTAATTAAATTCAATTCTTTGGGGTTTTTCGTTTTTGTTTTTGTTTGTTTGTTTTTTTGAGACAGAGTCTTGCTCTCTCGCCCAGGCTGGAGTGTAGTGGCGCGATCTCGGCTCACTGCAAGATCCGCCTCCCGGGTTCATGCCATTCTCCTGCCTCAGCCTCCCGAGTAGCTGGGACTACAGGCGCCCGCCACCACGCCCAGCTGATTTTTTTGTATTTTTAGTAGAGACGGGGTTTCACCATGTTAGCCAGGATGGTCTCGATCTCCTGACCTTGTGATCCGCCCGCCTCGGCCTCCCAAAGTGCTGGGATTACAGGCTTGAGCCACCGCACCCGGCCTTGTTTGTTTGTTTTTGATACTGAGTATCTCTCTATCACCCAGGCTGGAGTGCAGTGGCGCGATCTCAGCTCACTGCAACCTCCACCTCCTGGGTTCAAGTGATTGTCATGCCTCAGCCTCCCGAGTAGCTGGGATTACAGGTGCCTGCCACCATGCCTGGCTAATTTTTGTATTTTTAGTAGAGACGGGGTTTCACCATGTTGGCCAGGCTGGTCTTGAACTCCTGACCTCAAGTGATCCACCCACCTCGGCCTCCCAGAGTGCTGGGATTACAGGCATAAGCTATCACGCCCAGCCTTAAATTCAATTCTGACACTACTTACCTGAGAAAGTGTCAGATCCCACAGGCTGAGGGCTCAGTCCCACAAGACTATCTCCCATTTCTGATGCCAACCACAAGCCCCATGTCGTTTTACCTGTGCTTCTGACCAAGTGGTTAGAAATTGGAGTTCTTAAGCCCACCTCCTTGGGTTTAATTAATTTGCTATAGTGGCTCACAGAATTCAAGGAAAAACTTACTTACATTTACTGCTTTATTATAAAGGATACTACAAAGGATATAGATGAAGAGATGCATGGGGTGAGGTTTGGGGGAAGAGGCTTGGAGCTTCCATACCCTCCCTGGCCTGCCACCTTCCAGGAACCTCCATGTGTTCAGCTGTCCAGAAGCTCTCCAAGCCCTGTCCTTTTGGGGTTTTTTGTTTTGTTTTGTTTTGTTTGGAGTCTCGCTCTGTTGCCCAGGCTGGAGTGCAGTGGTGCCTTCTTGGCTCACCGCAACCACTGCCTCCTAGGTTCAAGCAATTCTCGTGCCTCAGCCTCCCTAGTAGCTGGGACTACAGGCACACTCCACCACGCCAGGCTAATTTTTGTGTTTTTAATAGAGATGGGGTTTCACTATGTTGGCCACGCTGGTCTCACGCTCCTGACCTCGTGATCCGCCCACTTCAGCCTCCCAAAGTGCTGGGATTACAGGCGTGAGCCACCGCACCTGCTTTTGGGTTTTTATGGAGGCTTCACTACTTAGGCGTGATTGATTAGATCATTGGCCATTCGGTGATCAACTCAACCTTCTGCCCCTCCCCCTCCCTAGAGGTTGGAGGGTGGGGCTTACATTTTTAGTCCCAACCCTCTCATCCTGTCTTGGTCTTTCTGTGACCAGCACCATTCAGAAGCTATCCAGGACCCCCAGTCATCAGTCAACCTAGTAGCATACAAAAAGACTTATCACTTTGGAGATTCCAAAGATTTTCGAAGCTATATCTCAGGAAACAGGATGAAGACCAAATATATATTTCCCAAATCATACCCCCTTAACTTCCCACCACCAAGTGGCTGATTTGCCCTCGAACCTGAAAAGCTCAGAACTGGTCATTTCCCCAATAGGTGACCAGGCCTGCCAGCCCAAGGGCTCTGACCCAATGAGCTTTGTAACATCCTAAGTGGAAGCTAGTCCACGCCATTCAAAGGTTTATTAATACTGTGGATCATTCTAGAACTGAAGGTCCCTCTGAAGAATCAACACTCTAGGTTGCAGGGTCCTAAGGAAAAGAGACTAGAAGGAGTAGCCACATGCAAAATTTCACCCTGGTGCAGTTTTATTCATGGTTCAAACAAAAACTCAGAGTGGTTTTGTTATCAGGGTAAACAAACTTGTAATTTTACTTTCCCCAGTGTTAGGAAAGCTCCTTCTGCACTGTGAATGCTGAGCCATGAGTATTAATTAGGTTGTGAACGTGTAGAACATTAAATAGACATGCAAACTTGTGTGTCATGCAAACATGCAACAATGTGTGTGCAAACACATTGATGTGCAGCTCCCATTCACAATCACAGACATGAACACTGGGAAATAAAAGTAAATTACTAAGCCCCCCAACCAACTGAACAGATCCCATCTTGGCCAAGGGGACCCCAGAGAAAACATAAAAACTAAGTTTCTAGCCATGACAGGATGGGACTTTAGACATACCTCATTGTACTACCCCACCCCACCTCGCTAACTGCCACTAGGCTTTCCTCCCTAAGGGTTAAACAAAAACCGGAAACCAGAAAAAAGATTCTCTGGCTAGGCTCAGTGGCTCATGCCTGTAATCCCAACACTTGGAGAGGCTGAGACAGGGAAGCATTGCTTGAGTCCAGGAGTTTGAAATCAGCCTGGGCAACATAGTGAGACCCCATCTCTACAAAAAAAATTTAAAAAAATTAGCCGGGCAAGGCGAGGCACATGGCTCATGCCTGTAATCCCAGCACTTTGGGAGGCTGAGGCAGGTGGATCACCTGAGGTCAGGAGTTTGAGACCAGCCTGACCAATATTAGGAAACCCCGTCTCTACTAAAAATACAAAAATTAGCCAGGCATGGTGGCATGTGCCTGTAATCCCAGCTACTCAGGAGGCTGAGACAGGAGAATCACTAGAACCCAGGAGTCAGAGGTTGCAGTGAGCCAAGATCACGCCATTGCACTCCAGCCTGGGCAACAAGAGCAAAACTCCGTCTCAAAAAAAAATTAGCCGGGCATGATGGTACATGCCTGTAGTCTCAGCTACTTGAGACGTCGAGGTGGGAGGATTGCTTGAGCTGGGGAGATAGAGGCCGAGGCTGCAGAGCTGTCATTGCACCACTGCACTCCAGCCTGGGCAACAAAAAGAGACTCTGTACCGCCCCCCACCCCCCCGCCAAAAAAAAAATATGCTCCACTGCTAACTTCAACCAACCATGTGACTGGTTCTCCATTTTGTAATTTCAACACTGACCAACGTTCCTTCCTGATAAGAAACCACTGCCCACAGGAGTGGTTCTGGCCAGTCTACAGAGGTTGCACACAGAGGGCCTTCATGTCCTCTGCTTCACCTTTTGATGTATAGGGCCTAATTGTAATACATTAGGTTAACCATCTGTGACAGTTAATATTAGGTGTCAACTTGATTGGATTGAAGGATGCCTAGATGGCTGGTAAAGTCTTGTTTCTCACTGTGTCTATGTTGCCAGAGGAGATTGACATTTGAGACAGTGGACTGGGAGAGGAAGACCAACCCTTAATGTGGGTGGGCACCATTCAATCGGCTACCATCTCGGCTAGAAGGAAGCAGGTGGAAGAAAGTGGGCTAAGCTGGCTTGCTGCGCCTTCTGGCTTTCACCTTCCTCCCAGGCTGGATGCTTCCTTCCACTCCTCCTGCCCTTGGACATCAGACTCCAGGTTCCTCGGCCTTTGGACTCTTGGGCTTACGTGAGTGGTTTGCTGGGGGCTCTTGGGCCTTTGGCCACAGACTGAAAACTGCACTGTTGGCTGCCCTGCTTTTGAGGCTTTTGGACTGGGACTGAGCCACTACTGGCTTCCTTCTTCCTTAGCTTGCAGATGGCCTATCATGGGACTTCACCTTGTGATCATGTGAGCCAGTTCCCCCTGATAAACTTCCTTTCATATATACATATATCCTATTAGTTCTGTCCGTCTGGAAAGCCCTGACTAATACAACATCTAAAGTTGAACATAGGATGCATGTTGCATTCATTAGCCTACTATGCCTGTGCTTCCTTTTCATGAATATTCATAGCTCCTCTTATAACCTGTTGAATATATATACATGGCCAACCCACTCAGAGTAAATTGCTGTTTCCTTAACCCCTCCCTTGAAGGGCTGCTGGCTACAGTCCATGCTTCCTGACCTGTCAGAATGGCCACCTGCAGGCTGCAACCCTTTATGAGAAATAAAGCTCTCTTTTCTAAACTTATGAACCTTGTCATTTGTCAGGTGACAACATAGTGATACACATACACACACAGCAACCTCTAGTCCGTCAACCTGAAATAATCAAAGGGATTAGAATAGAACTTTGAAGGGCTTATTTAAGCACGAAGTTTGAGGACATCTACCTGGGAAATCAGGACAAAATATCAACATAAACAGGAATTTGGAAGAACTTGATTCCAACCCTCATGGGTGACTTTGAGGGGCTCAAAACTTTAGTGGAGGAAGTCACTGCAGATGTGGTGGAAATAGCAAGAGAATTAGAATTAGAAGTAGAGACTGAAGATGTGACTAAATTGCCAAGATCTTATGATTAAACATGAACAGAATTGCCAAACTTGAACAGAATTGCCAAAATCTTATGATCAAACTGGAAGAGTTGCTTCTTCTGGATGAGCAAAGAAAGTGGGAACATACAGAAAACAAACATTAAATGGCAGATTTAAATCCCACTAGGCCACTAATTAAATACAATGGTCTAACACAAATAACAGAGACTAGCAGAAGAGATTAGAAAATATAGCCCAACTATATATGTTGGTTATAAGAAGTGTTCTTCAAATATAATGACATAGGTAAGTTAAAGGATGGAAAGAAGATATATTATGCAAACAGTAATCAAAAGATAGCTGGAGTTGCTATAAAGTGGGGAAAAAAAAATGACCAGGAACAAAGAGAGGCTTTAAAGGGCTATATCACCAAGAAGGCACCCTTGAGTATTTTGTAAATGTCAGTTCATTCCATTTTGTTGATAATGTTGTTCATGTCCTCTCCATCCTTGGCAATTTCTTTTCTCTTCTTTTTTTTGATACAGTATCTCGTTCTGTTACTCAGGCTGGAGTGCAGTGGTGGCATCACAGCTCACTGCACCCATGACCTCCTGACTCAAGCGATCCTCCCACCTCAGCCTCCCAAAGTGCTGGGATATTACAGACATGAGCCACCACATCCAGCCTGGCAAACTTTTTATGTAGGAGTTCAGACAAGTAACTTAGCCTCTATGGGCCACATGCAGTCTCTATTACATATTTGTCTTCTGTTTTTTTTTTTCCTTAACCATTTAAGTACATAAAACCTATTCTTAGCTCACAGACTGTACAAAAACAGGATACAAGCCAGATTTGGTCATGGAACATGGTTTGCTGACCAAGGATCTAAATAGATGCAGAGAAATCATTTGATAAAATCAAATATCCGTGATGAAAAAAAACCTCAGCATCTAGAAATAGAAGGGGACTTCCTCAAATAGACGAGGGACATTCAAAATTTTCACTGTGCCTCCTGATGAGGAGGAAGGGACGGCCATGACTTTTTTCATAGTGTTTGTAAAGAGTAGGGCAGATATAGTGAAAAGTTTCTGTCCTGGTCGGTCATTCTTTTCCCAACACTTTGGCTGGAAAGAGTAAGATTTTCTTAGGGCGTGTTTTGTCTGTGAACGTTGGCATGTCTGCGTTATAGGCACTTTGAAAGCCTGAGGCCTGGTTATGTAAGGAGTCAAAAAAACCAGAAACCTAGGGAATTCATCATTAGGTCATTCCTGGGTCTCAGGTTACTAGCCAGTTTGTCTTCTTTTCTTCACTTTTTCAGAATCTTCTGTTAGTTGCATTATAAATTTTATTCAGTTTTTTTTTTCTTTTTGGTGATTAATGAGGGAATAGCATGGTATGTGCTTATTCCATCTTTTCGTAAATTAGGGGTTTGAGATAGCTTTTAAAAAATTATGCATAATTAGTTCTCACTGTTATTTTTGTTTTTTAAGCCTAAGGATTTTATTGGGGCAACTTCTGTTATTTTGTTAGCTGTTGAGTAGTGTGTTAACATGAATATGTACATTGTTAAGATCTCATTTTAGTTCTGAGCATCTCCTTTTTAGTCTTATCAAGTTTTCAGCCTGTACAGATGTGAATTTCTGTTTTTGCTAAGTACCCTACAGATAGCCAAAATAAGGAGTGGTTAGCACGGATTGTCAACTCATTCTTTTTTTTTTTTTTTTTTTTTGAGACAGAGTTTCATTCTTGTTGCCCGGGCTGGAGTGCAGTGGCGCGATCTCGGCTCACTGCAAGTTCCGCCTGCTGGGTTCACACCATTCTCCTGCCTCAGCCTCAGAGTAGCTGGGACTACAGGTGCCTGCCACCATGCCCGGCTAATTTTTTTTTTTTTAATTTTTAGTAGAGATGGGGTTTCACTGTGTTAGGCAGGATGCTCTTGAACTCCTGACCTTGTGATCCGCCTGCCTCGGCTTCCCAAAGTGTTAGGATTACAGGCGTGGGCCACCGCACCCGGCCGCTGTTCTTACTGTCTTTATGACCAATAAGGTAGAAGAGTACATAGTGTACAGATTTTTGTATAATGTGCTGACTATATTAACATTCCTCTCCTTGCCTTCCAAAAAAGTCTTCAGTAATGAAGAGAAGGAATCCAACCAAGAGAAATTATACCAAGGTATGAGAGGTCTAGGTGGGCAGATGGCTTCAGCCCAGAAGTTCAAGACCAGCCTGGATAACATGGTGAAACCCTGTCTCTACCAAAAAATACAAAATTAACCAGGCATAGTGGCATGTGCCTGTAGTTCCAGCTACTCAGGAGGCTGAAGTGGGAGGATCACTTGAGCCTGGTAGGTTGAGGCTGCAGTGAGCTGAGATCATGCCACTGTACTCCAGCCACAGGGAAAGAGTGAGATCTTATCTCAAAAAAAAAAAAAAAAGAAATTATACCAACATATTTGCAGTTGGATAGTGGAATTGGATAGATTATTGACATTTGAATTGTTTCTTTGCTGTGTTTGGTGAGCATAAACTTAGAAATATCAAAAGAAATATATGTTTATATTCCTTAACATTTTATTTAAGGATGTGATGCATTAAAGGCAGTATTTTTTTTTCACATGTTTTTATTGCTTAAAGGTGGGAAAGGTTTTTATTCCTGGACTGCCAGCTCCCTCTCTGACGATGTCCAACACAATGCCTCAGCCCAGTACTTCACTTGATGGCGTTAGTGCTCCAAAGCCTCTTAGTAAACTCCTTGGATCATTGGACGAGGTAAGAAAAGGACTAGGTGCTGCCAAAAAGTTAACATTTTTTAAAGAAGTTTGGTTAAACATTAGTTCTTTCCATGGTTAACTTAATTTTAGTTTCTACTTGCAGAATAAATGTTTTCAAACAGAAGTGATTCAGTTAACATACACTGACCTCCCTTGTGATGTATGTGATACTTTTTGAAGGTGCTGGAGAGATGGAAATGATACATTCTTTTCCATCTAGGGATCTCACAATTGTGTGGAGTTGATGTACTGTCTGCATAAGAAATTAGAATTTAAGAAAGACTCATGACTCAGTAATGTGGAAAAGAGAGTACCATCGTTGATTGACTGATGGGAAGATAACATCCAATGGGAGGACATGGCAAAATCAAAGCCTCATCTCTGAGAGACATGTCAGTCTTCGTTTGGACCTTGGGGATGAGTAGGATATCTGTAGGTAGAAAGGAGCATTCAGGGCAAGGAGAAACTCCACAGGCACAGGCAGGAAGGCCAGATAATGCGGAACATTTTTTAATGGATATTTGTATCTTCATCTCCTAGTCATAAGGACTGAATAAATCTGTAGAATAAATACTTATAAAAGTACAAGTAGTCTGTAGGGTGAGGCAGGATAGGGATTGGATAACAATAATAACCTTTTTTGAGCATTTTCTATGTGCTAGGCATTGTTCTCAGTGCTTTATTAGTAATAATTATTTCCTTAGAACAGCTTTATTGAGAAGATAGTACTATGATTCTTTTTTTTACAAATGAGATAGAGGTTACAAATGAAATAAACCTACTAAGTGGTAGAACTGGGATTTACACTCTTACTAATGTGCTCTTAAAGGGAGAAAGGATGAAAATGTGGTTTTCTTCTGAATGCAATTGACAGGGCATTACAGGATTTTGAGAAAGGAGTTATGAGGTTTTGGATCTGTGTTGTAAATAGGTGTATTTTGGGATTCAAGATAAGGAGACCAGTTAGCCTCCAAGTGAGGTTGTCTGTGTCAGTTTAAGAAGTATGAAGAGGGTCTGAGCTAGGGCAGTATATGTGTGGAAAGGAGGGATTAATATGAGAGGCCTTGAGAGGTGGAAATGAGTTTGTCAGCTGATTGGTTTTGTGCTGCTGGGCTGGGGAAAGGTGATGTGGAAGGAGGCTCCGAATTCTCTGAACGACCTGGGAAGGTACCTGGATTTACCAAGTTAGGAAGCCTGGAGAAAAGTGGTTTGTATTTAAAGGACATGTGAGTGTGGATGTTTAGGGACGGTTCAAAGGGAAGGTTAGTGCTATCTGTTGTATTTGATAATGTCTATGTCTTCATTATATTTTTAAACATGTGCCACATTGAATTTTTTTTCCTTCAAACCAGCACATTTGCAGAACATTCAAAGGGGGAACTGGAGAAGTGTCAGAGTGTTTTGTGTGATTTGGAAGAATTTCTTTTATAATGGAAAATGGTTTCCAGCTTTTTTAGAATTCTATAAGCCTGGTAATAGTGCCTTTTTGATAGGTGTAAGGTCATGGAAATGATAGTCTGACACATTGGCTGATGGCTTTTCCACTTCTCTGGAAGATTTTGCTAGTAGACTTAGAGCCAGGACCAGTGGAGCTGAATTTTTCCTGGTGACTTTTAGAGTAGAATCTGGAATAGAATAAATACATCTTAGTCTTGATTGTCAGTGTTGACAAGATATTCACTTAGAGATATATAAATTGAATTAAAGGAATCAAAAAAGGATCAGTGGTCATGACTAGAGATTAAGATTGGAAGCATCTGCATGTAGATAGTAACTAAGACCATTTAAATTTTTTGTTTGCATATCTGCAGTTAAGCAAATAAATGCTGTTCCTGTATTTTTGAATAAATAATTGCCTATAGGGGAAATACCACTAAATACTGGTCTCATTTGTTGGCTTTTTCATTACTGTCCTTTCTTCCTGGGCTCTTAGTTCCTCAGCTGCCTCAAATCACAGTTTAGTTTTTTTTTTTTGAGATGGAGTCTTGCCCTGTCATCTAGACTGGAGTAAAGTGGGGCAATCTCACCGTACTGCAACCTCCACCTCCTGGGTTCAAGCGATTCTCCTGCCTCAGCCTCCCAAATAGCTGGGACTACAGGCACCCACCACCACACCTGGCTAATTTTTGTATTTTTAGTAGAGGTGGGGTTTCACTATGTTGGCCAGGCTGGTCTTGAACTCTTGACCTCAAGTGATCCGCCCACCTCAGCCTCCCAAAGTGCTGGGATTATAGGCATGAGCCACCGCGTGCCCCGGCTCACAGTTTAGTCTTTAGCCCTGTAAGGTTGCTAACAGTGCTGCTGGCTTCTCTCCCTCTTAGCTATGACTTTCCTTGCATATTGTCAGCCTTTCCATATGTTCCTCTTACCACCAAAATTTGCAGATGGCCAGAGCAGAAAAAGCAAGGTTCTCCAAGAACGTTGGCCCCTTTCCCTGCAGTTGCCTTCTCTCCTAGATCTTGGTCCCTCAAGTCCAGGTTGCTTCCACAGCTTTTCCACAGCCACCAATCAGATGTTTTCCTTTTACCTACCTTTTCTAGCTGTTTCCTGTGAGGACCTTGGTTTGCTGGTACTTCATTGTATCTGGAACAAAATGTTTTAAAGAGCCTGGGTCTTGCCGTGTCATCCAGGCTGGAGGGCAGTGACTATTCACAGGCTCACTACAGCCTCAAATTCCTAGGCTTAAGTGATTCTCCTGTCTCAGTCTTCTGAGTAGCTGGGACTATACAGGTGTGCACCACCATGCTTGGCTTGGAGCAGAATGTTTTTGAATCATTACATATTATTGTTTGTTAGACCATATGCAAAAAAGAAATAGTTAAATTTCCTTGTCCTTAATTTCTCAGAAAAGAATTCATTTGTATTGTATTTACGACTTTTTACAGGTTCTTCTGTTGTTCCCAGTTCCAGAACTGAGGGATTCTTCAAAACTTCATGATTCTCTCTATAATGAGGATTGTACTTTCCAACAGCTTGGAACTTACATTGATTCTATCAGAGATCCTGTCCATAACAGAGTCACCCTAGTAAGTACAAACATTTGGTAGCTTTCCAAGAAGTGGGCTGGCATTTCAAATTTGACAGAATACAGAATTTTGTCTGAAAAATGACAACAAACATTTCTCATGATTTAAAAAAATCTATTGTGTCATTTTTTGGCACTATTTTACTTTTTACTATACAGTAATTCTGCTTGTTTTCTACAGTTTCTGTATTATTAAAAACTTCATGAAAACAAAAGCTTGTTGAGTCAGTTGAATTGTATATTGATGTGATTTTTTGTCATCTCATTAAAACTAAATGTCCTTTTGATGATGGTGACTCACTGTATAAAGATTAGACACTTTTTATTAAAACAAGCATTTTGGAAAACATTTTGCAAATAATTACATTTAAAGTTTCTGAAGTTTGGAAGTGTTCATTTCTGTTTGAAAATTGTTTTTCATTTATTTTATTGCTTTGATGGGCAAAGTCTTGTACCAGCTATTTTTAAGACATTCAAAGACTTAGAATGCACAGATTTTATTTACTTTCTCATTTGTTTCCATCTAGGAACTGAGTAATGGCTCCATGGTTAGGATCACTGTTCCTGAAATTGCCACCTCTGAGTTAGGTACGATTGAGAAGTTTCATTTATAAGACATGAAGTAATTGTGATTTACATTAATAACTGGGGTTTTAAACATTATTTTGCCATTTTTGAAGCCACTGGATCAAGTTCTTAGCTTTGTAGAGGAGCTTTAAAGAGCTAGGGAGTGCTTTGTGATGTCCACTCTATGTGTGCTCTAAGGCTGGAGTACAGGTGAAGGATGTGCTAGTTCTGTTCCCTGAGGTTCTTCTGTTGGGGAATATTGTGCAGTATAATAATATATGGACATGCCTGCTGGGCATGGTGGCTCACACCTGTAATCCCAACATTTTGTGAGACTGAGGCAGGTGGATCGCTTGAGGTCGGTAGTTCGAGACCAGCCTGGCCAACGTGGTGAAACCCTTTCTCTACTGAAAATACAAAAATCAGCGGGGTGTGGTGGTGCACTTCTGTAATCTCAGCTACTTGGGAGTCTGAGGCAGGAGAATTGCTTGAACCCAGAATGCGGAGGTTGCAGTGAGCCAAGATCGTGCCACTGCACTCCAGCCTAGGTGATAGAGTGAGACTCAGTCTCAAAAGAAAAAAAAAAAATATATATATATATATATTTATATGTATATATATGGACATGCCTCTTGCAAGAACATCTGGGAAACTGGAAGCCTAAGCGACTAAGATAATTCTTGGCATATTTAATGTTTTTTTTCTGTAATGTATTAATGATGTTTTTAATTTTAAAATAAATATCTCAATTTTCAGATAAATTGTGAAAGTAACCTAATTGCCTTAATTGAATAAAACTTAATATTATTGTCAAAATACAATCAGAATTATCTTAATAAATATTGGATTCTGCTTGAATTATTCCTGAGATGCAATTTCAAAAATGCTAGAGGAGAATATTTCTGAACATAGCTTAGTAAACAAAATGTTAGAATTGAAGGGATTTGCCAACAAACGTAGGTTAAGAAAAGAATGCCTGTATGATATAAGGAAGTTCATGACATATCTTGGTTTCCAATCTAACTGCCAAAGCAGGACATTGGCAGATTGTAGACAAGAATGACTTTTTCATTTTAGGAATCTTCACTGCTGGTAAATGGTATTCCAAGTTGCTATAGAGATTCCTTGCCTTCTAAAAGGTATTTCGTAATCACAAGGCCAGGTACCTAGAAGTATGATAAGCCTAAGCAAAATATATAAAAACAAATAATAATGGAAGAAATTAAATAAATAAAAACAAAAAATCTTACCCCTTTATAGCCAAATAGAAGCCCCATAGTTTATGCACATAAGTTTATGTACTTTACCTGCAAAGGGTTCTCACACACTCATGCAGCATTGGGTTTACACTTATTTTGGATTCAGCTATGACATACTTGGTTATATGGTATTTTAATATTATTTGCTTCCAACCTGTGCTGTGTGAGTTTGCATATTGCAAACTGACGGGATAGAGGATATGCTGATGAGGGTGGGCCCAGTGGCATGACAGTGGAAAGGGAAAAAAGAATCCTGGAAGAGAGGATATGTGAGTACACAAACATTGCAGTTTGGGATTATTTACTACTAAAAGCAGATTTGGGTCTCTTCACAGTGGTAGCCCTGGCCACTCTGAGGGGATCATTGTATGACAGTGTAGTGCTATAATTGATGTGGAGCCACTGAGAATGGTATAAGGCCAGGTGTGGTGGGCTCGTGCTTGTAATCCCCTCCCTTTGGAAGGCTGAGGTGAGGGGATTGCTTGAGGCCAGGAGTTTGAGACCAGCTTGGACAACATAGTGAGACTCGGTCTCTACAGAAAGAAAAATAAAATCAGCCAGGCATGCTGGCATGCATCTGTAGTCCTTGCTACTTGGGAAGCTTGAGCTGGTGGACCACTTGAGCCCAGGAGCTGGAGGTGACAGTGAGTTATAATTGCACCACTGCACTCCAGCCTGGGGACAGAGGAAGACCCTGTTTCCGCTTACCAAAAAAAGAGTGTTGTAAATTATGTGGTATCAACTCTTAACCCTTTTAAGGCAGAGAGCATGTGAAACATTTTAGAAACTGAATGACATCAGAAATAAAGTTATAAAGCTTTGGTTAATAGGCATGTTAAGTCATTTAGAACATCATGTAATGCTAGCTAAGCATTGCTATTCGTGGATGCATATATTGAATATTATATATTTACTGAAGTATGTAGGCAGTATTTTATATAAATGTATAAACATAGAAGTTGTATGTTTTTCATAGTGATTTTTTTTTTTTTGAGACAGTTTCGCTGTAGTCATCCAGGCTGGAGTGCAATGGCGTGATCTTGGCTCACTGCAACCTCTGCCTCCCGGGTTCAGGTGATTCTCCTGCCTCAGCCTCCTGAGTAGCTGGGATTACAGGTGCCTGCCACAATGCCCAACTAATTTTTGTATTTTTAGTAGAAATGGGGTTTCACCATGTTGGTCAGGCTGGTTTCGAACTCCTGACCTCAGGTGATCCACCCACCTTGACCTCGCAAAGTGCTTAGATTACAGGCGTGAGTCACCATGCCTGGCCCATAGTGACTTTTAATTTGTCACCCGAGCTAGAACATCTTTAAGAGTGAAGGGGAGCAGTTAGTAATTGCTGGGCAATGGATGTAAATCAGGACTGTCTCTGGCAAACTGGGCTATTTGGTTACTTTATTTCTGATGCAAAATTAATGATCAAAAAGCTGTCCTTGGCTGGGCACAGTGGCTCACACCTGTAATCCCAGTGCTTTGGGAGGCCAAGGCGGGTGGATCATGAGGTCAGGAGTTTGAGACCAGCCTGGCCAACATGGTGAAACATGGTCTCTACTAAAAATACAAAAATTAGCCTGGGGCAGTGGCAGACGCCTGTAATCCCGGCTACTTGGTGGCTGAGGCAGGAGAATCGCTTGAACTCAGGAGGCAGAAGTTGCAGTGTGCCAAGACCGCACCACAGCACTCCAGCCTGGGCAACAGAGCGAGACACTCTCTCAAAAAAAAAAAAAAAAAGCTGTCTTCAGACCCCTTTCAAGCCCTGTTGAATTCAGTAGTTGGTTTTAGTTTCAGATGATGGGTTAGGTAATGCTTGCATCTCATTGGCTCTTTAATGACAGTTTTCTTTTCATAATAATTGGCCTTTACATAGTAGAAGTTAAAAAAACTTGGTTATTGAAAGGGGAAAAGAAATGCATGCAGAGTAAGAATACTAAAATTAATCTTTGCTTTTAATAGTACAAACATGTTTGCAAACAATTAAGTTTATCCTGCCAAAAGAAATAGCAGTTCAGATGCTTGTCAAGTGGTACAATGTCCACAGTGCTCCAGTAGGACCCAGTTATCACTCAGAGTGGAATTTATTTGTGACTTGTCTCATGAACGTGATGGGTTTTAACACAGACCGCTTAGCATGGACTAGAAATGTAAGTAAATACAATTGTTTTCTTTATGAGTTATTCTGTTAATGTAATGGTTGCATAATTGGTAATATAACATTGAGACTACATAATAGGCGTACCATATTCAAAATAATAGAATGATATTAAGGTTTATTGTATCTATATGTTGTAAATCAAATCTCACTTAATATTTAATATTAACATTTTACTAGTGATTATAATTACTGAGCTTTAGAATGTTAAAGCATATATGACTATTTCTCATTTCACCTTTGTAAAATGACTGCAAGTTATGCTAGGATTAGTGATAGTCTTGGTTTTATTGATGAAGAAACTGGATCACAAAGAAATCACAGATCTGTGATTTTTTAAAAACTATGACTAGACTGCATCTTCTGACTCCTTGTTTAACATTGTTTTCTGAAGATAAGATTGTCTTTTTACACACATATTGCTTGGGATGTGAAGAGGAAGGTTTGATTTGAGGGAGATTTAAAGTACTTTAGCCGAGTACTATACCATCTACTCTGTACTTATACCATCTACTCTGTTAATGGTATAAGGCCTTACCTCTCACCCTCTTCCCCCAGTAACATCCTTACAGGCCCTTATTAGATTATTTACAAAATCAGCAGAGTGGTGTCCTCAGTATTGGTGATCTCCTTCTAGCTTTGGAGATCACTCCCAGGACAACTTTGCCTGGGTCACTCTGAAAAAAAATCACTCTAGACTGTAATTACCCCTTTTCCAGGTAGCTCAGCTGTACCATTCTATATGTTTTAGCCTTGCACACCAAATCCTTTTTTTTTTTTTTTTTTTTTGAGACAGAATGTTGCTCTGTCGCCTAGGCTGGAGTGCAATGGCACAATCTCAGCTCACTACAGGCTCTGCCTCCTGGGTTCATGCCATTTTCCTGCCTCAGCCTCCCGAGTAGCTGGGACTACAGGCGCCCGCCACCACGCCCGGCTAATTTTTTGTATTTTTAGTAGAGATGGGGTTTCACCATGTTAGCCAGGATGGTCTCGATCTCCTGACCTCGTGATCTGCCCGTCTCAGCCTCCCAAAGTGCTGGGATTACAGGTGTGAGCCACCGTGCCTGGCCAGCAAATCCATTTTTAAAACTTGTTTTTTGTCTTAATTATGAAAGGAAAATGTGGAAAATGGAGGAATTAAGAAAATAATTATACTACTCAGAGATAACCACTCTAAATATTTTTGATGTTACCTTCTATATAAAAATACCAATGAAAATTTCCCGTTATCATTAAAAATTTTTTCTAAAATATCTCCATCATTTCTTCATAGTGTAGTTTTATCATAATTAACCAATAGCTAATAATTGTACCTTGTGAATCTGTTGTTTTCGTTATTGTAATTTATAAACATCCTTTTTCACGACTCTTTAACCACATCTCTAGTTACTTCCCAAGAATTGAATCTTAAAAGAGAAACTGTGAGGTCAAGTAATGTTTGGAAAGGGGTTCGCCGGTGCCATTCTTACTAGCATCATTTAAAAGCGCCCATTTCACCACAGTGTTTATTTGTGGTGTGGTGAACCTTTGCCAGCTTCCTGAGAAATTTTATCTTATTTCTCTATAAGTAAATGGGAATGGTTTTTTCAAATTTTCATCAGTTATTTATAGTTCTTATTTTTTTATTCATATTTCATGTCCTTTGTCTATGTTCCAGTCTCTTCTCAGACCAGTGGCCAAAGTAATCCTGTTTGATAACGTCAGGTTGCGTTCGTCACGCCTCTGCGTAGAATCCCCCAGTGACTTCCCATGTCACTCAGAGTAAAGGCCATAGGCTTATAAGATGCCATGTGACCTAGCCCTTGCTCACCTTCCTGGTCTTATTTCTTAATGCTTTGCACGCATCATCCCAGCCACATTGGCCTCAGCTCTGTTCCCTGAGCACTGCCAGCATGTTTCTGCCTCTGAGTGTTTGCACTTGCCATTACCTCTATGGAGAATGCTTTCCCTCCGACAAGACGTGCTTAGGTCTTTATTCAGATGTCACCTCAGTGCTGCCTGTCCTGTCTCTCTCTATAGAATTACACCTGCCTCCATACCTTTAGTGCCATTTACCTGTTTTTCTTTCTTCTCACTTAATTAAATATAATATACTGTATGTTTTACTTATTTTGTTTTGTGTCCCTCCTCCCCCAACTGGAATGTAAATTCTAGGAAGGCAAAGATTTTTGCTTAGTTTTGTTTACTACTCTCTCTCTCCAGGACCTGTGGTATTGCCTGGCATAGAAGGATACTCAGTGAACATTTGTTGAGTGAATGCCATTTTCCATCTGAGTGAGATACTGTTTTTAAGAGTTTGTGTCTATTTCAGCACATGAAGGAATTGCTGTCTGCAATTTCCTTGAGAAAAATCTTATGGGAAAATAGGGACAATTTTCTTTTCCTTTCTTTCCTTTTTTAAGACGGGGTTTTGCTCTGTCATCTAGGCTGGAATGCAGTGGCGCTATCCTGGCTCACTACAACCTCTGCCTCCTAAGTTGGAGCGATTCTTGTGCCTCAGCCTCCCGAGTAGCTGGGATTACAGGCATGCACTTCCACGCCTGGCTAATTTCTGTATTTTTAGTAGAGACGGGGTTTTGCCATGTGGGCTATGCTGGTTTCAAACTCCTGAGCTCAAGTGATCCTCCCACCTTGGCCTCCCAAAGTGCTAGGATTACAGGTGTGAACCATGGCTCCTGGCCTTCTTTTCTAATTTTAAACAATTGTATCCAAGTGACATTATCCTCAATTTTTCTGTTCTTTATTACATGTGAAAAGATTAAGCCTCATAGAAACTGGATTTCTACATTATGAAAAAGCATGTCAGCTTTCTGTAGTTTTGTGTATCATTGTCCTTGGAACTTGTTGATGAGTACAGATTGTTGTGTCCTAGTCTCTGGCAGAGAACCTATGCCCCCTCGCGTTTCCATGTTTTGGGGAGGACTGAGCACCTACCCATTTTTTCCTTTGCAAAGAAGGACATGACTCTTTGACTTACTTATTGCATGATAATTATAAAGGAAGGAATAAGGAAATCAATTCTTGAGGCCAAGTTGCTTTGCCATTTATTTATAGGACTGCGTGGTTAAACCCTTGCTATCTTTTGTCCTCATAGTCAAAGCTTAGGATGAAATGGTCCTCATTGGCAAATGGTTTTCATTTTGCTTTGTTCAGATTTATTCTTTTTGTTTTCACATATATAATGTGGTGGAGTACAGAATTTCTGCCAATGACTCGTTACACAATTTTTGGCATTTCTTTGTGCTTTCTTTAATTTGCTGATGTGTTACATGAGTGCACTGGACTGTACATTGTAGGAACAGTTGCATTTGGGGTTAACTTTTTGTGGCTTTTGGGCTGCTCTTTTTTTCATTAGATAAATATTGAATCCCTGCTGTGGGCCAGGCATGATGCCAGGTTTCTCACATATACCCCAAACAAAACAGATTGTTCCTCTGGAATTGACTGTCTTGAGGGAAACAAATAAGTAATATTTGATACATGTGTTATGATAGATGAAGGGTAAGGGTCCATAGGAGCATATAACAGGGTTGGCTAACCTGAGACACATTGAAAGAGTGAAGATTAAACAGATCCATGTATGGCACAAAGAGCCATCCTTATCAGGCAGTTTCTACTTTCTCATAACTCCAGGCCTTATGAATCTGATAATTATAGCAGGGACATTCTTTTTGACTGTGGGACTTTGTGTGTGTTACATTTTGGTTGAAGTTTTAGGTTAGATAGTTACTGTTATATTTGTTGCTTTGATTTCACTGTTACTACCAGGTTTTTTATAATATATATGAGTTGGGCTGTTTTTTATTTGAATGCTTCACAAGCAAATCTTCTCTCTCAATAACATTCGGTTTTAAAAATCACTTTATTGCTACCTATGTTTAGTTTTTATATAGAAATCAACTCTGTTTAGGTGAGTGAGTTGATAAATATGTAAGTTTTTCAGCATAGGAAAATAGCCATTGCCATTTATAGAGTTACAGTTTATTAGTTGATGGTCAATGCCCATGTGAAGTAGCTGGGGCAGCAAAGATTATGCCAGGGGAAATTGAAGAAGAGCAACTTGCAGAAAACTGCTTTGATGTAGTTGTACTAGTTAAAAGATAGGCTCACTATTGTAATAGAAAGGCCTCAAAAGATACAATGGCTCAAACACAATAAAAATGTCTGTCTTGTTTACATAACAGGGCTTAGCAGATAAACAGGCCACACAGTTATTCAGGAACCCAGGTTGATGGAGGATCTTTTGTCTTCGGTTCAAAGCTTGCCGTTGGTTGACTGCATTCCAGTCAGGTGGAAGGGGCAAAGAGCCTGGAGGAGCAGGGGTAGGACTGGACTGGTCCTGGAAGTGATGACAGTGACTTCCATTTATAATTAACTCTGTCAAAGGGTCACACCTAACTTCAAAGGAGGCAGACGTATGTATGTAGTCTGGCTGTGGGTTCAGTAGAAAGAGGAGAAAAAAGATTTTCCAGAGTAGCTACTTGTCTCTGCCATAGAATTGTTAGATAGTTTACTGTAGGTGGACTGTAAATAAATGTTTGCTTAGTTCTAACATTTGACTGATATTGGGTTGATCCTTTGAGACTTGGTATATTGTGGATATGCCTAAAGTTTCTTTTTCTACCAAAGATGTGATGTAATCTATGTTGTTACAGAAGTAGGAGAGGGAAGGAAACTACCATTAAAATCAGTCCTTAGGAGCCCAGGCACTGTTCTAGATGTTTGCATATATTAATATGATTTCATTTCATCTTTACAGTAACCTGGAAGAAAGATATTTAAATAATGACTTTCCAGATCAAAAAATGAGTTTTGATGGCTTTTCTCAGTTTTCATAATTGGCAGAACTGATTTCTGAATCCTTTAAGTTGATCAGTTGACAGGAATGCATTTATGATTTTTATCTTTTCTTTTGGGGTTACTTTTCAGTTTGACTTTGAAGGATCACTTTCCCCTGTCATTGCACCCAAAAAAGCAAGGCCTTCTGAGACTGGATCTGATGATGTAAGCATTATTATTTCTTGCTAATATAAATTAATTTATGGATATTCATACTATTCTTCCACTTCTGTGGTATTCCTATCAATTCCTCTATCTTTCCAACACCTTTCACTTTATTTATTTTAATACTGAATAGCAATTATTTTGAAGAGTAGGATCTGTTACATTTTCTATGGTCTTTAATGATTATCCAAAAATTAATGTATGTATTACTGCATGATTTCAGTTTGGGTTTGTAGACATTTTATTATCAACTGATCACCTGAAATGACAGCATTTACCTTTTTTATGCAGTGTTTTTTAAATTAAGGTTCTCAATCGTATCAGGTTCCATGGTATATTCCTTTTTTTTTTTTTTTTTTTTTTGAGACGGAGTATCGCTCTTGTTGCCCGGGAGGGAGTGCAGTGGCACGATCTGAGCTCACTGCAATCTCCGCCTCCCAGGTTCAAGCAGTTCTCCTGTCTCAGCCTCCTGAATAGCTGGGATTACAGGCGCCCGCCACCATGCCCGGCTAATTTTTGTAGTTTTGGTAGAGACAGGGTTTCACCATGTTGGCCAGGCTGGTCTCGAACTCCTGACCTCAAGTGACCTTCCTGACCTTGGTGTCCCAAAGTGCTGGGATTACAGGCATGAGCCACTGCACCTGGCCTCCATGGTATTATTCTTAAGTGGTCCAAATATGTTTTTTTAAATTGTGGTGTAATTTACAAAAATGAAATACATCTTGAGTTTACAGTTTGATCAGTTTTAATATATGCACACTCATGTAACCTACACTCCTATATAGACACAGAATATTTTTATAACTCCATAAAATTTCCTTGTGTGGTTTTTTTTTTTTGAGACGGAGTCTCGCCTTATCGCCTAGGCTGGAGTGCAGTGGCACGATGTTGGCTCACCACCTCCTGGGTTGAAGCTATTCTCCTGCCTCAACCTCCTGAATAGCTGGGATTATAGGCATGCGCCACCACGCCTGGCCAATTTTTGTATTTTTAGTAGAGATAGGGTTTCACCATGTTGGTCAGGCTGGTCTTGAACTCCTGACCTCGTGATCTGCCCACCTCGGCCTCCCAAAGTTCTGGGATTACAGGCATGAGCCACTGGGCCTGGCCCCTCTTGCTGTTTTTAATCAGCTTTATTCTCTTCTTCTAGCAATCACTGATCTGAATTCTGTCACCATATCTTAGTTATGCCTGTTCTAGAACTTGATGTAAATAAAATAATATAGTATGTAATCTTTGGTATAAGATTTATTCAGCATAATGCTTTTGAGATTCATTCATATTGTTACAGATACCCGTAGTTTGTGCTTTTTTATTGCTGAGTAGTATGAATATACCATAGTTTGTTTATCCATCCTTCTTCTGCTGGTAGATATCTAGGCTATTTCCATTTTTTTTTTTTAAGTCATGAATAAAGCAAGCTACTGCCAAAATTCACTGGCAAGTCTTTGTGGATATATATTTTCTTTTTTTGGGGGAGGGGGACAGAGTCTTGCTGTGTCATCCAGGCTGGAGTGCAGTGGCACGATCTCGGCTCACTGCAACCTCTGACTCCCGAGTTCAGGCAGTTCTCATGCCTCAGCCTCCCCAGTAGCTAGAATTACAGGTATGCGCCACCATGCCTGGCTAATTTTTGTATTTTTAGTAGAGACTGGATTTTGCCATGTTGGCCAGCCTGGTCTCAAACTCCTGGCCTCAATAATCCGCCCATGTTGACCTCCCAAAGTGCTGAGATTACAGGTGTGAGCCACCATGCCCGGCCCGTGGACATACATTTTCATTTCTTTTTTTTTTTTAAGAGACGGGGTGTCACTTTTTGCCTACGCCGGACTGCAGTGATGCTATCGTAGTTGGCTGTAATCTCGAACTCATAGGCTCAAGCCATCCTCCTACCTCAGCCTCCAAGTGGCTAGGATTACTGGTATGCTTCATCATGCCTGGCTAATTTTTAAATTTTTTTGGCAGAGACAAGGTCTTACTATAATATGTTGCCCAGGCTGGTCTCAAACTCCTGGGCTCAAGCAGTCCTCCTGCCCCTATCTCCCAAAGTGCTTCGATTACAGGCATGAATTTTAATTTCTTTTAATTTAATTTAATTTCTTTTAAATTAAAATTCACATCTGTAATTTTAATTTCTTTTAATTTAATTTCTTTTAAATGAAAATTCACGCCTGTAATCACAGCACTTTGAGGGGTAGGGGCAGGAGGACTGCTTCAGCCCAGGAGACCAGCCTGGGCAACATATTATATAGTAAGACCAGTTGTCTACCAAAAAAATTTGAAAATTAGCCAGGCATGATGGCGCATAACCTGTAGTCCTAGCTACTTGGAGGCTGAGGTTGGAGGATGTTAAACACTCTTTCATGTGCTCATTAGCTGCTTATGTATATTTTTGTGAAGTTTCTGTTCAAATCTTTATCAACTTGTAAATTAGATTTTAAAAAATATGTAAGCTGGTGAAGTTCTTACATGTTCTAGACGTGAGTTCTTGACCATATTTTCCCTTAGAATGTGGCTTTAACAGTGTCTTTGATGAGCAGAATTTTTTATTTTAGTTATCCAATGTATCAGTTTTTTATTTTATTTTATTTTATTTTTGAGATGGAGTCTTGCTCTGTTGCCCAGGCTGTAGTGCAGTGGCATGATCTCAGCTCACTGCAAGCTCCACCTCCCAGGTTCACACCATTCTCCTGCCTCAGCCTCCCGAGTAGCTGGGATTACAGGCACCCGCCACCACACCTGGCTAATTTTTTGTATTTTTAGTAGAGACCACGTTTCACCATGTTGGACAGGCTGGTCTTGAACTCCTAACCTCAAGTGATCCACCAGCCTTGGCCTCCCAAAGTTTTGGGATTACAGGCGTGAGCCACTGTGCCCAGCCAAGGATATTCTTTTTATAACATTTTCAAAAATTAAGGCATATTGTGTATACAGGAAAAAAAATGAAGCCTATGATTTATATTTACAATTGCTTTGATTTAATACAAATTAAAATATTACTGTTTATGAGAATGAGATTCTAAATGTAAATGGAATTCACAGAATGCATAATTTTTTTCTCGTTTAAAGAAATAGAGTCTCGCTGTATGCCTAGGCTGGTCTCGAACTCCTGGGCTCCAGCCATCCTCCCATTTCAGCCTCCCAGAGTGTTGGGATTACAGGCATGAGCCACCACGCCTGGCCTTGTACATGTTATATAGTGACCATTTTGCACAAGATTGTTTGCCAGATGAATAATTAAAAAAATCCATTTAGTGTACTTTCCTTTAAATATTTTCACACCTGGAGTTAAAACATTGTATTTTATAAAATGTTATTAATATAAAAATACTTGTAAATAAACTTGTGGCTATGTAGAATGTAGTAGAGGACTTTTGCATAAGCCCAGAGCCTAGTTTCTAAAGGTCTTTAGCAATATATAATAGACATAGAGGGGAAAGAGTTGGGGGAAATCAGAGGGAGGTATAATTCTGGTCTCTCGTCGTTCAGTTCTTTTTCATTCAGTTCTCTCAGGCACGACTCCAGCCACTTAGTTTTATATTTCAACTGGATGTTGACCCAATTAAAACAATTCACAGCTCCTGAAGATGAAATACTATGAGTCCCTGCTTTGGACACATCTGTAGTAGAGTAGGAAAAGATAAATATAACCCAAGTAATTGTTACAGAATCTTCTGAAATATACAAATGGTAAAAGGTTTTGTAGGGCGTGTACTGGGGAAAAAGATAATTTTTCAACATGAACCTTTTAAGAGCTTGTGAGTCTCAAAGAGTCTTTAATTGATAGGTGATATGGATAATACTCCCCTTTGGGAGGAGGTTTATAATACATAAACAACCTCCCCACCCTTCCCTCGCAGCTTTCTGTCCTGTACTACAAGAACAACAAAACTCCAACTAGTCAGAATTGCAAGTGGTTTATGGCCCCCCATATAGATTGAAAACTTGCTAAGAGACTGCACTGGAGAACCTGAAAGGATGAGGATGGAAAAGATGATTATACTTTTCATTTGCAACAGGGCTTTCATTTGATTCTCACATTAATCCCATGTGGTAGTTAATTAAGGTAGCATTACAAGGTTCAGTGAATTGTCTGAGATCTCACAAATACAACCTAGATAAGAACCCAGGTATTATTATTTTCAGTCTTGCAATATTATTTTCCTACTTGCAATATTATCTTCACTCTTCATTAAGTTTGCACAGCAAAGTAATGGAATAAGTTCTGGGCTTTAATCCTTGAGTAGTTTGGAACTGTAATGTGTTACATTTGAGAGAGAGCCCTTCATTTTGAATAAAACCTTGGTACTGATCCTGATCTTCTAACTTGGGTTAATGCTCTTCCCCTTTTCATGATTTTTTTCATTTGTGAAATGAAGTAGTTGCACTAGATAATTTTCAATTTTCCTTCCCACTTAAATCAATTTTAATTAAAAAAATTGCAGATGCCTTTTCTCAGATTGGAGTACACTTTTTGCTCCACACAATATCTGGTGTGTAAATTGGTATGTTCCGTGGAGTAAATACCTTTCCTGACTAGCCATTAACTTACTTCTGATTCCTGAATCCACTAATTTAACTATTGTTGAAATTACTAAAGGAAATTTTTCTTTAGCAAATGTAAAAACTCATATCAGGTCTCAGGTTTGATGTTGTAAAGCACTCTGACTCTTAGGAAGACTCTTTTTTTCCCCCAACCTCTCATAAACAAATTATTTCATTCATTATAAAATTTCATTCATTACATTTTCATTCTTCAGACTTGCAGTGTTTCCTCTCTGCTAAGTATAGTGTTAAGCACTGGCAAAAGAACTCTGGACACAACATCATGAACTTGCTCTCTGGGATCTTATAATCTAGTTGCAGAAGCAGATTGGTAAATACATAGTATAGCACAAGTACTATAATGGAGGCCTGAACTGAGTGCTGTGGGGGTACACAGATGAAGGCTTCTGGGAGACATCATGGCATAACTAGACCTGGAGGATGAATAAAACTTTGGCCAAGTAAATACAGAGATACACGAAAAGCATGGATAAATGGCACAAGTAGGTTCAGGGATGATAAAAGTGTTAGTATGTGGAGAGTGTACAACTATTTTGGGGAATGGGGAAACAGATTAAATTTGGGGCCAGACCCCGAAGGATGTGGGGATCCCATCAAAGTCTTTTAAGCAGGAGAATGATCAGATGCATTTTTTGGTATACTACCTGGGGGATAGGAGGAAGTGGACTACAGAAGGGGAGATCAGTAGAAGGAAGACAAGTTAGGAAGCTTTTCAGTCATTTTCATTAAACATGAAGCTTAATACATATTGTTCTAAGATCAGGAATACAGCAATAAAGAAAAAAACTTGCTGTAATGAAACTTACATTTTCTTGGGAGAGACAGAAAATAAACATGAAAAACAGATGTGTTCAATGGTGATAAAGCAGAAAGGGAGATGGGGAGTCAAGTGCATGTGGGGAGGGTGTTTAGGGAAGCACTTATGAAAGAGTAACATTTGAGCAAAGAGCCCTGATACAAGACAACAATCCAGACCCAAGACATTTGAGGAAAGAGCATCCATATAAAGGGAGTGGGAGGTAGAGAAAGCCTGGACCAGGAATGAGCCTGGTATGATTGAGGAAAACACAAGGGATGTGGCCAGAGAATAATAAGAGAATAAATTAGAGGGGTAATAGGCAATTGTATAGGGCCTTGTAAGCCATTGTGTGGACCTTGGATTTCACTCTTGAGTGACCTGGGAGCTAATGGGGGATTAAACAGAGGAGGGACAGGATCCTCTATGGTATATGGTAAATGAGTAGTATGGTAAATGAGGTAAATGAATAGTAAAAGGAACTGCTGTGGTAATTTAGGTAACAGATGATGATGGTTTAGGTGAAAATGGTTGGATTGTGGATATGGTTTGATTGGTGTTAGAACCAGTAGGATTTAGTGGTGGCTGGATGTGGACAATGAGAGAATAGAATGAACCAAAGCTATTGTAAACGTCTAGAAATCAGATGAGGACTTGACCAAAGGCATTGGCAATGAGAAAGTAGACAGGCACCATTCATGAGGTATTTCTTAGCATTGATAGAGTTGGATATAAATATCTGGAATTTTTAGCTGATTGAAATGTTAGTTGAAATGAATGATACCACTCAAGGTATGTGTGTCAAGAGGTATGGAGAAGAGCACAGAAGTTTTTGTAAACCAAGGGAGGAGAAAAGAAGGGATAGTCACAGAGCAGTAAAGAAAAATAAAGGTTAAAAATAGGTCACAGGATGTACATTATCCTAAGTTAAAATATTTTAAGGTTTGAATGAAAGGGTGCTGCAGGGTTTGCAAACTGGTGGGCTTCAGGCCTAAAATCTGCCTATACTGTTGTTTTTGCCTGACAGAATATCTTAAAATATCTGTATTTGAAAGCATTTAAGGCTTGACTTGTGCTCTACGCTCCACAGTCTTATCGTTCATAGTTTCTTGGCAAACTCACCACTCAAGCTGTGCCTCACTTATTTAGGAGATCTGCCTCACTAGGGTAGACATTTTAGGTTTATGACTCTTAAGTTTTCACCTGGACAGATTGGCTAACAAAAAGAACCTCACAGGTGGGTGACCTTGAATTCACCAGGTCATGCCATCAGTTCAGAGCGGCCGGAGAACTCTGTTCTCTTGTGCATTGATGCCCCCGGAGTTGTGAAACACAGTGACCCTGCTTCAGTTTTTTAGATTTAGAAACTGATCAGTGTCAGAGCGATCAGACACAGGAATGTTAATTCATGTTCAAAAATAATAACCAGGCTAGCATTTGTTTAGCACTTGCTATGTGACACGTACTGTTTTAAGTGCTTTACATGAATTGTTTAATCCTCACAACAACCCTGGGAAATAGGTCCTATTATTAGGCGCCCTTTCTACAGATGAGGAAACAGACAACAGATTGGTAAATTTCCCAAGATCACAAAGTAAGTCAGTAGGAACTCAAAGTAACCTGACTCCAGAGCCCACACTCTTTTTTTTTTTTTTTTTTAGCTGGTTCACGTCTCTTTAATGAGATCAAAGGCTCCTGTGTATGTCTTGCGGGGGTAAAGCTAGCACAGTCCCCCAATACTGCCCCTCTCCTCAGGGCTCCAGCCCTTTCAGGCAGATTCTAGGTAGGCAGGGAGGGGCCAAAAGGAACGCAAGGAGTTGGGACTAGGGCTGTTTCTGGTGGGCAAGTAACCCATCCACCCTCTCAAAACTACGTATGGGATGTCCCCTTCACTGGAAGACAGCCCCATGGGAAAGACCTGCGGTACAGAATCTGGGGGCAGTGCACACGGGGAGTAGTCCTCCAGATCTGGCAGGGTGGCACTAACCCTCACCTCCTTGACTGGCTCACCCTCACCGGAGGCAGGACAAGGGCAGAGCTTAATACCGGAGTCGCCAGTTAAACGGCGATAGCGGCAGGAGGGGGGTGTGGGGGCAGGGGTCACCCCTGCCCCAGGCTCACCCTCCTGATGAGGGAGGGCACTCTGGTGGGAGGAAACACCTTCCACATTTGTTCCTTCAAAATGGGCAGGGCAGCTGGATGAGGAGGAACAGCAGGTTTGTTCACTGGAAGCAGTCAAGGGGCGGCCTGGGGCGACAGTATAAGGCGCGGAGGCGGGGGGCGGGGGGTGGTGCCTGGGCGGTGAACCACATCCTCGTAGGCTGGGGGCTTGAAGGTGCTGAGGAGGCGAAGGTCAAGCAGTGAACCGGTAGGGAAAGGACCAGCCCCATGGCATGCCCCATGATAGGCCAACAAGTTGATTTCACGCTGCCGCTGCTGTTGTTGCAGCCTGAGTTTAGCTCGTCGGTGGCGGAAGGCCCAACAGCAGCTAAAGAGGATGAGGACAGTCCAGAGCAGCCAGAACCACCAGAGCTCATAGTAGTAGGTGCAGCAGCCAGTCTCCCTGCAGCAGTGACCACTCTCACAGAGGTAGGGCTGGTTGTTCACTCCTGGGCACAGCTCTCGAAGCTGCTGTTGCGGCGCCCGAAGTGCCCCCCAGGCCTCCTCGCTGCCGTTCCCGCTGCTGGCCCGAGCCATACCTCCACCTACAGCCCCCTGAGGACCACAGCCTCCTCTACCGCCAGCCGCCCCGCCCCTGCCACCTCTGCTGCCACTGCCATGGTCCCTGCCCGGCCCATCTTCGCTGAGGCCACCATCACTCCGCGGCCGGAGCTTCCATCCCCAGAGCCCACATTCTTATCTGAGCATATACATCCCCATCACAAGAGAACGCCAGTTTATTCAAGTAAAATAAGGACTAGAAATTTACATCAGGGAATGTATTCTTTCACTGTAGAATGCTGAATGGAAAACCAAATTTCAATAGTTGCCTACTGAACAAGATCATGAGATAACAACAAGGGAGTTGATTATAAATGACTAGAAGTTTTAAATGGCATCGACTCTGATAAAGTGATAATCTCAGCTCCATGATATACTCGTCAAGCAGTTACTTACATCAATCTGCCTTATAGGATATCCTTTCTCCTGGTTAATGCTTATGTGATAGTGTTTTGTACCTTTCCTTTTTCACTGCTTTCATTGCTGACCAAACTACTCACCTCCATATTTCTGGTAGATATATTTCTTTTCATTGCATGTTAGTATCTTAAATTTAGTCCTATCTTTTACTTGATCCTCCGTGCTTGACTTCCTAATCTATGTTCTGGTTTATGTTTTAGTTTTACAGTTGAGCTTTCTGAGGACATTCTTATTCCCAGTATCTTTTTTTGGGTGGTTGGGTTCTGGGAGGTGGTATTTGACTGCTGCTGATGTGTACCAACCAAGACAGTAGTCATTAAGTGACTAACAATAATGATTTCAGCAGATTATTATTACTCTTGGCAAAGAGCAAGCTTTCTCTATTGTAAATGATTTTATATTTGTTTTGTTTTTCTTTATTTGTAATTTGAGTTCTAGCTTAACATTATTACTTCAGATAACTGTTAATACATTTTCATAAATCATACTCACATTCTTGAATGGCAAATAAATAAATAATCAAGTTCCAAGTAGTTTCTAAAGAGAGTAAACATTAAAAGTAAACATAAAACTACATAAAAATCGATCACAGTCTATTCATAAAGTTGGTATGAAAATAAAGATCCTAGATTTGGAACCCTCATGATACTCAATATTTTACATATATCAGAGTTTGTAATTTCCATAACTTCATTTGGTAGTTAGACATATAGACAGAGAAGATAATAATATATTCATTATATATATATTTATATATAATATTCATATTATATATATATGTCTATAACATTTAGACAGAGAAGATAATAATATATTCATTTTATAGTTTAGGAAACAGACTTGGAAGGGCAAATAACTTGTCTAAGATGACTAAGCAGCTGAGTGAGAACCACAGCCTATCTGTGGCATTCAGTTTCAGCCATCTTTCCCTTGCTTCATAAGGATAGTTACTCTGGTATCAGTTGCTGGATTGGGATTTTGGGCATTTATAAATGTTTTTATTTTGGATATTACTGAATCACAGACAATTTCATCTTAGTTAATTAAAAATTCATCTTACGTGACACTTGTCTAAATCTTAAAATATTAAAATTTTAATGTATAAGGATGTTAATAATCTTTATATTTTAAGAGACTATGAAGTCAAGTCTAGCTAACTTAGATCTGTAAGTTTTTAGCTATGGAAAGCAATTCTATTGTGTACAAGTTTCAGCCTGTGAAGGGAATTCATTGAAAATGTATAGAGATCAGAAGAACTAACACCTTTCTTGCATGGATTTTTCTTGATTATTGGCAGTTAACAATAAAATGTTATTAGATCACTGGTGCTTCTGTGTGGGGTTGAGTTTTTTATGATATCTTCTGTTAGACCCATAAGGGAGGCTGTGAGTTGTTTTCTACATCCTTGGAATATATAAGATCCTCTTTTAAAATTATATTTTATATAAGCACATGAAAATGGAATGAAATAATGAATTGACATAGGAATTACCTACATATTTTGGCTGTACATTTAGTGCACAAAATATCCCTTTTTTGAATGCCAAATGGCCAAGTGTGAAAACCAATATTTGTTAAAGCTGGAGCAGAAGTCGGTATCATCATCATAGAGTAAACTTCTGGCATATGTGAAGATATGAAATGTTATCCCTGAAGTTATTATAATTTATTCTCAGAAATATTAGTAATCTTATTTTAAGAGTAGGACATTATAGTGCAGTAATGATAATTTTCTCAGTGCTGCCTGTTGCTAGATTGTTTCTATGATTGCTGTCATGCACATACAGACACTAAATTGAGGGTCACTTTCCACTGAAGTTAGTGGAATACAAAATAGGTGGAGGAACTTTCTTCCTCTAACGTCTTTATATGTGTCTGTGTTTATATATACGTGTATGTATATAAATATGTATACACATATATAATATCTGGAGCAAAAATGATTATGTTGTAAGAACTTTTGGAGGTTTTCCTCCTCATAAAATTCCGAAGTGGTAGAGTTAACATTCTGCTTTTAATTTATCTACAAAAACATGTGAAGAATCCCCAAATAAGATTTTCTCATAGAAGATTCATGGATTTTGAGTCTCAGAAAAAAAAGGAAGAAAAAAACTTCATGGTATAAAACAACTAAAAATTAAACATAGTCTTTAGAAATGATTTTGTTTAGTATAATTAATACTGGTATGACAACTGAATGCAATTGAAATTATGATATAAAATTTCTATTCTGCTTTGTATTTTTCATTAAAGTTTTTATAATTGTCATCTGAAAAAGGATTTAATATTCTTAAATTCATTAGCTAACTCTCTCAATATTATTACACTATTATTTGCCTATTTGAAAATTGTTACTTTCTTTCGTACATAAATAGCATTCATAATCATTGTGACATTTTCTTCTTGCATTAATGTACATTTATACTTCATCTAATTGAGAAAATTTTAACATACAAAGTGACACAAAAAGATTTTCATTCCAAGTTTTATGTAAAACACCTAAAATTGGAAAATGAATATTCAGATACTAAGAGTAAATTTTTTTTTTTTTTTTGAGACGGCATCTAACTCTGTCACCCAGGCTGGAGTGCAGCGGTGGGATCTTGGCTCACTGTAACCTCTGCCTCCCGGGTTCAAATTATTCCCCTGCCTCAGCCTCCTGAGTAGCTGGGACTACAGGCCCACAACGCCATGCCCGGCTAATTTTTGTATTTTTTGGTAGAGACGGGGTCTCACCATGTTGGCCAGGCTGGTCTCAAACTCCCAATCTCAAGGGATCTGCTGGCCTCAGTCTCCCAAAGTGCTGGAATTACAGGCGTGAGCCACTGCACCTATATGACATACTTGAAAAAATATTCTTGGGCCGGGTGTGGTGGCTCACGCCTGTAATCTCAGCACTGTGGAAGGTCGAGGGTGGATCACCTGAGGTCAGTAGTTCAAGACCAGCCTGGCTAACATGGTGAAACCCCATCTCTACTAAAAATACAAAAATTAGCTGGGTGTGGTCGCATGCGCCTGTAATCCCAGCTACTTGGCAGGCTGAGGCAGGAGAACTGCTTGAATCCAGGAGGCGGAGGCTGCAGTGAGCAGATTGCACCACTGCACTCCAGCCTGGGAGACAGAGCGAGTCTCTGTCTCAAAAAAAAAAAAAAAATTCTCACTTTCTGTTGTTGTTGTTTGTTTAATGATTAATAGACGATTTATTTAAGCAAGAATACATAGTCATCATTGCCAGACTTAATATGACAGGTTAAATGTTGGACCCAATTTTCCTTCCCAGATAAGTTTTTCTTTCCTATCCCTGTCAGTTTTGAAAACATAATACCAGAAGAAGAGGGGCCCAATTCCACACAGAGCTCCCAAGAGTGAGTTTTTAGGAGTGGGTCTGAAATTAGGAAAGACACTTGCTGATCTTGCATAGGTCCAAGGAATCAAGGCAGGATTTTCGATGAGCCCTCGGCAGTTAGGGTAAGCAGGTTTCAGCCAGGCTCTTAATGGTCAATCACTTGGCTTGCGCCCGCTGGGTTTCCGAAGACATGTCCTATTCGGCTGGTTTGAGGGCATAGTGGCCAGGGGTGAAGGAGTATACTTTGGGAACGACATCTTGGCGACCCAGTGCACAACTCACTTTTTTTTGGAAACGAGGTTGGCTCTGTCGTCCAGACTGGAGTGCAGTGGCGCAATCTCGGCGCACTGCAACCTCCGCCTCCCGAGTTCGGGCGATTGTCCTGCCTCAGCCTCCCAAGTAGCTGGGACTACGGGCGCACACCACCACGCCCGGCTAAATTTTGCATTTTTGGTAGAGACGGGGTTTTGCCATGTTGCCCAGGCTAGTTTTGAGCTCCTGGGCTCAAGCGATCTGCCCGCTTTGGCCTTCCAAAGTGCTGGGCTTACAGGCATGACACTGTGCCTGGCCAGATTTTTGTTACCCTGTTTAGATATGATGGTAACTGAATGATCATGCAATCTCTGACCATGTGACATTCAGGGATACCAAAAATGACTTGAGATGGGCCAAGGCAGAATTGGAGAAGCATACTTTGGCTGAATACTTAGGCCAAAGTATAATTTGGAACATTTCTTTTAAAAAATCTACTCCCCTATGCCTCCCAGTTGCAGTACCTTACAATTACAGTTAATCTAGTAGCAGATACTTGATTGGGATATTAGGTATTTACAGACCAAATGCCCATTGGGATATTACTCGGTAACAGGCAGTTTCACTCTGGTTCATTGTAGATTCATCCAGTAAGCATTTCTAGAGAACTGCTATATGAAAATATTGTGGAAAGTATCAACTTTTTAAACTTTTGATGTCATGACACCTAGAAGATTATTTTCTGATACTCATATTCTAAGGGAATTTTATTTTCTGAGATTTGTTTCTGTGGAATTTCTAGTTCCCCAGTCTGCACTGAAAGCCTAAATCAAGAGGATAATTTGAAAGGTAATGAAAGTAAATCAATTCTAGCTTAGATACCCAAGAGAGTAAATGAAATATAAAAATAATAACTTTTAAAATGTCTCAAAAAAAAGCTATGGTAAGCTAATTCTGTTTGGTTTATTCATGCAATAGTCTGTCTCTGCTTATGACATAAAGTATAATATATTTTAGGAATAGTGTGGTTTTCTTCATGATGTCAAACATACAAGCTTATGGATATATTTAAAAATTCTTAATTTTCTAGATTAATGTTCAGTACTACTTCTTCCATCTTGCATTGGATGGGGGCAGATAATTAATAATTATCAGATATTTTCTTATCAAAAACAAATTTGTTGGAAAAAAAATTTTTTTTTTTTGAGATGGAGTCTCGTTCTGTCACCCAGGCTGGAGGTGCAGTGGCGCAATCTCGGCTCACTGCAAGCTCCACCTCCCGGGTTCACACTGTTGTCCTGCCTCAGCCTCCCACGTAGCTAGGACTACAGGCGCATGCCACCATGCCCAGCTAATTTTTTTGTATTTTTAGTAGAGACGGGGTTTCACTGTGTTAGCCAGGATGCTCTAGATCTCCTGACCTCATGATCTGCCTGCCTTGGCCTCCCAAAGTGCGGGGATTACAGGCATGAGCCACCGCACCAGGCCTCAATAAAATATTTTATAAATACCTTTAAGGAATAATACAAACACAACCAGAGCTTAAATAAATAAATGTAAATCAATCTGCTTGCTGGTTAAGTAATGAGTTCAGTGTTTCCGCACAGAAAGTGGGAGAGATAGATGAAGAAGAAAATAAAGCTTATTACATGTTGGGAAGGATTCTAGGCACTAAGTTCCTTTTTTTGAGACAGAGTCTCATTCTGTCGCCCAGGCCGGACTGCAGTGGCTCCATCTTAGCTCACTGCAACCTTTGCCTCCCAGGTTCAAGAGATTCTCCTGCCTCAGCCTCCCAAGTAGTTGGGACTACAGGCACCTGCCACCATGCCTGGCTAATTTTTGTATTTTTAGTAGAGATACGGGTTCACCATTTTGACCAGGTTGGTCTCGAACTCCTGACCTGAAGCGATCTGCCCACCTTGGCCTCCGAAGTGCTGCGATTACAGGCGTGAGCCACTGTGCTTGGCCAGTTCTAGGCATTAAGTTCTAATTGGTTCATTTGGGGACTCGAAATTCTCCATTTTATTTTATTTTATTTTATTTTATTTTTTCTGCTTTTGTCACAAAAGCACAGACATTGCTTAACAAAGAGGTCTGAGACAGGATATGAATGTTAAGCTCAGGGACATAGGGTCAACACTTTTGAGTGCACAGACTGGGAACCTGGCAGAGTTTTAACAATCCCCTCCCCTATTTTCACCATCCCTTAGTCCTGTAGAAGTAGAGCAGATGATTACGTATTCACTGCTGTATGGCTTATTACCTTTGTAGGAATTCTAACTGAAGGGCTTGGCATTTGGCCTGACTGAATATCAGAATCCCTTTATTTTTCGTTCCATTGCAAAATAATTTTTTGTGCCATCAGTGAAATAACAGCTATGCAGTGGCATATACAGCTCTGGAGACCAGGCATTAGAAGACTGTGAGACAAGAATAACCAGAATGATGATAAGGAGACACTGGAAGTCACTTTAGATTGATGACCAAAGATTTCCTTATTCTGACCAGGAGGTCAGATCTCAAAGGTCCTTCTGAGTCCACTTTTGATTAGCCAAATTGTCTTTTCTTTCAGTTTGACTATAGGTTAGTCAACCTTCCCTCCACATTCATCAGGGACTGTTAGCAATATGTCATATTTTTTTCTTGGTGTACCATTAAGCAATCTAAAGCTATGCTGTTACCTGTAACCACTTGGATTAATTATTTTAGATTAGTTGGTTATACTTCTAGGGCTTTATGGCTTTATCTTTTCAGTCAGCATTATTAACCAAGTTTTGATAGCTTTTTCAACTTTTGTAACCCCCATCCAGGGAGATCAGTGTCCTCTCAGACACTTCCAGGTAAGCATGATCTCCTGGAAGACATGAGAAGTCTCTTAAATTGTCTAATTATTACATTGGAGCTACATAATAACTCCAATATACCTGGAGTTATTATGTGTATATGCAAGTTAGGTTCTAATGAGGCAAATATAAGTAAATATGTTGTTGATTCAGGAGGTAAAAATTAGGAGAGCCACGTGTAGTTTTAAAAACAAAAGAGGAATTACTTGTAACAAAAGTAAGTAAGAAAGGAATTCTCAGTTATCTCTTGGGTAGAGATACCTTGCATAGAGTTCAGCAAAAATTGCAAAGGTTGTCATAGGACTATGGAGGCCATTAGGCTAATTAAAATTTATAATATTGCCCATATATTTGTACTAAGTCTCATTCCTGAAGGATTTTATATTTGGGTTGAGGCTTTGAGAAATTCTAAGACTGGCTTGGGCAGTAAAACAAACCAAGTAAAAATTGCCATGGCTGTAAATAGTCAAAAAGGGGTAAGCTAAGTTTCTGCAAACTAAACAATTTCAGAGGGTGTAAGAATGTATTGGATAAAGGATGAAGATAAAAAGCACTTTGGAGACTATTGATACTCATCAGATTTTACCACTGATAATTTTTCAAGAGGAACTGTTTATGAAACTATAAAGAGAAAATGGAGATACAAAAAGCCATCCAAGATGTAAATGCCGAAGGCCAAGTTTTGAGATAAACAGAAAATCACAAAAACTCATGTCAGGTGGTTCTTCCATGGCCCCAGTGTGAGCAGACAGTATTTTCCTTGAGGAGAAATACTAGTTTGGTGGGGGTAAGGTAGGGAGTTAGTTTAAGGATTAATCAAGAGAACTATACATATGCTATTTAGGTTGAGGGTAAAGATCAGAGTAGGCATGGGCAACACCTAGACTCAATCAAGTTACCTATCAAGCAAGCTGACATATTCAGACAAAGCAAGACTCCATCTCAAAAAGAAAAATAAATAAATAAAAAGAATTCCTTCATTATTTTGTCATGCTTTAAGGCCCAGGACAGGCCTAGGCAAAAGTTTTGATGGCCTTTTGTTACATCCCAGCCTTTGTATAAGGGCACTGGCTTTTAGTATTTAACTTCATTCAGTCATTACTGAAACAGTTGTTATGGAAGTCTGCATTAGTGAGACCTGGCCTGCCACAGGAGGTTGCAGTGAGCTGAGATCGTGCCACTGTACTCCAGCCTGGGCGGCAGTGTGAGACTCTGTCTCAAAAAAGAAAAATGATGCAGAAAGATTTGTTTGACACAGAGTGGGCATAAACTTTCAATTTGTCAAAAACATAGTATCTGTGAAGTACAATAAAATGTAGTGCAATAAAATGAGGTATGCTTGGATAGCAAAACATCATGTTGTACCTAGTAAAGGTATACAATTTTTATTTGTGAATTATACCTCAGTAAAGCTGGACAAATGAACTGTATTTGCAACATGGTAGGAATATATGACATTGGACATTAATGCAAATGGAATTTTCAGTGCCATGGTGAAAATGTTATACCACTGAACAAAAAAAAAGTAGTGTGAAATGAAGTAAAATGTGAAAATCCCTAATAAATGCAGAAATATGAACTGCTTATCCAAAAGAGAAAAGTCTTTTGAGTTCCTCAAGAAGATTCTCTCTTTGGATGCTGGGCGCGGTGGATGCCGGGCACCTGTATCCGAGCACTTTGGGAGGCTAAGATGGTTCACTGGAGGCCAGGAGTTCAAGACCAGCCTGTCCAACATGGTGAAACCCCGTCTCTACTAAAAATACAACAATTAGCCAGGTGTGATGGCACGTACCTGTAATCCCAGCTACTCGGGAGGCTGAGGCACAAGAATTGCTTGAACCTGGGAGGCAGAGGTTGCAATGAGCCGAGATTGCGCCACTGGAGTCCAGCCTGGACCACAGAGTGAAACTCCGTCTCAAAAAAAAAAAAAAAAGAAAGAAAGAAAGAAAAGAAGGTTCTCTCTTTGGGCACTCCTTTTCAACATATTCAGCATAAATGAATTAATGATACCATTTTTACTAGGTGAGTGTGTTTGGGCAAGTTGCTTCAGTGCTCATTCTCTTGGTTTCCTTTTTTTTTTTTTTTTTTTTTGAGACAGGGTCTTTCTCTGTCACCTAAGCTGGAGTGCAGTGGAGTGAACATAGCTCACTGCAGCCTCCAACACCTAGCCTCAAGAGATCCTCCTGCTTCAGTCTCCCAAATAGCTGGGACTACTGGCATGTACCACCATGCCTGGCTAGTTTTTAATTTCTCTTTTTTTGTAAGCACAGGGTGTTGCTATGTTGCCCAGGATGGTCTTGAACTACTGGGCTCAAGTGATCCTCCCACCTCAGCCTCCCAAAGTTTTGGATTACAGGCATGAGCCATGGTACCTGGCTGTCTTTTGCTTTCCTTATCTGTAAAAACTGAGGATAATAACAGTACCCTTACAAAGTTGGTGGAAGAATGATATTAGTTAATACAAATGAAGTGCTAACAAAAAGAGCTTTGGAACACAGCAAGTACTTGTTAGGTATGGCTATTGTCATCAACACACTTTTCAAGGCAAACTTGTGGTTTCACCTATCACCTGAGATATATGACTTCTAAGTCCATCAGATCTTCTCTTTTGGTTTTTATTTTTAAATTAATTAAATATTATTATTCTTATTATTTGAGACAGAGTCTGCTCTGTCACCCAGGCTGGAGTGCACTGGCACGATCCCAGCTCACTGCAACCTCCACCTCCCACGTTCAAGCAATTCTGGTGCCTCAGCCATCCAAAGAAGCTGGGATTACAGGCGTGCACCACCATACCCAGTTAATTTTTGCATTTTTAGTAGAGATAGGGTTTCACCATGTTGGCCAGGCTGGTCTTGAACTCCTGGCCTCAAGCAATCCACCCATCTGGGCCTCCCAGTGTGCTGGGATTACAGGCGTGAGCCATCGTGCCTGGCCCTCTTTTCATTTTAGAGATAGGAATCTCATTCTCTTCCAGAGGCTGGAGTGCAAAGGCATGAACATAACTCATTGCAGTCTCCAACTCCTGGGCTAAAGGGATGTTTCCCCCTCTGCCTTTGGAGTAGCTGGGCCTCAGAACTGTGCCACAACTACTGGCTTCCATCAAGATCTCTGTCCTACCATTTCATCTTCCTACTAGGCTATCCCCACATGGATAGATAAATGGTACCTCAAGTGAAAGAAATCAACTACCTAAAATAGGATTTTCCACTCCAAACTAGATTTTCTTTACATGTCATTTCTGTTAATGTGGGTCACACACACTGGTAAGCTCAGAATCATCTTTTTCTTTTCTTTTATTCACATCCAATATGGTTGAAATAAAACAAAATGCTGTTTTTCCTTTTTTAGAAAGGCAATACTTGTTCATTATATCAAAATTTAGAAAATATGGAAAAACAAAAAGGATAAAAAATTATCCACAACCAAAATAGCCCAAATTTCCAGTTAAAAATATCAACGCATTTGATATTTGTCCACATAAGACTGTAATGTTTACACAAATGTGAGCTTTTAAAATCTAAAAGGCTCTCACTATTAAAAATGTTTTGTTAAATTTTGTTTTAAAAGTAAGATTTTAATATCCAAATTCCCAAAATAGACATTTTTGAAGATTTGGAAAATACAGACGGCTGAAAATCTTTACATTATTACTGTTAAATTTTGGTATGTTCTGTTATTCTGCTAGTGAAATATATATAGATTTGGGGGGCTATTCCTTTTCCTTTTTTTTTTTTTTTTTTGAGACAAGTGTCTCACTCTGGTGCCCAGGATGGAATGCAGTGGCGCTATCACAGTTCATTGTAACCTGGAACTCTTGGGATCCTCCCGCCTCGACCTCCCAAAGTGCTGGGGCTACCGGCTTGAGCCACTGTGCCAGGCGAATGGCTGTTCCTATATACACAGTTGACCCTTGAATAACATGGGTTTGAACTGCCTGGGTCCACTTATAAGCCGACAGAAAATACAGTATTGGAGGGGCCTGCATATAGAGAGGTCTGACTTTTCCTCTAAGTGTTCCACCCGCAGGACTGACTGCGGGATTTGAGAATGCGCTTTTTTTTTTTTTTTTTTAGGAAGTCTTACTCTCGCCCAGGCTTGAGTGCAGTGGCGCGATCTCAGCTCACTGCAACCCTCGCCTCTCAGTTTCAAGCGATTCTCGTGCCTCAGCCTCCCGAGTAGCTGGGATTACAGGGGCCCACCTCCACGCCCGGGTAATTTTTTGTATTTTTAGTAGAGATGGGCTTTCGCCATGTTGGCCAGGCTGGTCTCCAACTCATGACCTCAGGTGATCCGCCCGCCTCGGCCTCCCAAAGTGTTGGGATTACAGGCGTGAGCCACGGCGCCCGGCGGGCAAGACACCCTCAGAGCACAGGGTGCTGCCAAGAGCCCGGCCGAGTGCAGCTCGAGCGCCGACGTCGCCAAGGATACACAGTGCTGACGCAGTACACAAGTGCGTCACAGTGGTCCTCCGCCGGCTACGTCAGTGGCTTTCAGGCGCTTTCCTCTTGGAATTTATAAGTTAATCTTCCATTTTTTTAAATTAACTTTGTTTGGCATGGCTATAGGGCTCAGTAATAATTGTGTGCACTTTTATCAGTAGGATAGTTTTCTCTAGAACATTTTCAATGTTTGTTTCTATATGAGATGGTATTAACTCAGGTTGTAAAAGAAATAGTATAAACCTAGAATACCATAGTATTTTTTCAATTGTATTTCAGTTACGCCTGGTAACTCTGAGGTATCTGTTTAGGCTGTCCTTGAATAAGGAGGCTCTACCTCAGCACACTCACAATATAGTGAGGGCCAATGTCTGATCTTCACTTCTATTTCTTGAGGATAACATATATAGTCTTAGATGGGTAGAAGAAAGGAGATAATTTGGGAATGGGAGCATGGAAATAGGTTACATTCAATTACTGGCATATGGACTTTGAAGACCCAGGTAAAGATCCAAATATGTAGTTAAGGCCACAGGACTTGAGCCTACACAAGCTTTTGAAGCTTGAAACAAAGGAGGGGAATGTATGCTTTAATTTATAATGCAATTTAATTTCATCATTTCTGTTTTTGACAAACTGGCTCTTATTTAATTACTAGCTAACAAATTACAAGGCAAAGTTAAGCACACACACATACAAATCTGCTAAATCATAAAGCAGGAAAATATTTAATAATTTGTATCATTCAATAGCCAAATTTGTTTGCATGCTCATATTACTGTAGTCAAAACCAAAATCAACACTTTTTTCTGAAAACTATTGTTCTAAATTATTGAATTTATATTAAAGGCACATATAGCCTATCCAGGCCATGTCACCACTCACAGCTCTATCCTCCCTATTTTGAGTAATGATGCTTATGGGTATTCAGGGCAAAGGAGGTATGTCAAGAATATGTTTGGAATTATTGCATGAAGAGAATATTATCAAAACCCACTTAGAATAATGGAGAGATCAATTTCAAAAGCAGAAAGAGAGGGAAGAAATGAGTTCATACGGTACATCTGTATATCTTATAGAGAAGATCTGTAGAAAAATGGACTAATAATAATGGGCTGGTGAGGAAGACTGAATCATCTGATTCTATTGAATGGTTAAAAAAGAATATATAAAAAATAGAAACATAAAAACATCTGTGAGGGAGACAAACACGACTATGTTTAAAAGGCTCATGAATTGAGGTTTTGTTTCCTTGTATGCCCCCCAGCCCCCCCAAAAAGAAACTACAAAATATAATTTTCTTAAAAGCTTCAGAAAGTACAATTTTTAACAAGAACAGAAAACCTTTGTGACTATACAGGCCACAGCTGACACTGATCGCGTGTTTTGCAGCCAACCTGTAAGGATGTTAATAAGCTTTTAATACCTATGCTGCCATTTCTGAACACAATAAAAAAAAAGATGATGCTGATTGGTATACAATCAATCAACCCTGCTTGATATGGTTTAGGGAACATGTGTGAGTTTAAAAATCATTTTGTACAACAATCACTGAATCATCAGAGAATACAGTAGTATCTACTGTGTTACATGAGAAATAGAATCTGTTTAGGGTTTAAATTAGACATCATACATTATGTGTATGATAGGTTTAGGTTTAGACATAAAAACATATGTTTAACTAGCTACATCTTTAATATACAAGTATAAAGAAACCATTCATTCATGAACATCTAAGTTAAATTCACAGTATATACTTAGTGCAGCCATGATTCTCTTTGCTAGATTACTGACATCACAGTAGGTTTCTATGATTCTCTCTTGAATAAAGCAATGATGTGAAAAGCTCCAGGACACAAGCTGCTATTATAGCCTCCTGAAATCAGATTTCCAACTACAAATGGTCCTGACAGATCCTTAAGGCATTATTCTTCTATTGATAACAGGGTAATTGTCACTAAGTTGTCTTCCTTTGTTCTTAGGCTGAGGTCTTTTCTGGTTCCCTGTTCCTTCCACTTGCATTATAGTGATACAGACATTAAATTCATAAACTCATTTATTTTCTCATTCTAATGTTTAATAAAGGACTAAGACCTATCAGATACTATGTTTTATACTGGGAATTCAGTGGTGAACACTACAAAACCTAGGCTCTCATGCCCTTCATACTGATGTGGAGGAGTGTAATAAATGTCAATTACATTGGTTTCCTCAAATGATTCTGTGGTTTCAAGGTGGCATTAGAAACACTAGAAGACATGCTTAAAAAAAATATATATATATATATCTCCCTGAATTCCACATATAGAGATTCCTTTTCATTAGATTTGAAATAGAATCTGGAAATTTACAGTTAACAAACAAACGAAACAAACTAAAAATCTCTCCAAGTGTGCTTTGTGGTACACAGTTAGGCTTAGGAAACATTGGTCTAGTGTAAAGTAACATTTGATTTTGTAAAAGAGAGCAACAAAACCATGTATTTATTCTCTTCCATCAGAAATGTTGAGGGCCAGCATAGCTCATATGAGCTCTGTGGGTGGTAATAGTGATAGAGGAATGAATGACCAGAACATAACCTACTGGAAGTAATGACTTCCTGAAGTTAGAGTTTGAAAGTCACATATGTAACAAACTTAAACATGTATCCCTGAACCTAAAAGCTAAAAAGCACCAAAAAATTAATTTAAATTGAAAAATACTAATGAGGTAGTAACATTTTATTTTAGAATTTCTAAATTTAGAACATGTGTATTTTAAACAAAAATCAGCTTTTTAAATTTCAGCATTTAATTACATAACATTTTAATAGGAGATAGAAATGTTTAACCTTTAAATTCTGCACATATGTGGTGTATATGCAGGAATATTTCCACATCTCTCAATCACATGCAGGCTTTAATCCATTTAAGTATTGAATTAAAAAAAATTCCCCACTAACAGATGTATCAGAAGCCAAAACAACTGGTTAGCTAATTAATACAAAAATGCCTGAAACTAAGAATATGTTCATACTTAAAATAGTAATTACTGGTTTATGCTCATGAGATTGATGAATATCTACTCTGTGGTGATATAGTTAACCAAGTTAAGACTTCAGGTTCAAAATAACAATTAACCATATGGAGTTATACCTTCTCCACTATGTAACATGAGAAATAGAGTCTGTTTAGAGTTTAAATTAGACATCATACGTAATTTGTAGGTATAAGTAATTTTCCTAAGAATTTTCAAACAATTTGGTTAGCAACAAAGAACAAGCAAAACTCAAGAAGAAAAATGTCTAAAATAATCATAAAAAATAAACATATGTTTAATTAGCTACATCTTTAATATAGAGGAGCTGATATACAAGTATAAAGAAACCATTTGTTCATGAGCATCTGAGTTAAATTCACAGTATATACTTAGTGCATCCATGATTCTCTTTGTTAGATTATAGACATCACAGTAATTTTCTGAGATTCTCTTTTGAATGAAGCAATGATGTGCAAAGCTCCAGCAAACAAGCTGTTTTTATAGCCTCCTAAATGACAAAAATGCACAACAATAAACACAAGGGGAAGAAAACCACAATGAAGAAGTGATTTTTAACAATTATCTGAAGTTGGTGCTATAGACAATGGTTGTGACTCCCCCCCAAAATTCATATGTTAAAATCCAATATCCAATGTGATGTTATTAAGAGCTGGGGCCTATGGGATGTGATTAGGTCATGAGAGTGGAATCTTCATGAATGGGATGAATGACTTTATAAAAGAGGTCCCAAGAGTTCTTTTGTCCACATCCATTATACGAAGGTACGGCATAGAACTGCCATCTATGAACCAGGAAGTGGGTCTTCACCAGAGAACAAATCTGCCTGTGCCTCTATCTTGGACTTCCCAGTCACCAAAACTGTGCAATACATTTCTGTTATATATAATGTCAAGAGGCCAGCATGATACGTTTCTGGAAAGGTTCTCTTTCTGGCTTGGAGATGATTGCTTTTTTGCTGTGTCTTCATGTGGCTGGCAGAAAGAGAGAGAGAGAGAGAAAGCAGATAAGCTCCTGTGTCTCTTCTTATAAATCTCATAATGAGAGCCCCCCCCCAGTGACCTTGTCTAAACCTAAGTATCTCTCAAAGGCTCCATCTCCAAGTGCCATCACGTTGGGGGTTAGAGCTTCATCTTGTAAATTTGGGTGGGACTAAATTCAGTCCACAGTAACACTTTTAGATTTGAACTTTTCCACACTCTGTTGCAAATTAAATCAATTTCTTTGGGACGATATTTGGAGCACTCTGTTTATAGCCTCCTCTTCCCAAGAAAAATCCTTGAGCCATGGCTTTGGAGTTGAAAATGGGGACAACGTCACACTTATCCCTGAGCGACACTCCCAGTTTAAGACTGGGTGCTCAGTTCCAGGAGAAGACTCAGATCTTCTGCTTGCCTCTCCCAGCATGAAGTTGCCATCCTGCAAGAGAGGAAAAGGCTAATCAGTGACGCAATATTCTTGGCAGTGTTTCACCCAAGGTAGAGCCTTAGTCTCACAAGCGTGAGCTGGGAAGAAAAAGGAAGCTCCTATTTCTTAGTTTCACTCACCCAGAATTTAGCAACAGGTAGCTGGGGACTGGATGAGGAATGTCAACATCCTGCCCATGCTTCCTGGGAGGGTAGTCCCGTGACTAAAAGCTGGAGGCAGAAGAATTCCTCCATTTTTGGCTGCATCAGTCTGGAATGGAGTTTCTGGCTCACTGAGCTCTGACAGAGGAAAAAGAGAATGGTTCTTGGTTCAATAACCACAGACTCTCACTGTTCTTGAAGAATTTTAATAGATTTTTGGAATAAAGGTTTCTTAATTTGCTATATACATTTAGTACCATTTCCTGAGACTTAAATGTAGACACACACGCACGTGCGTGCACACACACGTACATATATAATAAATACAACATATATATAAAATATATGTATAATTTTCAACAATTTCACTGGGTCACAGGTCTAAGAAGATTCTCACCTTGTAACACCAGAAGTGGAACAATCCTAGTAGTAATGTATTTAACTGCTTGAAAAAAAATTAAAATTATTCACTAGAGAAATAAAATTAGTTAAAGAAAACAGAGGTTATTGTTTGGATATTTTCGGCTCATAGCAAATTAATGGGTGTTCTGCAATTTAGTAGTTCCAGAACATACATTCAAGCTTCTACTCTTTTTTATGATAAACTAAAACCCATCATTTGAAATCTCCAACCATGTAAACAACAGTCTCTAGTAGGTTTTTGCTGCTTCATTCTAAAATATGAACAAAGAAATATCACCACACATCTAAGAAAAACATGTACAGAAAGAAAATAAGAAAAAACAAAAAGCAAATCAGTCCAGACGAAAGAAACAAAATTAAAAGAATAAAAAAACTATAGTAAGTTTCCAGAGAGTGAATCCAAAAAAAAAAAGGAGGAAGAAACACACAACTATGGAAAAAGAAAAATGTCTTTGAAATTTAAAATCACCAACAAAATTTTTAATATAAAAACTTGAAATTAAATTTAAATAAATCTCATAAAAAAGATTAAAAATGTGGAAAAATATAAAATTAGTCTTTGTTTCGTAGTTTTAATATATGATTATTGGGCATTCTATAAAGGGAGAATACAGAATCTATGAGTAAAACATATTCAGTAAATAATAGAAGAGACTTTCCCAAAGAGGACACAACTTTTCATATCAAAATACCCAGAACAATAAATGAAAATTGATAACCTTTCTTTTCTATATAATTGTAAAATTTTATAACAGCAAAGAAAATACAAAAACAAAGTGTTCCTGGGAGCTAGGACTGGAGTTGTTGATAAGCAGTCAGTTACGTACAAAAGAATGTGTAGTTCTGACATCAAACTTTTCATCAATTATGCTGAATGCGAGAAACCAATGAAGAAATGCTTCAAACTTTGAGAAGAAAATGCACGGATGTGAGAAAGTTTTTGCTCCCTAAACTATCAAATGTAAAGGTGAAAATAAAGAACTTTTCGGCCGGGCGCGGTGGCTCATGCCTGTAATCCCAGCACTTTGGGAGGCTGTGGGGGGGTGGATCACGAGGTCAGGAGATCGAGACCATCCTGGCTAACATGGTGAAACCCTGTCTCTACTAAAAATACAGAAAATTAGCCGGGCATTGTGGCGGGGCGCCTGTAGTCCCAGCTACTCGGGAGGCTGAGGCAGGAGAATGGCGTGAACCCAGGAGGCGGAGCTTGCAGTGAGCCGAGATCGCGCCACTGCACTCCAGCCTGGGCGACAGACGACAGAGCGAGACTCCGTCTCAAACAAAAAAAAAAAAAAAAAAAAAAAAAAGTTTCAAGCAGGAAGGTCTTGAACATGTTCATTTCGCTCATTTCATGTATTTCAAGATGTTTTTTGAGAATATCCTCTAGGAAAAATGCAAAGCCAGGAAGATGAAGACATAGAATCCAATAAAGCAATAAGGGAAATTTCAGCATTGCAGCCATTTAAGAGTCCTACAGAACAGTCCAGCTGACAGTGTGAGGACAGGGGATCCAGAATGGAAGATTCTGCATTATGAAAGAAACTGAGAGACTAGATAAAATGATTAAAATGATTGTTAGCTCAGAAAAATTTGAGATGGTAAAATCAATTGTGGCTTATAAAAAAGAAAAAGCCATTTGAAATAGCTAAAATATTTGAAATGGCTAAAAATATTCTACTATATGCAGTTAGGTGGCTGTGACTTTGAATGTGTAGAGATAGGAGTGTGGTCTTAAGCATACTACTGTTGGTTAGCAGAACCGACATAGCTATTTTTAACTAAAAATTTGGAACAAATTGCTGTTTTTCTGGGTGAGCTACACAAAAAAATAGTCGGCTTGTGTTGCAAGGGCGTTTTGTATGAATACGTGTTCTTAAACTTTGTAATCTCATTAGGAGGACTTTAGGAATCGATATATCATGTTTCATTTATTGGCTACATTCATTAAATGAAGTGACAGGCACTACTTAAGTTGCTGTTTTTTTCTCTTCTTTTTTATTTTTATTTGCTGAATTTGTATAATTGAATTCGTATAAAATAAATGGAGAAAGGTGCAAACTCTCTGTCATCCTTCCTTTGGACCTTTCACTGGAAACTGTGCAGACCTTATCATTCGATATTAAAACGATACGCAATATAACTTAGGTTAAAAGCATGGTGGAGAATGATGGATTAATGAATGACAAGGAGATGAAAGAGGCATAGATGCAATTATGAACAAATAAAAATATCTTGTAATATATTAACAAAATGTTAGATAGCTGCTTAGATACAGATAGGGAGCTTTAGGTATAGAAATGGATAGATGAATAGTTGGGATGATGAGTGAAAAACCTGACAGACAGGCTTGTAGAAGTGAAAGTAGGTAATAAAAGGATGATGATGAGAAAGAAACTGATGGAGCGATGGTCAAAAAGAGTGAGAAATGGATAAGGATATAAACACATGGGAGATATTTATGCATTCATTTAATGAATATGTATTGGGCAACTATTAAAGGCCAGTCACTCACTGTACTAGGATTGGAGACACAATGTGAGCACAAAGAGATATATGTCCTCTGCCCTCATGGAGCTTGAAATTAGATGTGTTATTTGTGGGGCGTGTTAGGTGCTACAAGTCATTTTTTTATATGTAAGGAGTCAGAAAGGGATAGTGATGCAAGTTTTGCAATGGTTTTAAGTACAACTTCAAAATAAAGAGAAGACATTATATGATACTAGACAAATAGATAAAGAGTTGATGAAGATGGACGCTTGCAGGGCAGCTAGGTCAATAAATAAATGCACAGATGAAAAGAGGGATGGTTGATAAAGAGATAAAAAATGGTAACTATAAGTAATTAATGTTAATGAATGCAAATATGAAATAATGCAGAGGTAAACGGATTCATGATAAAATGGTAATATATAAAGACACAAGTGTGAAGAAATCAACAGTTCCTTCAGAAGGAAGTTTCAAATCTACCCTCCATATTTGTATTGTTTATATATTATTGCATCTCTTTAATTCAGGGAAATAAGGACACGGGAAGAAAATGTCTACCCAGATGAAGTACGATTAATATTTTTAAATAGAAAAGAAATCAATGCAAACAAAGCCTTTAATCTGAGGAACAGTTTTGGCTGTAGAAAATTATTGCAGATTCACACACAATATATTTTAATCCGTTTCAAAAGCTGAATCTTATAGTAATTATGTACCAAAGCAATTGGCTTGTAAAAGCTCCTTAAGCTTTCAGAGTCCCATAAATATGATAGTTGTTCCCTATTTTTAGCCATCAGTAATGGTTGCTTAGCAGCACTGGAAACTCTTGTCAGAAACCACCATCACATTGTAGATGGCACTGGAAACACTACTCTGCTTACAAACTCTCACCCAGTATGTAAGCCAATCAACTAGAGCTGCCAAGGGATAAATTTCACAAAACACCCAAAGAAAGAAACCTACCCTGCCAAGGAGGGAGATAAGTGCAACATGAAACAAACAAAGACTTGGAAGTTCTTTATTTTTGTTCAGATGTCTTCTAATTACACAACGATGAAAAACAAGGTTGAAATTTCGGTGTAAATTAGATGAGTATTGACAAGTTTCCAAATAAACTGAAAAATGCCTTACATCTGTAGGGTGCCTTGTTTTATCTACTTCATCAGAGTTGGCATTAATTCATTTATTACACACTTCATATACATTACAGCAGAAGCCTTATTATCTAATTGTGACCAATACTTAGTTGATTAATTGAAAACATTGGCTGAAGCTGAAAATCATTTACAAATTACATATACTTATCTTAGATAACGTATGTATTTTACATAATATAAACAAACATTTATGTTTCTCTGTGTTGGCCTCATTTTTCTTTCTCATGGCCTTTTAAATGTGTGTGGGTCCTTTGACTAAGCTTATCATTGTAAACCACATGATAAGGCATCATCTCTAATATTAAGTTTCACCTTCTATGAAATGTAGCAGAAACTTGAGGACACCCCTTAAGCAGAATGCTTCTAGATTTTTGTTTTATTTTTTCTAAACTCTCTCCCATATCTAATTGTATAAAAAAAATTAAAAATAGTAAAAATTTTTTAATTAACAAATTTCCTTTATCAAATCTTTTCCAATAGTTTGAGGTTTCATAAAAAGAATACTTCTCATTTTAAACTTATATTTAATTAGTTTCTATAATTTTCAATCAAATCAAGTTATTATAATAATTTGTACATTTGGCATAAAGTGATTTGGAAATGAACATAAAGGCTGTTGGTGAGCATACAACTCAACAGGTGGAAGCAGATGTATACAAGTGGGTAGGCAATTAGCTGTGAGTTTTCAGTATGCCTTAGAGCATTCATCACTATATTTTACAGAAGTAATAGAGTGCATTATTAATCTAGCAAGAGGCTAGATAAGAGTGTTTTGGGCCTGGTGCGGTGGCTCGTGCCTGTAATCCCAGAACTTTGGGAGGCTGAGGCGGGCGGATCACAAAGTCAGGAGTTTGAGACCAGCCTGGCCAACATGGTGAAACCCCATCTCTACTAAAGATACAAAAGTTAGCCAGGTGTGGTGGCACACATCTGTAATCCCAGCTACTTGGGAGGCTGAAGCAGGAGACTCGCTTGGAGGCGGAGGTTTCAGTGAGCCAAGATCGCACCATTGCACTCCAGCCAGGGTACAGGGCGAGACTCTGTCTCAAAAGAGTGTCTTGACATTCTGTTCCAGCCATTGTGCCAAGCTTTGAGCACATCAACTTGTAAGTCTCTGTCCTCAAGGAACTAACTACATTAAAACTAAATTTCAAAAACGTTTTCTTTGTACAGTTGAGGTGAGTCTTTGTTCCATCTCTTACTCAAGCTGTGGCATTTTCCAGTAATTTCCTCTCTCAGGGGTTCTCTCTGTCTACATAGTGAAACTTTATTACAGATATCTCGAAAGTCCCTTGCTACTTTCTTGTTCTAATAATTAGTTTTTGCAGTTTTGGAGTTGGTACGCATGTTCTTGGTTAGGATATACAAAGACAATGATTAAACCATGGACCTTCATATTTTGATATTTCTGATTAAGATTTAATAATGCCCTTAGAATTATATTCTAGGTTTGGGAATATAATAAATAAGTTACACATGACTGATGGCAGTCTGATATAATGGTAGGACTAATGAATTAGGAGTTACAAGGCTAGGGTTTGAATGGCAGCTCTAAGAATTTATAGCTTTTTGTTCATGGGACAAACCCATTGACCTCTTGAGATTTCAGTTTATTCCTCATAAGATAGGATAACCATATGGGTATCCGTTATCTATTGCTGTGTAACACATTATTTACATCTTTGAAGCTTAAAAAACAAATGCTTGCTACATCACTGTTTCTATGGGTCAGAAATCCAAAAGCTACTTAGCTGAGTGGTTACAGCTCAGAGTCTCTCATGATCTTGCAAGTCAAGCTGCTGGTCAGTGCTTCAATCATCTGAAGGCATCACTGGGGTTAAGGGACTCATTTCCAAGCCCACTTATGTGGCCTCAGTTCCTCACTGGATACTGGATAGAGGGCAAAGGAAGAGAGTTGATTGTGAGGGGGTGCTGGAGAACAGCAAGAAGGAAGTCACAGTCCTTCTGTACCCACTGGAAGTGACATCTCATCACTTCCACCATATTCTCATTGCTGGAAGCAAGTCACTAAGTCTAGCTCATACTGAAAATGAGTTCAGCTTCACTTCTTGAAAGGAAGCCTATCAGAGAATTTGTGAATATAATTTAAAGTTATCAAATATGTAACACTGATATTACCTGTCCTCCACCTACTAAGATGGCCCCCATCTAGTATATTTGAGAGATGCAGCAGCAACAATGACAAGAATAACAAGAAAAAAGATATATCTATGATTGAATTATTTTCAGGTGGAAGCAGCTTCTTGCACCTTCCTCGGCTCCACTGCCTGGGACTTCTGGACCACTGCCTTCTTCCTGACAATTAGGTTATCTCTAGAGACATCACAGAGAGGTTACTGTAGGGCAGCACATAGTTTCTTGTATGGTGTGCCACAGTAATCTCCGCAACATGGCCACACAAGCTATGTTGAATACAGCCTCATTATACTTTAATGTATACTTGATGACCAACAGAGGACATCTCTTATTGCAATATCACAAACCCAGACATGAACATTCTATGTATCTATTCTTCAAAGCCTCACTGGACTTTTCTCACTCAAAACTTTTCTCTAAAATTCTTCATCTTTCTGTCATATTTGCTAACCTCTCTCTTTTGGTTATCTCATCCTTTATTTATCCAACTTCAGATATTCTTGTTCACCTCTTATGCAGAGCAATTTAACTGTTTTTTCCATTCCCTTGTAATTCATGCCTTCAGGATGTCACTTTTGACCCATAAGTGGCATGTGAAAACATTTTCCTAAACATGGTTCTCTCCCTAATAGTGCCCACTGTTAAGATAATATTTTCTCATACTATCTGTTCATTTATTTATTTATTCTTTCACTTATTGCTACATAATTTATTGAACCACATATGATACATTAAGGTACTATGCTATATTTTGGGTATGCAAATTTTATGAAGACACTTCTATGCTTTCCAAACCATCATAGTCTAAAGGGAAAGATGAACAAATAAAATGGAAGGTGAATGCAAGGAGCTTTCTTAGAGAGTAAGAGGTAAGATCTACGATAAATCTTGAAAATTTCTTGTACGTTCTTCAAGCAAAATCTTGAGGACCTTGGAAAAAGATATCTAGGCCAGCAGTTCTCAAACTTGATTGTGCAACAGAATCATCTGCTGGTTTTCGTAAAGAACATATACCAGAACCCGCCCCCATAATTTCTGATTCAATAGGTTGGGGGTGGAGCCTAATAATTTGCATTTCTTATGAGTTCCTTGGTGGTGCTGATAGTGATGTGGCTGGTCCATAGATCATAGTTTAAGAACAACTTCTCTAGGCCAAGACAGATGAGCATCATGCACCTAGAATATTGAACACAGTTAAGAGAGGCTGACACTAACCATCCAAGGAAAATAGTGATGAGAAGTGAAATTAGAAAACCACGAACAGATCATGACACACATTGAAAGTCATGTTAAGAAGTTGATCTTTATATCATAAGGGCAGTGGAGACATTGCTTTTTTTATTTTCTTTTTTTTTTTCAGACAGTCTCACTCTGGTTGCCCAGGCTAAAAGTGCAGTGGTGCAGTCTCTGCTTACTACAGTCTAGACCTACTGGGCTCAGGTGATTCTCCCACCTCAGCCTCCTGAGTAGCTGAGATTACAGGCACATGCCACCACATCCAGCTAATGTTTTGTGTTTTTAGTAGAGAAGAGGTTTCGCCATATTTTCCAGGCTGGTCTTGAACTCCTGGACTCAGGCAATCTGCCCACCTTGGCCTCTCAAAGTTCTGGGATTACAGGCATAAGCCACCACTCCCTGTGAAAACATGGCTTTTAAGCAAGAGCATGTACATTATCATAAAGCTTTAAAAAGACCACATTAGCTGGAATGTCAGGAATTGAATAAAGTTGAGGGCAGATACCCAACAAGCAGATTTAGGAAATTCATACATCACATGAAAGATGAATTAATCTAATGGATATTGGGTTAACAATAATTGCCACCGGGTGCGGTGGCTCACACATGTAATCCCAGCACTTTGGGAGGCTAAGGCGGGTGGATCACCTGAGGTCGGGAGTTCGAGACCAGCCTGACCAACATGGAGAAACCCCGTCTCTACTAAAAATACAAAATTAGCAGGGTGTGGTGGCACACGCCTGAAATCCCAGCTACCGGGGAGGCTGACGCAGGCGAATAATTTGAACCCAGGAGGCGGAGTTTGCGGTGAGCCGAGATTGTGCCATTGCACTCTAGCCTGGGCAACAAGAGAAAAACTCCATCTCCACAAAAAAAAAAAAAGCACACAATAATTGTCATTAAAATATAATAATATCAATAACGATGATGATGGCCAGTATTTTAAAACACTATGGGGCATGTATGAGTCTAAGATTTTACATGAATTATTACATTTAACTCTCACAGCAGCCCTATGGCAAACATTTGATTATTAGCCCCATTTTATCAGTAAGGAGAATGAGCTGTAGAGAAATGAAGCCATTTGTCTAATGCCACACAGCTCAGAAAGATGAATTCAGAATCCTATTAATCCATTACCTTTAACAGGAAAAAACCACAATTACTTTTGCACCAACCTAATGTAACGCTTAAGGTTCTTGCCTAGCCACGCCAAAGAATTGGTGTGGTGGCGGACCGCGGCGAGTGATGGAGACAAGGACCGAGAGAGAGAAAAAGCTGTAGGCTTTATTGAGCAGAGTGACACAACAAAGCTTCCACAGTGTGGAAGGGGTCCCGAACGGGTAGCCAGAGTTAGATTATACGATTGCCTTTTAAACTCTTTAAGGCAGGAAATACGTGCAGTGGGAAGATGTTACCAGAGCGAGAAACACAGACAATTAACCACTTGTGACATGTTTTAGATCTTGAGGAAAACCGGAATTGCAACTTAGGTTTCATCTATTTTATGACCTTTCAGTGGCATGGCAAAAAAGACAAGATCTCACAGGACTTTACAAAGTATGTTTACAAGGAATTGGAATTGGGAGCATAGATAAGGTCTGCTGGTCACAGAAAAACGGGCAGTTAATATTCCTTTTACTTTAGTCTCGGAGGAGGGGGAAGGGAGAGAGGGAGAAAGGACACAGGGAAACTTAGAGCAAAATTTTCAGTGTTTATAGCTTTCTTGGGGAAGAAAACACATGCACAAATCCTGGTGTTAGGAATATTTTAAGCATATATCTTCAATATTATCCATCCAGGACCGAAGGAAGCCCTGATGCAGGAAATGAGTGAGTTTCACAGCTTTCTGAGCCCCTACTTGACCCAGGAAGTCCAGCTGGCCCCTCCTCTCACTAATAGTATAGACACTCTAGTTCTGAGTCCATTCTTTTAACCCCATTATTTGAGGCACAGGGAGGAGCTAATGGTCATGGACAGGTTTACATTTTGTGCAACTAGGTGATTATAAACAAATATCAGGGTTGAACTCTCTTCCAGGTTGTGTGGTGACCTGGCCTATGGAGCTGAGTGCACCTCTTGTGTCCTGGCTCTCTCTCATTTACTGTAACAGTGTCTAAGAGTGAAAGCCCAACCAAAGAGGAATTTTTTACCCCATTCTACTTTCACTTTCTGGGATTATAACCCCATTAACCACTCAATGTGACCAAAAGGTCAGGGGCAAGGGCCTTTGAATGGCTAAATGAAGAAAGTTCATTGCAATATTTATAGCATACAACTGTGTCACAGACATTTACAGAGATATTCTTCTTTGAGACAGTCTCCTCCATGATCTAGCTCTTTCCTACCACACTGATCTGAGCTCCAAGCGCTCTGCTTGGTTACTCAGTGACAGTCACACTGGCTTCCATGCTGCTCCTCAAATGCACTAAGCATGCTCCTCCTAGAAGCATTTGCATTTCCTCTTCTCTGCCAGAAATCCACGGCTCATTTGCTCATGCATTTCCTATTGCTGTGAAAATATCTCATTAGAAAGGGTTTCTCAACTCTTACCCATCAATCTCACAACCATCACCCTGTTCTGTTATCTTCATAATACTTACGACTATATGTTACCTTGTATACTTGTTTACCAAGTATCTATTTTTTGGTGTCTTTTTATTGTATGTCTCCCCTTGAGGGAAATATCCTAAAGAAAAGAAAAAAAAAACTTAGTCTGTCTTGTTCACTCTTAGATTCTCAGTTTCTAAAACAGTATCTGGCACATAATGATTATTCAATAAATATTTATTGAATAAATAAATGCATAGTTGAATTTTATATGATGTCAAACTTGATTACAAGCTCCATTAAGAGAGGAACTTTGTCTTGTTCACTGCTGTATCTATATTTACATAGAACAGCGTGCGGAACATAGCAAGCACTCAATAAATATCTGATGAATTAATGTCTCTACCTTTTTATTTAATTGTGTGATAAGGAAAAGGTAGGGACTCAGTCCCAGGGCGACAATTCAGCCCAGTGATCAAAAGAGTCTGATGAAATTCAAAACCATTTAAAACTACTTCCCATTCCTCTCAAAATAAAGATCATCTTTAAATACATTAACATAAGAACAATGCCTGGGTCTATATAGGTTGTTCTGTTGGAATGTCAGCCCCTTGAGATCAGGAAATGCATTTTAGCTCACAATTGTATCCCCTGTGCTCAAGGAATATTTGTCAACTGAATGAAGGAAAGGAGGATACTTTTATTTGCTGTCAATCTCTCTCACTGGGGATATATAGAATAGTATTTTGGATACATGGAGAACATATTTTTACTACTACCCAGCTTTCCATCTTTGGAAAATTCTAGCTGGGCACAGTGGTTCATGCCTATAATTCTAGCACTTTAGGAGGCCAAGGCAGGAGGATTTCTTGAGGCCAGGAGTTCCAGACCAGCCTGGGCAACATTGAGAGATCCTGTCTCTACAAAAAAATAAAAATTAAAAAACCGCCGTGCTGGCGGGTGCCAGTGGTCTCAGGTGCTCAGTAGGCTGAGGTGGGAGGATTGGTTGAACTCGAGAGGTTGAGGCTGCAGTGAGCCATGATTGCACCACTGCACTCCAGCCTGGGTGACAGAGTGGTTAATTTTGGTTAATTAACATTGGTTAATTATATTCAGTTATTTTCTACTTTTCTTTTTTGGAAAAGATATTATAGATACAGTTAAAGCCCCAGTGTGGCCCTGCCTGAATTCATCTCCCTCCATGCCCTTCCAGAAGTAATCATTTTTCTGAATAAGTATAAATCATTCCTACACACATCTATATATTACTACTTCCTGTGTATGTGTCAATAATCAATATTCAACACTGTTTGCATATTTTCAAGCTTTACATACATTACATATTTTGATAAATTATATTCACCTATACACTTTATTCAGTAGCTTGCTTTCTTGCATGGCATTATAATTTTGAAATTTCTCGATGTTGATATATGTAGATTTAATTTGTTCATTTCAATGGAAAAATATAATTGCATTGTATAAACACACAATAGAATTTATAGATATTAATATAAAATTAACTTTTTTCTCTTGATAGATACATTGCTTCCCACATAAACAATCTAAATACAATTATAAACGATGTTATAAATGATGCTTCATTGAATATCTTTTTCATTTTTTTGTGTTCCTGTTTATGAATTTATGTAGGTTATACAACAATGTGAATATACTGAACACTACCGAACTATAAACTTGAAATAAGATGGTAAATTTTGTGTTACGTATATTTTACAACAATTGAAAATATTTTCTCTAGAGCAGCAGTTCTAAAATGTTTTGGTCTCAGGACCAGTTTACACTCTTAAAAATTATTGTGGACCTCAAAGAGCCTTTCTTTTGTTTATGTGGGTTATATGTATCAGTATTTAGTTTTAAGAATTAAAACTAAAAAGTGTTAATATATTTATGTTTTAACTAATTTAAATATAATAATAAACCAATTACATATTAAAATAAATGACACTTAGGAAAAATAATTATAATTATAAAATAAGACATGTAGTGAGAAATGTGACATCATTTTATATTTTGGAAAATATCTTTGATTTCTGACCAAAAAAAAAAAAAAAAATGCCATCTGAATTTTCCTAATCCAATCTGGAGTGAAACATCTTCTTTGCAGTATATCAGTAAAATCCAGCCCCAGGCAGAAATGAGGTAAGAAAAGACAGCAGTGTCTTAATAACCTTTTTGGGTAATTATGGATATTCTTTGATATTACACCAAAACTCAATAGGTGGTAGTTTCTTAAAGGTTATTTGCAATGTAGAATCTGAAACCAAATCAATGAAAAGTTGTATACTTATTTACGTTAAACTCCATTTGTTTTTCTTGTGCTTTGGATTTTTACTGATGACTAATTTGTAACATCTTGAATTGGTGATTTAGAAAACGGTGGTTCCCTAAAGTATGTAGACCTTCCAAACGCAGATCTTTTCATTTATACAATATAAAAAGTTATATTTATGGATTTCATTGCCAAACTCATCAGAAAAGTCTTTAAGTATTAGGAAACGGTCAAGATTGCATGGTAGATAAAAATTTTTGAAAAATTCCCATTTTTGCTTGAATTTTCAAGTAAGATCATTGGCAACAAACACTCTCATTTGTTTTCCTTGAAGTGGTACACTCCCTTCATTTCTCAGAAAATGTCTGCCAAAAGCTTGTCTAAATAACAATAGTTTGACAAAGCTATAGTAGACAAAACACCATGAAATTCGTATTGAAACAGAAAACATAGACCAATTGAATAAAACAGAGAACCCAGAAATAAATCCATGTATTTGAAGCCAACTAACTTTTGGAGGAGGCTTCAAGATTATATATTAGAAAAAGAACAACTTACTCAACCAACGATGATGGGAAAACTGGATACTCATATGCAGAAGAATGAACACAAATCAACTCAAAATACATAAAATACTTTAATGTAAGACCTGAAACTGTAAAACTACTAGAAGAAAACATAGAGGGAAAGCTCCACGACATTATTGTAGGCAAAGATGCTATAGGAAAGACTTCAAAAGCTTGGGCAACACAAACAAAAATAGACAAATGAGGCTACATTAAGCTAAAAAGCTTCTGCACAGCAAAAGAAACAATCAACAGAGTAAAGAGACAATCTGAAGAATGAGGGACTATATTTACAAACTATATATCCAGCAAGGAACTGATATCCAGAGTATACAAGGAACTCAACTCAAAAGCAAAACAAACAAACAAACAAAAAACAAAACACAACATTATGGAACAAAATAAAACAAAATTCTCATTACAAAATAGGCAAAGAGTCTGAATAGATATTTTTCAAAAAAATACAAGTGGCCAAAGGTATATGAAAAAATGTACAGCAGCACTAATCATTAGTGAACGTAAATTAATACCACAATGAGATATCATCTCGTCCCAGTTAAAATTACTATCATCAAAAAGACAAAAAAACCACAAAGGCTGGTGAATATGTGGAAAAAAGATAACCCTCGTATACTGTTGGTGGGAATGTAAATTATTAAGTCATTATTGAAAACAGTATGGACGTTTCTCAAAAAACTAAAAATAAAACTACCACATGATCCAGCAATTCCACTATTGGGTATACATTTTTAAAAAATCCATATATCAAAGGGATACCCACACCCCCATGTGTATTGAAGCACTATTTACAATAGCCAAGATATGCAATATCCATCAGCAGGTTAATGCATAAAGAAAATCCAGTATGTATACATAATGAAATACTATTTGGGCATAAAAATGAATGAAATCCTGTTATTTGCAACCACATGGGTTAAGCCTGGAGGACATTGTGCTAAATGAAATGAGACAGACACAGAAAGACAAATAGCACATGTTTTCACTCACATGTCGGAGTTGAAAAACAGCTCTGAGCTCATAAAAATAGATAATAAAATAGTAGTTATTAGGGACTGGGAGGGTAATGAGGAGGAGGAATAAAAGAGAGGTTGGTTAAGGGATACAAAATTGCAGCTAGATAGGAGGAATAATTTCTAGTGCTCTATAGCACTGTAGTGTCAATATGGTTAACAGTAATTTATTGTGTATTTTCAAAAAGCTAGAAAAGAGGATTTTAAATGTCCCACCACAAAGAAATTACAAATGTTTGAAGTGATGAAAATGTTAATTACCCTGATTTGATCATTACACATTGTATACATGTATCAAAGTGCCACTCAGTATCCCAAAAATATATCCAAGTATTATATGTCAACTAAAAATAGAAGGAAAAACTAGTAAGTAGAAAACAATGGTTTGTCATTTATCTTTTCAATTAAAATGGCAGTCCATGAATAAAAGCAGCTAGTTCAATTTGGAACTCAATCACAGAAGTGCATTTCCTTAAGACATTATCTACTTTGGTATAAAGTAGAAGTACTTTGTGTGTACCTCCCATTTTGTCACCAATAATATTTTTTAAAGATACATTCTCAAGGTTTAAGATTTAGTGCAGTTACTAATTTTTTTGTTTCGTTAAAGATATTGTTAAATAAAACTTGCTTTTTTCTTCTTGTCTTTTATTTTCCACTGTGAATATGTGATCATGAAAAATAAGATGTTTACTAGTATGTTTTGTTACTCCATCTTGATTCATGTTAATGTGCTATCAGTTTTAGTCATTGATTTTACTCCATTAGTACACAAGTCAATATGGTGAAAAAGGCAAATAATATCTTAGTAATAATATAAATCTAACTTGTCCTTTCCTGACCATCTACAAGCATCTCAAGGACCTCCCCAAGGGTCCCCAGCTCACTCTGAGAACCACTGTTCCAGGTGTATGCCTTAGAGTGAAACTAATGGATCAAACAACATGCACATATTCAACTTAATTAGAAACTATGAAATTGCTCCCTGTTTATGTCAATTTAAGTTTACATTGGCAGTGTATGAAGTACCCCATTTCTAGCCCCTGGTATTGTCTTACCTTTTATTTTTTAGCCAAATTCCTTTCCTAAGAATAGTTTCGTTCCTGTTGCATCTTGTAACCTACTGAGTACAGAAAATGTATGTGCTTTTCAAATACACATATTCAAAGGTAGCATACTATACACACTGTTCTAAATCTTGCTTGATTTCATTAATAACATTTCATAGATATATTTCCTTATCAAAAAATATAGATCTGCTTTATTATTTAACAGCTGCAGAGTTTCCCATTTTATGGGTATACTATCCATAAACTAACCATTATTTTTATTCGTAGCTATTTACCAATTCTATATATTAATCTTTTTTAAGCTATTCATTTTTTCAAATAAAATTTCCCCAAGATTCCACTTTTCATTCCACTTCGTTTATGGTAATGTTACCAAATATTTTTTATTACAACCTAAGCCAGTGATAGAATTATTTTCTTCATACTGTCATTGTTTCATCATTTGTAATGCATACTTTCCCATCTTGTAGTCATTGAGCCAGTTTTCTATATAGTATTCTAAAAGTGTTGCAATTTTGATTTTCACATCCAGTTCTTTTATCCACCTGGATTTAGTTTTGATCTGCTGTGATGCACAATCTAATTTTATTTTTTTACACGAATAACCAATTTTCCGGTATCATTTATACTTTCCCCCTCATATTTGAATTGCCATCTATTTCATATTTTCAGTTTTCACACATAAATATACCAGTTTCTAGGATGTCTGTTCTACTTGTCCGTTTGTAATCATTTCAACAAGACCACTCTGTCTTAATTGCCATTTTTGGATAAATGTTGATATATAATAGGACAAGTCCCCATACTTTGTTCTTCAAAATAGTATTATTGGTCTTTGTAGATAAATGGCAGAAAATGACATTGTGGATATTGATTTGTAATTTTCCTTTGTTTAAACGTATCAGTTTCATAGTCTTTACATATTGTTTCTTTAAATTGATTTAATTTGTAATAAATATATATTCGTAATACTGATTATTTTGTTTGCCTAAGTTCTTAGCATGAAATTTCTCATTATGTTTTAGAATTCTCATGTACAGGCTTATCTTTAAAGGGAGAATTTTTTCTTTCTCATTTTCTTCCTCTCTCTCTTTCTGTCACACACACACACACACACACACAAACAGAAAATTTATCTTGAATAAACTCCCGTTGCTTGTTTGTATAATTTTATCCACCAAACCCCTTAAGTGCCATGCAGACTCTAGTTTTTCTTACGATGCCATTTATTAATCATAAACAAGAGAAAATCACAGGGCCATCAAATGGATAACAAAGATTTCTGGTCATAGATCCTATCTTTATATTTTCAATTTCCTAGTTCCTGAGTTCTTTAAAATTTCATGGTCCCAAACATTTTCCCAGCTAAAGAAGATGGGAAGTGATAATTCAGGGTCTGATTTCTAGCAAAGAACTTTGCTTTGGTAACCTGTCTTTATAGAGGATGCTAAGTTCCTAATACTACACAGGAGCACAAGTCCTTGTTCCATTTGTCCGCTTACAAACAGCCTAGCGCAGCTGCACCTTCAGCCCACTTTAACACTGTGTTTCTCTGTTGTCCTTTTGGTTCAGAGAGAAATTATATTGCTTTTGAATTTGCTATGTTTTTGTTTGTCTTTCCTTCTGATAGTTTATCAGTCATTTCCATATGCTTGGGACACAAGTGGTTAGTTAAACTGGACACTTGTTGTGCCATCTTTATTAGACTTGTTATTCTGTTGTAATGGTTTCAAGTACTAATTTTATATTGTCTTTTGCTAGTTTCGTTTCTTTGTTTTTCTTTGAAATGCGAAAATGTTCATGCTCTTAAAGAATATTAGGGAGAAGTTAAGTAGGTGGGCTTTTCAGTTTCCCTAACTCATTTGGTTTATGTGTTATGAATGTGCTGATTTTTAAATTTAAATTTTCTGATCTTTCTATTCAATGATTGACTCAAACAGCACAATCAAGTAAATAGTTTGTTCTTAATCTATTTTGTGAAAGACCATCCTGAGTTCTCTCTCTTTCTCTCTCTCTCTGTCTCATTTCTATACTAAATAAATCCAGAAAATCCTGGGCTGTCATCATCTTCATTGGGAGATACGCTGTCATATTAGATTGCTGATCTGGTTCATTTCAGAGTCACCCACCATAAATAACCATCTTGGATTTCAGAGATATGTATGGGTAATTCACAATGAAAGCTAACACTTTCAGGTAGAACACAGCATGTGTTTCCAATCCCAAGGCTACAGTAGTTCTAAAGGACTTCTCTGTGTGACCAGATGGTGCTAGGGACAACACGTGACCCTGATAGTGTTCACATTGAGGCTCTAAGTTCAGTTAAAGACTTGCAAACAATAAGACACTTCAGAAAAGCTTACTACTTTCAATGTTAATACTGGGTATTTTCACCTCAAATTATTTCAAAAATAAGAAACTGAAATCTTTAAGAATACAATGGGAAGGTAACATCTTGGTATCATGATTTTCACAGTTTTTCCAGTCCACATTGAAAAAATATCTTTCTTTGCTCTTATTGGAGTTATAAATTAAGCTTACTTGTATCGTTAATCGTAGCAAGTTGGAACCCTTCAAGATTTCTTTTTTATAAAAGAGAAATAATTTCCAATCAGCCACACAGGCTGCATTGTTGCCCACACAATCACCAATAATTGACATAACATTAAATAGTTTCCATGGCTTCATTAGAATTTATTCTAAATATATTAGCTTCTGAATGCAGGATTGAAAAATTAAAGTAGGTGTGAAATTGTTTGAGTTAAAAAAAGACCCTGAAACACATTTTTGCCATCATTTAAATGTGAACGTGCACGCACACACTACACATACATTTTGAAAAGCCTAGTAGTTCATGTTCAGAGTTTTTAAATATTTGGATTATGCAGTCTGGGTGAGGTAGGAGATAAATTTTAAGAAGAGAGATGGTGGTGATGATAATGATATAATAAATTGATGGGAAAATAAGTCTCATTCTTAGAAGCATAGGATTTTTGTCTACTAGAGAAATATGTAACATGCTTAACTCATCTAGTATAGAACAATACTTGTTTCTTTCTGATTATAAAAATAATACATGCTTATTATTGAAAGTTAAAAGTTGAGTTTTTTTAAAGTAAAATCACCAGTAATCTTACTACCCAGATAGCTGCTTAACAATTTCTTTTCTTTTATTCCAGTCTTTGTCCAGTGTTTGTGCGTATGTGAATGGCAAAATAAGAATCATAGTTAATATGCTTTATATATTACACTGTACTTTTTATTTTTCACTTGATTAATTTTTGGCCACTATAATTTTTCTCATTAATGTTACTGTGAAATATTATTTTTAAATTCTTCATAATAACCTACCCAAATCCTATGAAAAATCTTCAAGATTTTCGTCATTTATTTTGGGACATTTTGTGACATTAAGGCTCATTTCTTTCTGGGCTGTTGTAAATAAAGCCAAGCTTAACATCTCTGTGCATAACCTTTTGCTAATTGTCACAACATCATTTCATTACTATTTCTATAACCTTTTACTAATTGTCACAAGATCATTTAATTATTCTTTCTCTACCCACTGACATATGATAGAATCTTTAGCTCCATTTTAATGCACTCAAATATTTACATCTTTAAAAAAATTATCCTGTGATTTTACTTCTCTCTTCGGCTACTGCTCTGTTGACCTTCAAAGCCATTTTAAAAAATTAATTGTCCATATTAACTCTCTCCAATCCCTTACTTCCCACATACTACTAAGGTGTTTCAACCAGATTTTGCTCTCACTGCTGTACTGAAACTTCTCCAACTAAGTTTACTTCCTCCAGCTAAGGAAACCAGTATCACCAATGTAATGTAAACCTTCAAAAATTGTATTTCTTAATGTCACAGTAATGTCCAATGTAATTGACATCTACCTCCTTGAAATACTCTTTGCCCTGAGTTTGTATGACATCACAGTCCCCTAGTTTCTTCCCTTTGCCTTTTCTTTCACATTTCCTTTGCTAACTTATCCAATCTACCTAACCCTCTAATATAGTTTGGACGTTTGTCCCCTCCAAATCCCATCTTGAAATGTCTGAGGTGGGGACTAATGGGAGGAATTTGGGTCATGCCATGGGGGAAGATCCCTGGCAAATGGCTTGGCGCCCTCCTGAAGTAATGAGTGAATGTGAGATATACTTGTTAAAAAGAGTCTGAGACCTCCCCCATCTCTCTCTTGCTCTTTTTTCATCATGTGACATGCCTACTCTCCCTTTGCCTTTCTTCACGGTTATAAGTTTCCTGAGGCTTCACCAGAAGTAGATGCTGGTGTCACGCTCCTACAGCCTGCAGAATCTTGAGCCAAAAAAAACTTTTCTCTTTATAAATTGCCCAGTCTCCAGTAATAGTCTTTATGGCCAAGGCAAAACAGACTAACACACCCTTGAATCTTGGAATTATTCAAAGCTCTTGTTCTAAGTTACCTTCACTTCTCCATCTAGACATTCAAACATCTTCACTTTGCAAATATGTGCTTATTGCTCAAGACACTTTTAAATTTTGTCTCATTTGACCTGACTCTACCGGCTTTTTCTGACTCTACCAGATCTTTCAGATTAGCTAACATATTGTATTTTTGCCTAATGAGATCATAATATTTACCGCTCATCTCTAGTTTAGCACTCATTACATTGTGTTTTAATTATATTTTATATTTGTTTTCTCCACTATTAATTTTCTGACTGACAGAAACCATATTTTGCTCGTGTTTTTATCTTCCATAGTGCTTCCAACAGTCCAGGCCCTTAGTAAGTGCTCATTTAATGCTTATTGAATGAATGAGTAAATTATAGCTGCTCTCATAAAGCAAATCTGATTGCATGGAGGAGGAATCCCATCAAAATAGCATAGCTAAATATTAGAAGTATGGTAAGGATACATGAGAATTTACAGAATTTAGTGATAGGAAATGTAACATGACCTCATGAGAATTTAGAATCAAGACAATTTTTCTGTGTGTGTGTATGTGTGTGTTTATGTCTGTTTGCTGCTCCATTCTCCTGCTTCTCTCTCAGAAAAGCCTTTTCTCCTTAACTCTCAGCAAACACACATGACTAATCAGAGATACCCCAGAATTGGAGCCTCAGCCCATGACTCTACATGACTCTTGAACTAAATTTCCTACTAATGACTGACCCAGTCACTGGACCCCAATTAAAGTTTCTAGTGAAGAGTATTTGAGTGGTCTGATGAGAATATAATGGTCAGGTGTCCATCTGTATTCCATTCGTTTGTGATGAGGGATTGATATCATTATATGGTGCATGTGTAAACTTGCCCTTATTATAGGCTATGGACTGGGAATATTTTTAAAAGTGATGATATAGGTTGTATGATCACACTGGGAATCTCTAAGAAACAATACCATGATTACCTCTTAAAGTTTTTAATACCATTAGAATTTTCGCTAATTCAGAACTATGTTCTGTGCAACTCTGCGCTCTGTAGTCCCTATTCCTGTCTTGATCCTCAGCGATTTTAACATTCATATGGAAAATTATCTCAACACCAGGGGTTCTCAGTTCCTGAACTTTCTCTCTTCCAATGATTATGCCTTCCATCCCACTTCAGCCACTCACTCCCACTCATATCTGAAAATAACTACCAATAACTGCAAATGCTAGGTAATCTCAATGGCAAGTAACCCACCCTCTGATCGCCATTTCCTATCTTTCTGGCTCAGTTCCTCTAGAACTACAATTCCAACATCCTTTGCTCCCACCAGGACCATAAATATTTTTATCTTTTGACTATCATGTATTTGATATGTTTTCTTTCCTCCTTGTCTATCTTAAATTTGACTTTGAATGATAATAATCACCGTTTGTACACATCTTCAATACTCTTGAACTTACCATTTTATAATATATTCTTGATAAAAGTAAAACTTGCATTAAATCCGATGTTTCCTATTCAGCATATGAACCAGTAATCTTTGACACTTTTTCCCTTCTTTATTTATAACATCTTTTACAAAGTCCTACCAATTTTGCCTCTTAAAAGTTTATTTTCTTCATTCAAACATTAATTTTTGCCAGTGTTATTTCAACAGACTCTTCACTCTCTACTTTTTCTTTATGTGAGTACTTCTCTAATCCAGTCTCCACAAAAATATCGGAGTTTTCTGAAATTCAAACATGCATGTATTACTTCATGGGTTAAAATTATCTAATGGTTTCCCGTTACATGTTGAATAAAGTCAAATCTTTTAAAATAGAGCATAAGCTTTTCTAATCCTCATTTCTTAAAGCTTCTTGGCTTATATTTTATACCACTGCAGCAATGAAGTTCATAGAGCCATAGCATTTGGTTGTGTACAACCATATTTGTTGGGATGACAACTTTCGTAGATACCAATATTCTCTCTACTGTTTCATGATTTTTCTCATATCTTTGTTGTTTTTTTTTCATGGAATACTCTCTTTGTTTATTTTTATCTAGAAATACCGGAAAGATAGAGGCAGATACTGTTTAATGATATCAGGATCCTCTATTGACACATTCAAATTATTCAATCCCTCCCTTACCACCACCTGAATGAGAATGTAGCTTTTCTGATACTAATTTTAGTTTTAAAACCATGCACACATGCCCTGAAATGGTCTAGGATACACTGCTTTGCTCTGTTCTTTCACAATAAAATTACTAGCTCTGAGTATAAAAGAGTAGCGGGAAAGAAAGTGCGGAACTTCACAAATCAAGCAAGATGCAAATTTGTCCAGAAAGTATAACTGCAACTGCATGGCGCCAAAAGAAAAAATACATCAAAACATGCTACATCTGTTCTTACCTTGTGTTGCCATTTCACTTCAGGTAAAAACTTCTTATGCTTGGAAAATTAAATTGAGGATTTAATAAAATGTTATACTTGGGTGTATGTGTGCTAACTTCTCTGACATTCAGATATATTTTTAATGAGATGTATAAGTTTTTAAGTATCAAATTTGTAAAGATTAAGCAGATGTTAGAAGTAAACATTTCTCAATATTTATAGCAATCTTTTAGAAATATACGTAAAACCATTTTAAATTGCAATCTTTTTAGGTCAAAAATTCAAAGTCTAGAAATATATAAAAATGGATTAACCTGACAATTGGGTGAGGTATACATGCACACACATATGCAAACAAATGATCTTATCAAATAACTGTCTAAATAATAAAAAACTGGAAACAGATGGTTAATGAAATGTATTGTAACAAGTCCATAAAATGGTGCACCATGTAACCGTTGGTGGTAATGAAAAATATTTGTATTAATTGACATAAAAAGGCACCACGACATATTTTGGAGTGTCAATAGCAGTGTGCATAGAGCATTTAGAACAACACACACACCTGCATCCTCAGACATGGTGTATATATGACTAAGGATACATCTGAAAAGACATTTTCAACATATCAAAAATTTTTAATGCTACTATTTTTGGCTCCTTTTACTTTCTTTATTACAATTTTCTGTGTTGTTTGAATTTTTCACAATGATTACATATCAATTTTTATAATCTGATGAAAAGTTATTAAATTTAATTTAAATGTTAAACCATTAAAGTACAAGGAGAATATATTCATGAATGGTTTTATTTTTAAATGGATGGGAAATGGATTTTAAGCCTAATACCTAAGTCAAATTTAATACAGAAAGAGATACCTAGTTTTGACTGCATAGAAAGAATTTAAGCAATGCAAATTGCAAAACTCATGAACAAACACTAACAACCATAAACAAATATTACAGTTACATGGGATAATGGATTAAAGAATGTGTTTACAACATGCTGAGGCTGAGATGGCTGAAATGACAGAAGTAGAATTCAGAATGTGGAGAGGAATGAAGGTTACTGAGTTAAAGCAGTACATTGTAACCCAATGCAAGGAAGACAAAAATCATGATAAAATATTACTGGAGCTGATAGACAAAATAGTCAGGATAGAGAAAAATGTAACTGACCTGATTGATAGAGCTGAAAAACACACTACAAGAATTTCATAATGCAATCACAAGTAGTAATAGCAGAAAAGACAAAGTGGAGGAAAGAAACTCAGAACTTAAACACTACCTTTCTGAAACACCACCTGTTCCTTCAAAACTATTGGAATTTAAATAAATAACTAAATAAATATCTCATTACAAAGAAAGTTAAAGAAGAATATGATTTCTTCCTAAAGAATTGACTTTGCTATCTATTAAGACACTAATTTTATTTTTCTTTATTTGTCTACTGATTGTTTCCCCAATGAGATGGTAAGCTCCCTGAGGACAGGGACTATGTCTGCTTTTATATTGCATATTCCACCTTCAGCTTAGCACAGTGTCTTGGTAATATTTTGGAAACTTTAAATAAATATTCATTCAAATAATAAAAAAAGAAACATTGCAGAAGCCAACAGACAAAATAGCCAGTATAGAGAAGAATGTAATTGACTGGATAGGGCTGAAAAACACACTACAAGAATTTCACAGTGCAACCACAAGTAGTAATAGCAGAATAGACAAAGCAAAAGAATGAATCTCAGAGCTCAAGACTTCCTTTCTGAAATAAGACAGACACACAAGAATAAAGAAAAAATAGTGAAAATGAATGAACAAAACCTCTGAGAAATATGAGATTATGTAATGAAATTGAATATATGACTGGTGTACCTGAAATAGATGGGGAGAATGGAACCAACTTAGAAAACATATTTCAGAATATCATCCATGAAACCTTCCCCCAACCTAGCTAGAGGGGACAGCATTCAAATTCAGGCAATGCAGAGAACCCCAGTAAGATACTCTATGAAAAGATCATCACCAAGACACATAACCACATGGTTCTCCAAGGTCAAAATGAAAGAAAAAATGTTAAAGGCAGCCAGACAGAAAGGCCATGTCATCTACAAAGGGAAGTACATCAGACTAACAGCGGACCTCTAAGCTGAAGCTCTATAAACCAGAAGGAATCGGGCGCTAAAATTCAATGCTCTTAAAGAAAGAATCTCCAACCCAGAATTTTATATCTGGCCAAACTAAGTTTCGTAATCAAAGGAGAAATAAGATCCTTTTCAGGCAAGCAAATGCTGAAGAAATTTGTTACCACCAGAACTGCCTTACAAGAGCTCCTGAAGAAATCACTAAATATGAAAGGAAAGACCATTACCAGCCACTACAAAAGCACACTGAAGTACACAGACAAGTGACACTATGAAGCAACCACATAAACAAGTCTGCAAAATAACCAGCTAACATCATGATGACAGGATCTAATCCACAAATGACAACAATAATACTAAATGTAAATGGGCTAAATGACCCAATTAAAAGACACAGAATGACAAACTAGATAAAGAACCAAGATCCATTGCCATGCTGTCTTCAAGAGACCCATCTCACATGCTAAGACACACATAGGTTCAAAATAAAAAATGGAGGAAAATTCCAGTCTTTCCAAGGACAGGAAAAACAGAAAAAAAAAACAGAAGTTGCTAGCCTAGTTTCTAACAAAACAGACATAAAACCAATAAAGATAAAAAAAGACAAAGAAGGGCATTACACAATGGTAAAGGTTTCAATTCAACATGAAGATCTAAGTATCCTAAATATATATGCACCCAACATAGAAGCACTCAGATTCATAGAGACCTTCAAAGAGACTTAGACTTCCACACAATAATAGTGAGAGATTTTAACACCCCACTGACAATACTAGACACATCATCGAGGCAGAAAATTAACAAAATATATTCAGAATCTGTACTCAGCCCTGTATCAAATGGACTTGATATTTATCTATGGAACGCCCCACCAAGAAACAACATAACATTTTTTATTAGTCTGGTTTCATGCTGCTATAAAGAATTACCTGAAACTGGGTAATTCAAAAAGGAAAGAGGTTTAATTGACTCACAGTTCAGCATGGCTGAGGAGGCCTCAGGAAACTTACAATCATGATGGAAATGGAAGCAAACATGTCCTTCTTCACATTGCAGCAAGGAGAAGCATTGAGCAAAAGGAGGAAAAGCCCCTTATAAAACCATGAGATCTCGTGAGAACTTACTCACTATCACAAGAAGAGCAGCATGGGGGTAACCACCCCAATGATTCAATTACCTCCTACTAGGTCCCTCCCATGACACATGGAGATTATGGGAACTACAATTCAAGATGAGATTTGGATGGGGACACAGCCAAACCATATCACATTCATTCTTCTCATCACCACATGGCACTTACTCTAATACCAATCACATAATCAGAAGCAAAACATTCCTTAGCAAATGCAAAAGAACTAAAATCATAACAACTACTCTCTCAGACCACAGCACAATCAAATTAGAAATCAAGACTAAGAAATTCACTCAAAACCACACAATTACATGGAAATTGAACAACCTACTCCTGAATGACTTTGGGGGAAATAATGAAATTAAGGCAGAAATCAAGAAGTTCTTTGTAATTTATCAATCAGAACAAAGAAAAAAAAATACCAGAATCTCTGGGACACAGCTAAGGCGGTGTTAACAGGGAAATTTATAGCATTAAATGTCCACATCAAAATGTAAAAGGATCTCAAACAACCTAACATCACAACTAAAAGAACTAGAGAAGCAAGAGCAAACAAAACCCAAAGCTAGCAGAAGACAAAAAAGTAACCAAAATCAGAGCTGAACTGAAGGAGATAGAGATGCAAAAAACTATTCAAAACATCAGTGAATCCAGGAGCTTGTTTTTTGAAAAAAAAAATTAATGAAATAGATAGATAACTAGCTAGACAAATAAAGAAAAAAAAAGAAGGTTCAAATACAATCAGAAATGACAAAAGGGATATTACCACTGACCTCACGGAAATACAAACAACCACCAGAGGATATTATGAACACCTCTATACTTATAAACTAAAAAAAAAAAAAAAACTGGAAGAAATGGATAAATTCCTGGACAAATAACACCCTTTCAAGATTGAACCAGGAAGAAATTGAATCTCTGAACAGATCAATAACAAGTTCTGAAATTGAGACAGTAATAAGTAGTCTACCAACCCAAAAAAGCCCAGGATCAGAGGAATTGAAATCTGAACTTTACCAGCTGTACCAAGAAGAGCTGGAGCCATTTCTGCTGAGACAATTCCAAAAATTTGAGAAGAAACTCCTCCCTAACTCATTGTATGAGACCAGCAACATCATGATTCCAAAACCTGCCAGAGATACAACAAAAAAGAAAACTTCAGGCCCATATCTTTGATGAACATGAATGCAAAATCCTCAGCAAAATACTGGCAAGTAGAATCCAGCAGCACATCAGAAAAGCTTATCCACCACGATCAAGTAGGCTTTATCGCCAGGATGCAAGGTTGGTTCATCATATGAAAATCAATACATGTGATTCATCACATGAACAGAACTAAAGACAAAAACCACAAGATTAGCTCAATAGATGCAGAAAAGGCTTTTGAAAAAATTCAACATCTATTCATGTTAAAAAGTCTCAATAAACTAGTTATTGAAAGAACATACCACAAAATAATAAGAGCCATATATGGCAAACCCATAGCCAACATCATACTGAATTGGCAAAAGCTGAAATCGTTCCCCTTGAAAACCAGCAAAAGACAAGGATGCCCTTTCTCACCACTCCTATTCAACATAGTATTGGAAGTTCTGGCCAGGGCAATTAGGCAAGAGAAAGAAATAAAAGGCATCTAAATAGAAAGAGAGAAAGTCAAACTCTTACTGTTTGTAAATGACATGATACTATCTGTAGAAAATGCTGTAGTCTCAGCTCAACCACTTCTTAAGCTGATAAACAACTTCAGCAAAGTCTCAGTATGCACAAATCAATGTGCAAAAACCATGAGCATTCCTGTATACTAACAACAGTCAAGCTGAAAGCCAAGTCAGGTATGAACTCACATTGACAACTGCCACAAAAAGAATAAAATACCTAGGAATACAGCTAACTAAGGAGGTGAAAGATCTCTAAAAGGAGAACTACAAAACACTGCTCAAATAAATCATAAATGACACGAACAAATGGAAAAATATTCCATGCTCATAGATAGGAGGAATCAATATCATTAAAATGACCATACCATCCAAAGCAATTTATAGATTTAATGACATTCTTGTTAAACAGCCATTCATATTCTTCACAGAACTGGAGAAAACTATTTTAAATTTCATATGGAACTGAAAAGGAGCCTGAATAGCCAAAGAAGTCCTAAGCAAAACACACACACACACACACACACACACACACACATACACACACACAAAAAAAACAAAGCTGGAGGCATCACACTACCCAACTTCAAACAACACTACAGAGCTACAGTAACCAAAACAGCACAATACTTGTACAAAAACAGGCAAATAGATCAAAGGAACAGAATAGAGAACCCAGAAATAAGACCACACACCCACAGCTATCTGATCTTTGACAAACTTGACAAAAACAAGCAATGGGGAAAGGATTGTGTGTATGCAGAAGACTAAAACTGGACCCCTTTCTTACACCTTATACAAAAATTAATTCAAGATGGATTAAAGACTGAAATGTAAAACCCAAAACTATAAAAAAAACCCTGGAAGACAACTTAGGCAATATCATTCAGGATATAGGCATGGGCAAAGATTTCATGAGGAAGATGCCAAAACCTATTGCAACAAAAGCAAAAATTGACAAATGGAATCTAATTAAAATTAAGAGCTTCTCCACAGCCAAGGATACTGTCAATAGAGTAACCCGACAACCTACAGAATGGGAGAAAATATCTGCAAACTATTCGTCTAGCAAAGGTCTAATATCCTGAATCTATAAGAAAGTTAATAAATTTACAAGAAAAAAAAACCCACCTCATTAAAAAGTGGGTGATGGACATGAACAGACACTTCTCAAAAGAAGACATACATGTGACCCACACAATCCTATGAAAAGAAGTTCAACATCACTGATCATTGGAGAGATGCAAATCAAAACCACCATGAGACATCATCTCAAACCAGTCAGAATGGCTATTATTAAAAATTCAAAAAATAACAGATGCTGGTGAGACTGTAGAGAAAAGGGAATGCTTATACACTGTTGGTGGGAATGTAAATTAGTTCAACCATTGTGGAAGACAGTGTGGTGATTCTTCAAAGACTTAAAGATGGAAATGTCATTCATCCCAGCAATCCTATTTCTGGGCATATACTCAAAGGAGTATAAATTATTCTATTAAAAAGACACATGCATGTGTACGTTCATTGCAGCATTATTCACAAGAGCAAAGACATGGAAACAACCTAAATGCCTATCAATGATAGCCTGGATAAATAAAATGTGGTACATATAGACCATGGAATACTATGCAGCCAATAAAAGGAATGAGATCATGTCCTTTGCAGGAACATGGATGGAGTTAGGGGCCATTATCTTTAGCAAACGAATGCAGGAACAGACAACCAAATACTGCATGTTCTCATTTATAAGTGGGAGTGAAAAAATGAGAATACATGGACACATAGGGAGGAACAACACACACTCGGGCCTATCGGAGGGTGGAAGGTGGCAGGAGGGAGAGAATCAGGAAAAATAACTAATGGGTACTAGGCTTCATACTTGAGTGATGAAATAATCTGCACAATAACCCCCCATGACGTAAGTTTACTTATGTAACAAACCTGCACTTGTACCCCTGAACTTAAAAGTTAAATAAAACCCTCAAAAGTAAAAAGAACAAATAATAATGGATTAACATTTCTAAAATATAAGGAACAGTTACAAATAAGCTTATATGATTTAACTAACTGACATTAAATGACATTACCAAATTATTTAAAAATTGAATACAATATGAATTTATTTTAATAATCATGTATCTATAGCAAATAGAAAATGTCAGAATATCACTTTTTCTTATGTCACCTATTGGAATGGACAAGGCTTTTCTGGGAAGTCATACACAAAATCAGTGAAAATTCTCAGGAACTGGCTCTATGTGCTTTGATATAAATGACCCTTTTAAACTATAAGTAGGTTTCCATTTTTTTTTTCCAAAGACAGAATTGTTTTTTTCTTTAAAAAAAAAGACATGATACTATAAACTGTAACTCTCAACACCCTAAGTAATAACAAAAGAAGCAAAACATATCTGTAGATGTTTACAAACCATCACTGATTGATTCTGATTCTGAATAAAAAAAATGTAAGGACACTTCTTAGTTGTTCTGTTGTTTTCTTTTCTTTAATCTCAGATGCTGTACATAGCAGACACATCTCTCAACTCCTTTCACCTTTATTTAAATGGAGCAGCTACAACATGGTGACAAAAACATGGACTTTAGAGTCAGTGAGTGATTTTTTTTGAATGACAAATGTTGTAAGCCTCCGCATTTGAAATTACTGAATCAAAGAATATAAGGTTACTAATACCTCCTAAAAAGGCAGCCAGTAGGGTGTATATAAAGCACCTAGCACAATTACTGGCACATAGTATGAGTTCAATAAATATAACTATAATAATTGTCATCCTTAACAATTATGGGAGGTGATAAGGGTGGGAATGTACTTTCTGTCTCTGAGGAGGACTTATGAATTTCTTATCATTTCGTCTTCATTGGTAGGATTCAGTTTTATGACAATCACATAGGAGTATAGTTTCTCAGTACATGCAATGTGAGAAGCTTTGAGACTTGAAATCTTGCCCTTCAGAGATGGACACTGAAATATTTGTTAGTACATGAACAGGTCACTCAGTTCAAGCATGAAGGACTAATTTTGTGGAATTCTGCTCTGAGCTAATTATATTTTTAAATTGTCCTCATTTGAAATCTGTGAATATTAGTAAAAATTATTTAACACAATGAAAAGCAAAATAAAACACTGAATGTACAAGGTATCTATTTGTTAGACTACTAGACTGGGAATTGCTAACCACTGTTTTAACTGCAGCTCTTTCTCACTACGGGGGACATGTATTTTTAAGAATTTATAATTTAAGATTTACATTTATAATTTGTAATTTAAGACAAAATTTTAACTTTTTTAAGAATTTAGTTTGTACATAGGGAAATTTGAATTGCATATTTTTCTCTTTTTTGAGGATACGAAGCTGAGTTAAAGTCTTTTTATTTTATTTTTTCTTCATTTCTTCTAAAAAAATGGGATATGCATGCAGAACATGCAGTTTTGTTATATAGATATATGTGTGCCATGATGGTTGCTGCACCTATTGATCCATCCTCTAAGTTCCCTCCCCTCACCCTCCACACTCCAACAGGTCCTGGTGTGTGTTGTTCCCCTCTCTGTGTCCATATGTTCTAAATGTTCAACTCCCATTTATGAGTGAGAACATGCAGTGTTTGGTTTTCTGTTTCTGTGTTAGTTTGCTAAGGATGATGGCTTCCAACTTCATCCACATCCCAGGAAAAACATGATCTCATTCCTTTTTATGGATGCATAGTATTCCATGGTGTATATGTACCACATTTTATTTATTCAATCTATCACTGATGGGCATTTGGGTTGGTTCCATGTCTTTGCTATTGTAAATAGTGCTGCAATAAACCCCTTCCTTACACCTTATACAAAAATTAACTCAAGATAAATTAAAGACTTCAATGTAAAACCCCAAACCATAAAAACCCTAGAAGAAAAGCTTGGCAATACCATTCAGGACATAGATGCGGGCAAAGACTTCATGACAAAAATGCCAAAAGCAATTGCAACAAAAGCCAAAATTGACAAATGGAATCTAATTAAACTAAAGAGCTTCTGCTCAGCAAAATAAACTGTCATCGGAGTGAACAGGCAACCTGCAGAATGGGAGAACATTTTTGCAATCTACCCATCTGACAAAGGTCTAATATCCAGAATTTACAAGGAACTTAAACATATTTACAAGAAAAAAAAACCCATCAAAAAGTGAATAAAGGATATGAACAGACACTTCTCAGAAGAACACATTTATGCAGCCAACAAACATATGAAAAAAAGCTCATCATCACTGATGATCAGAGGAATGCAAATCAAAACCACAATGAGATACCATCTCATGCCAGTCAGAATGGTGATTATTCAAAAGTCAGGAAACAATAGATGCTGGTGAGGCAATGGAGAAATAGGAACACTTTTACACTGTTGGTGGGAGTGTAAATTAGTTCAACCATTGTGGAAAACAGTATGACGATTCCTCAAGGATCTAGACCCAGAAATACCATTTGACTCTGCAATCCCATTACTGGGTATATACCCAAATGAATATAAATCATTCTATTATAAAGACACATGCACATGTATGGTTATTGAATTGTATATTTTTCAAAGGGAGATGGGGAATCTAAATTGCTCTGTGGCTGGTATTAACCTGAAAAAATAAAACTGGATAAAATAAGCACTAAAATTGTATTTTAGTTTTGAACATAGTGATAAAGATGTAAGTGCACAAAAGATAGGACAAGAGCAAAACAAGTCATTGAGGAGCTTGGTGTTGTGGCCCATTCCTGTAGACTGGAGTCTGACTTAAGTATGAATCCTGACTCTAGAGTGTTGCAGAAGTTACTCATACTCTCTGCTTCCAATGCTTCCTTTGAAAATTAGGATAATATTTACCTTTTAAGATCATTGCAAGAATTAAATGAAATAAGATGTAATAATTAACATAGTTCCTGACCTACACAAGGGGCCTCCCAGTGAATATCATTCCTTTACTGCCTTTTCTACATAAGATAGCCATTTTGATTATACTTGTAAGCTGCTGGACCAGTGACTCTGTCAATTGAGGGTATTCTAACCGAACACCAAAAAATGAGTACAATCAAGTCAATTCATTTAAACAATCAATTCTGACAAATAAGTAAGTTAATCATTTTTCAGAATAAATTAAAATAAATAAATAAACGAGTATCTAATGCTCCCTTCGATTTCTCCTGCTGGCTGAGTATAGATCAAATTCAGGTACAGATATCAAATATTTAATCTATGTAGTACTGAACTAATACAGATCAAAAACCACAGAAGATTTTAATGTTTAGATTTAAATATTACATCAAGTGATTGTTTAAGAAGAGTTAAATTATTGGAAGTATTTCACACTGACTTAAAGCAGACAAGGTAGTTGCCAGACTGAGCTTCTTAGCTACTAATACATTTATTACTGGCATTCTAAAGCTTTTGTGAGAGATATACTCTTGGAAAACGACATGTAACTTAAAAATGAATGTCAAAAGCAATCTTCTCCTAGAAAAAAAGTGATGAAAAAGGCATGTGAAAATCATTGCTTGATACCCAGCTGCAGCAGCCAAGTCTCTAGGGCTGTAAAACAGAAAAGCTGAGAATCCTCACTGCTCGAACGCTATTCTGCAACCAGGGCAAGAGGAACCATCCCATGAGTGAAGAAGAGACCAAAAGCTTCAACTAAGAATATCTGTGGAAAGAAACGGCTGCCAAGTTTATCTGACACCACTTTAAAATGCCCAGCTTAAGGTACTGTCTGAAAGTAGCTTCAGGGAAGATAAATTTTGACTTTTCCCACATCATAGCTTGCCTAATGAATTTGATGGAGCCAAGTTTATTTTACTGAAATGATGCAGGGCCAAATAACAAGGATTTAACAGAAAAAAAAAACTTTGCAGTGCAAATGAATAAAAATACAGCACAATCTGCAGGCTTGAATTATTAGAAACCTAGTGCTGAAGAAGTTGGGCCAGTTGCTGTCATTCACTCATAAACTCTCTATCTGCATTGCCTATTAATGTTCTGATTATTTGCTGAGGACAAAATTATTCTGAATAACAACTCAAGTGTGATCATGTGATAATTAAACTATTATACCCATAAGTTAACGTTGTGTAAGCAAAAAAAGAAAAGGCTAGAATATATGTATTGAGTAACTAGTCTGTGCCAAACCCTGCACTGAGGATACTTCAAAAGAATCACCTCCGTCATGATCTTAGTAATCACATATAGATAATATCAATTTCACATTAGAGATGTTGCCACCCAATGAAAGCACATTTGAGGAGCTGATTGGCTGGCAACACATTCCCTTTCTCTTGTAACCTGTATTGTTCATAAAGAGCTTGTACAAATATTACACTCTACCTTCACGAGAAGCAAGTAAGAAAACTAGGAGCTTAGTGATTTTCCAAAATTGTTATACCTATGAAGTGGGAGGGAGATTGCAGTCCAGTTTGTTCTGATTTCAAAATTTCTGCTGTATTTTCCAGTGTACCATACGGTGAGTCTTTGTTCCCTAAACAATTGCTTGAGAATACTACATTAAAAACACCATGTTTCAAGTTATGTAACTATCACAGTATAAAAATATGATAGGAGGCCGATAGAAAAGCATTTTCTTTAGATTTTAGTACTTTGGCTTTCAAATGTTTTTCAAATATAGGATTCAAAAATTACAAATGCATTCAATTGTGCTCAAAATGTTTCTATGGGTGAAGATTCACAATGCCTTTCATGAAAGAAAAAGCACTGCTCCAGAAGGATTATCAGGTTTTCTAATTTATTTTTTTTGTCTCCCTATGAATGCTGTCACATTTTCATAGAAATTTGAAGAAAACACATTTTTTCTCATTCTCCTGCCCTCCAGTCCACGAAAAGTTTCTTTCTCTTCCAGTAGGAAGCAGAGGATATGCAATTACTGAGTGTTGAAATTCATTTTAAGCCTTAACAATTTTCTACATCTCTTTGCTTAAAATGTATGAACTTTAACAAAATCCTAATATAATTCAGGAGTTAAAGCTAGAGTTAGGAGACATAATATTAAAAAGGCAGGAAAAGATGGGGAAAGACATTAGGAGAAAAAAAAGAAAAAAAGATAAAAAGAAACAACAGCATACATTATTGATTTTAGCTCTGATCCCCACAGATGCATTGGGATCAGATTCAATTCCATCCTCCACCTCCCAGATGCACCCTGCTATCTTATTTTCATCTCTGCCCAAACCTTTGCTCTTACTGACTCTTAGAGTTGAAGAGCCCTTTGAGATCATGTCTTTCCAGTGAGTACAATGGGGACCAGTCTAGGGAAAAGGAACTTCTGCAAGGTCATGACATTGGTCCACGGCAAGTCAGGATTGCAATCAAAGTCTTTCAATTCCCAGTCCTTCCACTGTCAAACATTTCAAAATGAATAAAATAGTACAATTGATTGTGTATGGGAACTTTTTAAAGTTAGAAACAAAAAGCCGCTACCCCAGAAGGATTTTAACCAGAACTAAAAATTGGAAAGATTTTTCCATGCAATAAACTGTTGTTGCCTCTAACTACAGATCTAGTTTCTCTCAAATCATGAGTTTTAATGACTTTATTAATACTGTATCTTAATATTCATATTCCACTTTTTAGGTAAATATATTTGACCAAGATATAAACTTTCTGGTAATGAACTTTATAATATGTTAGTTACTATACATATAAACCTATTACTTTTTTGGTTTTTTTTTTTTTTTTTTTTTTTGAGACGAAGTCTAGCTCTGTTGCCCAGGCTGGAGAGCAGTGGCTCGATCTTGGTTCACTGAAACCTCCGCCTCCCGGGTTCAAGCAATTCTTCTGCCTCAGCCTCCTGAGTAGCTGGGACTACAGGTGCACGCCACCACGCCCAGCTAATTTTTTGCATTTTTAGTAGAGACGGGGCTTCATCATGTTGACCAGGCTGGTCTCAAACTACTGACCTTGTGATCCGCCCGCCTCAGCCTCCCAAAGTGCTGGGATTACAGGCGTGAGCCACCGTGCCGGGCCTACTTTTTTGGTTTCAAAAAAATTGGGGAAGCCAGCTGATCTACTTACATCACCTTGACCATCAAGTCAGTCTTGTTTCCTTTTGCTATGCCTAGAAACAGAATCACAATCAAACACCAAGGCAATATCAGAAAATGCCTCCAGGCTTCCACTTCTTATTTCTTCCTCTGACTGTGGGCAGTTTCTGACTCTTTCAATTTTACATCTAGATTCTCCCCTGTCATTGTGTCCCATTTTAATGTGGCAGCCTACCTCAGGTGAGTGTACACTATTGACAACCTGGTAATGTGACATTGTAGAAGGTTGTCTCTGACAAATGGCCCCAGCACTCCATGGCTCACATTATGTGCATGAGAACATAAACCTGACTTCAGCATAGACAGCCAGGATACCATATACAATGGTCCTGGCTTGCAGGAAATACCACTGACTCTACTATCTGTCTTTTGCCATGTGATATTATGGAAAGAACAAAGGATTAAGTATCAGGAGAACTTTTTTTCAAGTTCCTGCTTTGGGATCTCAATCTTCCTCCCTCTGCCAGATACTCCTCACTTGTAAAATGAGGAATCTGATCAGTTCAGGTGTTCTCAATCTTGGCTGTTCATTGATATTCTACGAAGATTCTTTAACATGCAAACTCCTAGCCACCACACTTCATCTATTGAATCATAATGTCCAGGGACCGGCTCTAGAAACTGGTAATTTTTAAAAGCTTCCCTGGGGGCTTATTTGTTCATTCAGTACAGGGCTTCACTGCGCTAAGCATCCTCTGTAATCCTTTGCAGGTTTATAGTTTGCTCACATACTCTGAGTGAATTAACAGGCACTGATAATAGCAATAGAGTCTATTTAAGCTTTGTTATGTTGATCAGTTCAAAATCAGTTGACAGCTAATTAGCATCTCTACCTTACTTCCAAACTCTTTTGTCTAGGCACATTGTCCCATTAGGGAGTGGCTTTCTAACAAATTATCAAGATGCCCGTGGGTTTGACTTTCTACATCAGCCTATAACTATCATAAGGAGATAGATACACACAAGATGTTTTCATACATTATTTACATAATTTTTATCATTACCCTGTAGGAAAAGAACTATCCCCTCTGTTTTATTAATGGGAAATTCTAGGTTTAAGGAGGTTAAGTGACTTAGTTGAAGGTCACTCAGTAAATGAAGAAACAGGATTTGAATTCAAAACTTCTAGATTCCTTCTTATTTTACTATGACATATCATACTATGTGTCTGTAAACACTAGTTATGACCAAAGCAAGTCATATAACCTGGAAGAGATTCCCTTCATGATTTGATCCTGTGGTAAGAACAGACAAATAAGAATCAATAGTCAACAGAACCAGACTGAGAAAACGTCTGCTCTCCAACAACTTAGATCAGTATCCAAGGACTGGGTACTCTATACCAGTTTCTAGAAAGTTCTATCCCTGAAAGAGCCTTTAGAGTTCACCAAATCTAGTGTCTTCGTAGAAATGGAGAAAGTCAGGAACAGAAAAGAAGCACTACTGCTTGGGCGTTGTAGGTAATTTCCAGCAGAGACGAACCTAGAAATTAGGTCTTCTACATTACTACATTCAAAGCTTTTTTTTTTCTTTTTTTCCCCAATATTAGATGCTATCATAGCAACTTAAAAAGATAGTCAGTGGAGTAGTTCTAAATGACTACAAAAGTAAAGGACATTTATCAAGAAAGAAGAAAGCTTTGAAGTTGCTTTTTTTCCCCACTTGAGAGTTTTCTTAGAGATAAAAGCCACTGAAAATATTCCTCAAGATCCTAAGTTCAAAAAAGAGAAGCAGCATTATTACTCATCAAATACATAATTAATTAATATCTATCAGATTTAGCACATTTTATGGTCACGGTTTCTTTGTTCTTATGACATATTCTTGATTATATATACATGATGTCTTCAATGTCATATTATTGGTTAAGAACACAATTTTCAATAATGGCATTGTTTCTTTGTGAAAATACCATTCATTTTACAATTATTTGCTTTGTCTTGCAGTTTATAGGAATGCACTATGGCAGAAAGTAGATATTACATATCTGATCATTAAGTGCCTGATTTACCACGATAATATAGAAGTTAGATGGCCATTTTAAATTGTGTACTTTAGGGCAAGGTACTTATATTCTCTAATATTCAATTCCACAATTTTCAAAAATTGCTATGTTGATTACACGAAATTATATATGTAAAGTGCTTAGTATAGTATCTGAACTATGATAGATGTTTGCTAATTGCTAGACATAATTATTATTCCAATGCTTCTGCTGTATCAATGTGTGACCTTTCCCACACTACTTCTCTATTATATATGCTACAAAAACAAAACAGATATAAAGTATATCTTTGCATTTTTCCACTAGAAAACTATTTTTAAATTTGTTTTCTTAGTTTTTATAGTCATAACAATTCTTTTGCTGAAAGAATCCTGAGTTATATACAACACGTAAAGTATTGCAACCTCTGCTGTTGAAACTTCACCTCATTATCACTCATTTGGCTACTGCCACTGTTGAGTTACTGATTTACTCGCAAGAGCAGCCAAACATGGTCCTCTTCAGGGCCAGTCAGATAATCAGATGTACCCATAGTGTAATTTAATTCACAAACAAGTTACATTTGAATAGAAGACACATGCATTATTTCATATTATTACAATAATAGTTCTATCAGATAGGTATATTATTGATGTCTCTATTTTAGAGATGAAGAAACTGAAGGCTAGTGAGGTTAAGCAACTTTCCCCAGCACACAGAACACGTAAGAGATGGATCCTAGATTTCAGAGCTAGAAATATAACCCACTCCTCGGCAGTGCTTATCATAAATTTTGGTATTTCTGTTTAATAACCTAATAACTATGTATTTTTGATGCTTTTGAATACTGGAGGTAACTGCCACCACCCTTGCCAGCATGGATGCTGTGCAGGGTCTTGTATATGATTGGCTATGCTAACTATTGTGTGTGTGTGTTTGTGTGTTTCTCCTCTCTCTTTTCCCTAGTAATTTTTTAAAAAGGAGTTCATTGATGGTGGTGACCTTCCCAATTTAGTCCCTTGAGGTAAATTGTAATGAAATTATAGAAGAATCACAATCACCTGCTGATGAGAGCTGCAGCTCAACATAAAAATAATAACTATTTGGATGACCCTCTTTTGCAGAGACAATAAATTAGTCTTGCTTTCCTATTTGCCTGCTTATCAGGGGTTGGTTTTATTATCTGAGTCTCTATTACTGAGTACATATTAATACACTGGTATTGGGCAGTCTAAGACGTGGACCATTCCAGTAGTATTTTTGGTTTCCCAGAATTTGAACACACTTACTCTATTGTAAGAAAATTTATCATGTATAGGTGTCCATGGAAAGCAGATGCAAACATTTCAGAGGTAATATCCAGTGTCCAGTGCTAGGAGAATTGGTGGTGTCACATGCATTGTCTGTGAATCGCAGAAGCAATTGTGACCTTTCTATCAGACCAAATATGTCCTGCAGTCTTGGACATTGTCCATCTGTACAGCACCTCAGCATGATTTGCAATTTCTGGGAAATCTTTAAGTTGATATTCTTTAATACTTTTTTTAATGTGTAAACTACGTGGTTTGTTTTCATTATCTGCAAGTAATAACATGACTGATAAAAGGCTGTTGTATGACTTAAACTAGCCAATCCGTGTAAAGCATTTAGTACAGTTCCTGGTATATAACATTCTCACAATAAATACACAAGTGTGAGTTGTGAATGGATTATGGAGTGATAAGAAAGAATATGAATGAAAACAATAGTTATCTCTGCAAGGTGTGATTATATGAGACTATTTTTATACGTACACCTTTATAGGAAGTCCTGAGACACTTTATGAAATTAAAAATTGCAAAAATAAAGGCAGTAAATAAATGCAAATGAAGTGTGGGTGTTTAGCATCACTTCAAATTCAAGACTCCCTCTGATTACTACCAAGGTTAAAAGTCCATTTTTTGAGTTCTATGTGAAAAGTAGAAAAACAAAAACAATAAGAAATTTGATCCAAAATGTTTCAAGTAAAAATTTAATGGTTATAAAATATTAGTGCTTTGAAGCTTCTAAAGGATAATAGAAATTTATGTTCAATACCACAGGACTTGTAAGGTTAATAGAGACTACATTATGAAATTGTAAACATCCAAACATTAGCATGACTGCTACCAACTCCTGATTTCCATTCCAAAATGCCAGAAAATTATTCCTCCTGAAATTTTACATATTTTATTAAATGGCAACTACATTTTTTCATTTCCTCAAGGCAAAACTCTTTAAGTCATCTTCGAGACATTGTGTGTGTCTCATATACAAGAATGAGTGTTAGGAAATTCTTCTCATTACTTCTGCAGTTATGATACTGGTGTAAGTCACCACCATGTCTTGCTATAGCCTCTTCACTAGTCTCCTTACTTCAGTCTTTACCACCCTTTAGTCTATCTTGAATGAAATCCCAGAATCATTACATTAAAAAGTAAGATCTGGCCAGGCATGGTGACTCATACCTATAATCCCAGAGCTTTGGGATACCAAGGCAGGAGAATGGCTTGAGCCCAGGAGTTCAAGATTACAGTGACCTATGATCACACCACTTCATTCCAGCCTGGGAAACACAGTGAGACCTTGTCTCTGAAAACAAAAGTCAGATCCTGTCAGATTCTATCATTCCTATATTCCAAACCCTTCAATGGCTTCCACTTTCATTCAGTAGAAGACAATGTCTTTATAATAACCTATATATATATAATTTTTTTTCTGACTTCCTGACTTTACCTCCTACCTTTTCCTTTTTGCTTACTGAGCTCCAGCTGGACTGGACTCCTTGACTTACCTCAATATTCCAAGTACATTTTCACCTTGGAGCCTTAGTCATTGTTGTGTCCTCCACCTGTAACCTTTTACCTTAGATATTTGCATGTGTCAGTTTGTCACTTTCGTCAAGTCACTACTCAAATATTAAATCAAATAAGCGTCCTTTGGCCACCCTACTTAAAATAAAATCACTCCATTGTCACAGGCTATCTTCCTTACTTTGTTCATCTGTATGCATAGTATTTATTTTCTTCTGACATTTTAAATATTTCACTCGTTCATCCGTTGGGTACATCTCCCTGTATTAGTCCATTCTTGCACTGCTATAAAGACATTCTTGAGACTGGGTCATTTATAAAGAAAAGAGGTTTAATTGGCTCATGGTTCTGCAGGTTGTACAGGAAGCATTGTGGCTTCTGATTCTGGGGAGGCCTCAAGAAGCTTCCAGTCATGGTAGAAGGCATAAAGGGAGTGAGCCACTTCGCGTGACTGGAGCAGGAGAAAGAGAGACGAGGGGGAAGCTGCAACACACTTTTAAATGACCAGATCTCATAAGAACTCACTCACTATCACTAGAACAGCACCAAGGGCAAAATCCACCCCCATTATTTAATCACCCCCACCGGGCCCCACCTCCAACACTGGGTATTACAATTTGACATGAGATTTGCACAGTGACACAGATCCAAACCATATCACTTCTCCTACTAGTAAATAACTTCAATGAGGACAATAATAGTTTTTTTTTTCCTCCGTTTTATTCCACTGCTATATGCTAAGTATCCAGAAGTATAGGTGATAAAAATATTTGTTGAATGATTGAAAGGATCTCATTAAAAATTCCATCCTTCAACTCAAACTTGGGACAGCAAATGACTAAATGTCAACTAGTGAAGTTTTAAATAGAACAATATATAAGAATTAAATTGATTAAATAAACAGGCAGACAAAGAAAACAGATCATTTTAAATAATTTAGAAACAGTAAAAGCTTGTCTCGATGATAGATTATAAATTATTAACACACTTGCTTCTTGGTGTGATTAGTAATAAACTGAGACAGTTTTTTAGACATGAAATTGGCTGATGCCACACTAATATTTTGGGAGACTAGAATGAAAAGATTTAGTAGGGAGCACTGTTTACCTTTCTATCATTTAATGAACCTCTGTACACACCACTGTAGTTTGCCTTTCTCTCTTTCCCTCCCTTCCTCCCTCACTTCCTTCTTTTCTTCTACCTTTTCATTCTTCTTTATATGTTATTTATTATGAAGTTATTTAGGCATTGTGATTAGTGCTATGTATACCCTAAAATGGCTTCTTTCTCCACTTTTACTGAAAACAAGCATTATAAATTTCTGTGCTCCATATCACATAGAGTTATGTACATTGCTGTAACAAGAAAACAGTGGGGATCTCGATAGAACAAGTGACTATATTAAACATACTGTTTGGAGATAGTGGAATATGGTTGAAAAGGGAGATATATATATATACACACATATATATGTGTATATATATACACGCACATATATATGTGTATATATATACACACACATATATATGTGTATATACACACACATATATGTGTATATATATACACATACACATATATATGTGTATATATGTATATATACAAAAATTGTATATATGTATATATACGTATATACACACATATATATACATACACATATATGTGTATATGTGTATATATATACACATACATATATACATATACATATATACAATATATATAATATACATATATATACAATATATATAATATACATATATATATAATATATATAATATACATTATATATACAATATATATAATATACATATATATACAATATATATAATATACATATATATATATATACACACACACACACGTATATATTTAGAAAGTTCCTTTAAGTAAAATATATCAGGGCAAAAATAACAGGGTCTAAGTACTTCATTATATAAACAAGTTTCCTTTTTATTTAGTTTATTTTATTTTTTTTGAGACGGAGTTTTGCTCTTGTTGCCCAGGCTGGAGTGCAATGGTGCAATCTTGGCTCACTGCAACCTCCACCTCCTGCATTGAAGCGATTCTCCTGCCACAGCCTCCTGAGTACCTGGGATTACAGGCATGCGCCACCATGCCTCGCTAATTTTGTATTTTTAGTAGAGACAGGGTTTCCCCATGTTGGTCAGGCTGGTCCCCAACTCCCAACCTTAGGTGATCCGCCTGCCTCAGACAAGTTTCCTTTTTAAAATGCAAATTCCACATTTACTGAACTACTGTTATTCCCAGGACTTCTCTGGGTGTTTGGTGATCTCACATAGTTATATAATTTTTGCTCTCAATCTAGTTTCAATCAAAAAATTGTTAATACAATTACTTAATTCCTAATTAACATACTCAGTTGAGTGATTATTAAACTCCTGGGGCCATGTCCTACATATGTGAGGCCAAAGACCTGTATACAAAATAGAGAAGAAACTACTGGATAAATTTTTCAGTTAGAGGATATTACAATAAGATATAAAAGTATACATATATGTTCATACTCTTTTCTAGCAAAATAGATAATATGAGAGTCACACATGTTACTCTCCAGCTCTTTCCACTAGAAGATGATCATGTGCGGTGTAGGTGGGCCATGGAGCCCCTAAAGCTTTGCATGGTGCCTGGTCCACAGTAAGTGCTAAATAAATATTAGCTGAGTAAGTGGACATATGATTGATATTTAAATCATGAAATGTGCATGGCTTACAATTTAAATATTAGAAAATTGTTTAGAATAGCCAAATTTGGATCACTACACAGACTGTTAAAATTTCCTTGAATCGTCTTCAACCACATCATTATTAATTTACAATTGTATAGGTTATTCATTTCCATTACTCATTTGATATTAACAAAAGCTATGAAGATAAGGTAAGAGTAATATATATTTATTCTTATAGATGAAGAATTGAAAAGTCAGAAAAGCAACGTGATTTGTGCAAGGATGCTGAGGTTTTTAAATGTGAAAACAACTGCAGATCTTCTGACTCCTTGTATAAGAGGCATTCGGCTATACTTACTTCCAATTTAGAAATATTATGACAATAAACTGTCTGTGTTTTATTTTGTTTTATTTCACCACTCCAATCACTGCTCTTCTTCTTTAAGCAATTAGCATGGCAGAAAATAATAAAATAATTAATTTTAAAAACATTTAATAGCTTAATAGTGATCAGTAAACATAACAAATTACCATCAACTGAATGCTGTGTTACATAGAGTGTCAGGTAGAAATTATTAACTCTAAAGTATTTGATTTGTAAAATGTCAACCATACATCTACTCTCCACTCTTTATCTTTTAATTTAGGAATAATGAATTTCTCGTTGTTAAAAAATGCTTTCTCAACTGTCTTCAAAAGTCTAAGCTAAAATATCAAAAATAGACTGAAAACCATCTACAGAATACTAATCAAAATTCTCACAGTGATTTTTGGGTTCAGCAGTTTGCCTAGGCTGAAACTCAACCTTATTTTCTTTAAAAATATGCATACATTTGTAACTATAACAATCACATTCCCGAAGAACCCAGGAAAAATGTATTTTTTTATTATTATTATACTTTTAAGTTTTAGGGTACATGTGCACAACATGCAGGTTTGTTACATATGTATACATGTGCCATGTTGGTGTGCTGCACCCATCAACTCATCATTTAGCATTAGGTATATCTCCCAATGCTATCCCTCCTCCCTTCCCCAACCCCACAACAGTCCCCAGTGTGTGATATTCCCCTTCCTGTGTCCACGTGTTCTCATTGTTCAGTTCCCACCTATGAGTGAGAACATGCGGTGTTTGGTTTTTTGTCCTTGTGATAGTTTGCTGAGAATGATGGTTTCCAACTTTATCCATGTCCCTACAAAGGACATGAACTCATCATTTTTTATGGCTGCATAGTATTCCATGGTGTATATGTGCCACATTTTCTTAATCCAGTCTATCACTGTTGGACATTTGGGTTGTGTAGAAAGAAAATGAAGCACATTTCCTAAAAAGCCATATAAGGACATTTAAATATTTTTATAATTATTTTCACTTACCATTTTATTTACATAATTTTGACAGCTGAGCGACCTAGTAATATTTTAAAATATATTTTCTAATTAAACACATTAAATTGTCCCAATGGCAAACACCTGGAACATAATATTCTTGCAGATGAAATTTGACTCAGAGCCAAATAATTTGATATAAATTCTGAATTTTATCTTCTGTCTTCTTTTTGTAAAGGGTTCATGTAATTTTCTCTCTCCTAGAAACTAAGAAGCGTCAATCAGGGTACTATTTCTACTTTTCTCAATATATTGCTCTGGAATTCTGGATCAGTCATAATCTTTTAATGTCTCTCAACTGTAAAATGGGGCTAATCACAAGGAGTGGATCCAGACTTTGTGGAAACAAAAGCTTATATATTTGGACATGTGGTCTTTAAAACCTCTCCAAATATATACCTGTGAAATTATATGGCTTTTAATTATCTTCACAGAAAACCCATATCTACTAACACTGATCCTATCTGAAGATAAAGAAAGGTGCCATATATACAGAAGGCGCATTCACAAAACATCATGTTTTTACTCTGTTAACCTCACTCAAATCTAAGGAGAATTGGTAGTTACAGCACAGCTTCTGGACTGCAATCCTATATATCTCCAGAAACTTAGAATGCACTTAAGAAAAGGTGGGTATCCTGCTAAGAGTAAGAGATTAAGAAACCACCTTCTCAGACCCCAGTGTGCATTGTTCACCTCAAGAGAAAGAAGTGTGAAGTCCATTTTAACAGCTGACACTTTTAATTAGCTATGGGAATTCTATTCAAAAAGCATTTATTGAGAGTTGAAAATATGCAAAGGCACATAGGTACATATGTGAATAAGACAGCTAAACAAAGGTTGTTCATAAAAGAGGTAGTATTGGTACTGGAGACAGATTGGTATGTAAAAGTTATAAAACAGTGCTTTTATAATAAAAGGGAAATACAATCGAAGAATTCTTTAAAAAGATAATGGGTGGAAACAATTCAGAGCTAAAAAAAAAACAACCTGGTATCTTCGAGATGGAAGACATAGGGAATTTAAATTCAGACATATGTAACATGGAAAAAAGGGACTAGCTAGATTTTACTTGAGAAGCAAATGTTTTGGTCCATATGATCCAGATTCATATGTCTTTGCAAACTTGGCCTAACTGCACCATGCTCCATCAGATGAATTTTTAAAGACCCAAAGTTCCCCAGTGAAATCACAATGTATCTTTAATTTGAAGTTGTTTTCAAACTCATAAACTCAAAGTGTTCAAAGGCCAACTAAAATGAGTTCAGATTCCTAATTTTCTTTATTAACAGCAAATACTAAAATACTGAAATAAAGCATTTAATGTAAATTCACATAGCTGTAGCAGTATAACACACTATTTTAACTTGCTTCTGTCAAACACTCCTGTTAGTCAAAGCTAAAAATAAAAAGCATCCTTCCAAATGATTCATCAGGTTATTTCCTAATCAATAGTACATAATCCTGACAAAATTACATTGACTAATAGTTTAATAACATCTGCAATAACAATTTTATTGTTTTCAAAGAAATTATACATTCCATCTTGATTTAATTTACTTCAGGTGCAACATTTCCTTATTAATAACAGGAAATATTAAATGTTAACAAAAAAGAAACCGGTACATGCATTTTTGACCCCAGAAAGTAAACATTCACCGCAGTTTAAGTCAACTCTGCATTGAATAAATTTCCTCTATCCCTCTGATTTCTGCCAATCGATTTCATTTGAGAAAACATTAATTTTCTGAAAGCTCTTCGCTAGTCAAAAGTAAACACAGGCTCTGAAAAAAAAAGACACATTCAACCTTGATTTGTATAAAGGTCAGATTGCTCAGTTTACGGTCCAGCATATACATCTGTCTTTCCTACTCTATTCTACAATGTTTGAGAGTAGGGGCTCTAAATAATTTCAGCATTCCCTGTATCTAATATCTTGCTGAAACAGAGTAGGTTACATCAACCATTTTTGGAAAGAAAAAGTGAAAGCATGAATCAATCAGAACTAGAATCAAGTTCCTCTGTGTCTAAGGCTTCCTTCTACTATGTTTATACTGTCTCCTATTAACAGGTACAAATTTATCCCAGAACAAGTGCTAACTTGAAATTTGCTACATAATAGGCATTAAAAGAATACAATCATCTCTCATTATCCATGGGAGAGTGTTTCTAGGATCCCTGTGGATATCAAAAGCCAGGAATGCTCAAGTCCCTTATATGAAATGGTATAGTATTTGCAAATAACCTGCACACATTCTCCTGTATACTTTAATCATCTCTAGATTACGTATGATGTCTAACACAACGTAAATGCTATTCAAATAGTTATTGTACTCTATCATTTATTATCTGTATAATTTTTATGTTGTAATTGCTATTTTGTTGGGGTTTTAAAATATTTTCAATTTGTGGTTAATTGTATCCAAAGATGCGAAATCAGTGGATACAGAGAATGAGAGGACAGCTGTATTTGTTGAATGAATAAAAGAACTCACAACAAACAGTTGATGCAAGTATAACAGTGAAAGAAAAATAATTCTTTGTACCTACAAGTCTCCTCTAAAAAGATGAATCCCGTCTATTTCTACTTAGAAATTCATTTTTCACGTCTGTGTAGCTGTATGGGTTTGGATATGCAGGCTTGAGAATCAAGGCTGAGAGAGACAAACACATCTGCCTAACATGAGGCAAAGAATTTGGATTTCTCCATGCAGTACTGGATGGAGGGTATGAGAAGTGGGAAGAGGAAGAGAAGAGAAAGTAGCCAGTATGGCATGATGGTGTGATGTTAGAAACTGCATGGAAGGAAAGTGTCTGTGCAAATACTCCAGAGACGGGTGGTTGGTGAGCGTTTTTAGAATACAGATATCTAATACTGAAATTAAGCTTTTTGGTACTTTGAAAATGCAAATTCTTTCCTCAGTCTCTATCCTTCACAAACCTTGAATAAACTCGACTACATTTCCAAAGAGTTTGTGGCATGTTTTATGAAAACCAAGAGAGAAGCTGTGTTATGTATTTGAATTGATACTATGAGGGAACAGAGACAGGACTCATCGGAGCAAGATTCCCATGTCAGTGGTGATCATTAAAATATCTCCGTGAACTGATGAACGTCTTGAAGAGTGTGTTAGGCTACCACAGGGTGTGTCATCCGGGCTCAAGCCAATTAATCATATGCCCAAGTTTTGGTAACACTTGCTGACACCTGGATTCCTCAGGGTACGGGAAAGTACTAATTTTTATAACATTAATGTGCTAGAAATATAAAGGGAGGTTTGTACTCAATGAAATAAGGCTCTCAAGAAAAAAATCACATTCTATATAGGCAATGCATTAAAAAGAGCTAAATATACTTTTCTGGATGGGTACCAAAAGAAATAAATTATATATTTTAAAACATTTCCTGAGAGGAAATGAAATTTTAAAAAGGCTTGTGTAACTCACATTTAAGTGAGCAAGGAACAGCAAAATGGCAATTTCTCACTTCATCCAGGAAGAGAAGACATGCTGAACAGGAAGAAAGCAACCGTAATGTAAGTGACTTTTGAGTGGTGCAGGGAGAGACTCCTAACAGCATTCAAAATAGAATTTGTCCATTCAGGGAATCACATAAAACTACCTCTAGGACAGCTGCATTGGGCTTTAATTTGAGTGTACAGGCAGCTGCAAAGACATTTGCAGAGCTGGAGGAGTCACATATCTTGCATTTACACAGATTGTATAATTAGCAATTAAGAGCAGAAACAGGGCATTAGTAATATCTGTACTTTGAAGGGTGAGTTTTCAGCAATTGCTGACGCATAAACTGAAAACTCTTTGAAATGCCTACATTCCCTCTGACTGTGGCAGCCAATACTCTGATGTTTACACAATCTACATTTGCAGGAAGAATCCTGAGACCCACAGCAAATCAGCAATGCTCCTCATGGGAGAACTCCAAATCATACCCCATCCCTGACTCTTAGGACCTTTGATAAGATGGTTCCTTGTGCATTCAGCAGCAGTGTTATGTTCTGATCATTCTGTTTTTACTTTATTTTAAAAAAACAAAACAAAGAACAATAAAAACAACCTCAGCTTTTCCTTCTGTTAATAGTCTGAGAAGGCATGACGTGAACAGAACTTGGAGGCTGGAGCAAGCCAGAGACTGAAAATAATTTCATACCTGACACTCAGCTCTGATCCCTACTTCTCAGTCAGAAACAGTACAGAAGCTCCTCAGGTTTCAGACAGCCCCCTTTATTACCTCCTGACATTTTGAAATGGGTGGAGACAATCAAAGTAGTGCTCCCTCTTGACTTCCACTTTTCTAGTTAAGAATCGAGAGATTTAAGGACACAGTAAGAAATGAGAATTAAATAAATGCTAAGCAGTTCAGCACATATGATCAGAAGCAATTCCAACTGTTCAGTTGTGGAATAAGTCCTACTCAAAAGCCAGGCTGTGGAAGAAGAATCATGAGGTGTTTAGGGAGGCCCAGTCACCTGCTGGTGTGTGTCGGAGGAGGAAGTTAGTCCAGTCATTGTCAGGTAACCCAATACAAATACCACCTCTGGATATTAGAGCTCGAAGTTGACCAAAGGCCATGGGTTCAAGCCCCTGAATTAGCTCGGAGACTGGAGAGGTTATGTCTCTTGACGGAGACAGGAGAAGCTCTTTATGTTAACATTCTCCTCAAGGTTTGACTCACCAGTTCAAAATATGACTTCTCTGAGGCCCTCACAGTTCCTACAGCCCACAGCAACCCCTTCTTCCCCTTCTTATCTTTGATAAGATAACCATCTTATCAAAGGTCCTAAGAGTCAGAGATGGGGTATGATTTGGAGTTCTCCCATGAGGAGCATTGCTGATTTGCTGTGGGTCTCAGGATTCTTCCTGCAAATGTAGATTGTGTACACATCAGAGTATATTACCTTTGACTGAGCAGGTAATATAGGGGCGGCAGTTTTCTCGGTGTTTTATATACACCCTCATTTAATTCTTATCAAACTTCTACCTCAGATGTGTAGAGTGAAACTTTCTCTCTCTCTCCTTGGACACCTAATGGCAGGCTGTAAAATAATTTCTGTAGGTAGAAATTGTTGCTCTTCCTCTATCTCTCACAAGCTTCTCCCTATGTGAGCAGGAGTGATTCATCTGATTTGTTAGATGGCAAGAATCTGACTCTAACCCCTTGGTGCGAGTTTCCCCAGTGCGAGGGGAAAATGAATAAATGTTGAAGCTCACTTGTGCTCTTTACCTGGAGCTCTCACTACACTGTAAGGCAAGCTAGGATTATGCAAGCAACTAGATTGCAGACCCAATTATCCCCACATGTAGGGGCCAAGGTTTAGACTTGTAGGAAAACAGTAAAAAGTCTGTGGCATTCTCTAATATATCTATTGTGTAATTAAAGCTAATATTTGGTTCTCTGACCTTAGTGCATACATTTCAGTTTAGACCATGGAAAATAAAACAGTATGGTAAACGATTCACCTTAAACCTGGCAACAGGTAATTTGAACCCATATTATAAGAAGAACTCAAGTTCTAAGTGACTCATGTAACTTGTCTGCTTGTTTCCTATTTCATACCCACAATTCTTTTTTTTTTTTTTTTTTTTTTTTTTTTTTTTTTTTTTTTTTTTTTTTTATTATACTCTAAGTTTTAGGGTACATGTGCACATTGTGCAGGTTAGTTACATATGTATACATGTGCCATGCTGGTGCGCTGCACCCACTAATGTGTCATCTAGCATTAGGTATATCTCCCAATGCTATCCCTCCCCCCTCCCCCGACCCCACCACAGTCCCCAGAGTGTGATATTCCCCTTCCTGTGTCCATGTGATCTCATTGTTCAATTCCCACCTATGAGTGAGAATATGCGGTGTTTGGTTTTTTGTTCTTGCGATAGTTTACTGAGAATGATGGTTTCCAATTTCATCCATGTCCCTACAAAGGATATGAACTCATCATTTTTTATGGCTGCATAGTATTCCATGGTGTATATGTGCCACATTTTCTTAATCCAGTCTATCATTGTTGGACATTTGCATACCCACAATTCTTTTCAGCTTAATTTATCAAATGTAAGCTACCAGAAGGCAGGGATTGCATCATTATTTTATACTTGTATTTTTATTTTTTGAGACAAGGTCTCACTCTGTCACCAAGGCCGGAGTTCAGTGGTGCAATCATGGCTCACTGCAGCCTCAACCTCTCTGGGCTCAGGTGCTCTTCCCACCTAAGCCTCCTGAATAGCTGGGCCTAAGCCTCCCAAAGTGCTAGGATTACAGGTTATTATTATGTTTTTAAAAAATCAAGGCACAATATACCGCTTAGAGGGTTCAGAAATATATGCAGGTGATTTAGGTGTACTAATGCATTCATTAAAAATAATCAAGAGGTACCTCCTATGAGGAAGGTACTATAAAGAGCACTTTTATTATATAACATTTACTTTTCACCTGTTAGGTTGGTATTTGTATCCCCATTGTAAAGCAAAAATCGGCTTAGAGAGACAAAGCAAATTGCTGAAATTCACGCAACTAGAATATGGCCAAGCTGGAATTAGAATAAAGCTTTTTCTAAGTCAACTTTTGCATTAACGCTCATTTGCCTCCAACAGGTTGGAAAGTTTCCTAATAGTCTTTCTTATCAGTAAGGAGGCCAAATTCTCACATTCCTACAATTCAACATCACTCTATAAGAACTGATAACAGCAAAGGAACTTCTAATCCTGGAGGCGCCACATGGCTAGCACGGTATTTGGCAGAGTGGGTATTGAATAGATTATTGTAGGTTGAAAAATAATAACAAATTCCACAAAAATAAAAAAAAAGCATGCCTCAGTAACATTTATAAAAACTGGGTTACATTTCGGTAGAGAAAATCTACTGTCTTTAAGGCCAAATATATGTGAATGTTTTAAGTATCAAAAAATCTAGAATTAACTTCTGTTTTTTCCTCTCACTATGTTTGCTACTATAACTGCTGTGGTCTACAGAGTCTTTATCTATATAATGTAGATATTCATATGCTTGGCTTATTTCATAGGGTTGTAAGGAGTATGAAAGAGATGAAATAATTCCAGGGAATACATCTGTCATAAAACTTTTCATCAAGTACTGTCATTATTTGTTTTCGTGACTATCTTTCACACCAAGCTATGAAATTCTTAAACAGAAAGACAATTTTATTCTACTTTGTGTTCTCCATATTTCTCAATATAAAAATCATTAAATGAATGAATTATATAAATAATTGATAAAATAATGAAAAATAAACACTTTTTTATAGAAGAGGTTCATTATGTTTATATATATATAAATGTTCATAAATATAATCTGTGTATATATGCATAACTGTATGCGTATGTATAATAAAGTGATTGAAATGTTGTAAAAGTGAGTTACTTTTAATTGTTAATTTCCCTGCCCCCATTCCACCCCTCCTCATCATCGGAATTGGTAAGGGCTGTACAGCTCTGTAAATTTACTAAAAATGATTGAATCGTACACTGAAAATGAATACATTTGGTGGTATGTAAATTATAGCTCAATTGATTTTTTTCTTAAAGTATTTGTTTTATTCAAGTTGAAATAGTTTTTGTCTTATTTTGTTTTTATCTGGTGTTTGTTTCACATAGACCTGACACTTCGGATTTAATACAACATTCAAATTTCCTATCAGGATGCTCTTTCCTGCTTTCAGTAGGCCTGCCATATTCTCTATTTCAAAGTTAGTATCTTAGGGAAGAATCCTGTGAACTGCAGAATGTGCTCTGAATATCTACTGGTCTCCAGTTCAGTGAGGTGTCTCTGTTCGTGTCCTGTGACAGCGCACACTGAAATGCGGCTGCACCTCTTACAAAATTTTGTCCTCCACGCAGATATATGTTGCTGAAGTTCATGTTCCTGCCATGGCCTATGACTGTGAGATCTCTGTATTTTGTGGCTTCTTTTCATCAGTCCCAGACTAATTTTGATTTACTGGTTTTCCCAACCCTTAGGGGTCTGGTAAAAATATCTTGGCTACTTTCTTCCTATCAATCTGTAATGAATAGGGTTGTTTAGAGTCTGCCCTTAAATGCAGATTCAAGACGTCTTTCTCAGGCGTTCCTAACTTAATGCCTGTGTGGCACCTTGTCGCTCCAGAGTTAGGCTAATGTGGGGAATCTTTATGATTATTTCCATTTCCCCAGGCTACTGTCAGACTTTCCCTGCTCTGAGAATACTGCCAAACTCTCCTCTGTAGTGTGTCCATACAGAGGAAGAAGCCAATATACCCACATCTGACCACTGTGCCCTGTTTTGGGAACCAAAATCTAAAAACCAAACTATCTGTCTTTGCTTTCTTGTTATAATAATCTTAATATACCCACCCACCCCCTTCTTTCAGGAAATAAGTGGGTGGCTCTTTGTCAGGGGAGGGGAGCTCAAGCTGAATACAAAAAATTATAAGGAAAAGCATGTCGATATATTTTAAAGCTATTATCTGCATTGAATGAGATAATTATTTTAATACATACCTCCCCTTCTAGATCATATATGACATAAATTACGGAGGAAATATTACACTGTAATGCAAATGAATTTGAGGTCAGAACGAATTTTAATATCAGATCCAAAATACTAGTTTCAAAAAAAAAATGTTTCAAAAGGGTATAGAATCAACACATCAGAAATAGTAAGCCACATAGTATACATTTTACCTGAAGGCAGAAACTGAAAGGGATACCTTTTCAATGCCAAGGTAGAATTGCTATAAATCCACATTGTTTATCTGTGACTATGAGGGCTAAGATGATGGATATAACTGTAGCTAATTTCAATTACAGTAACACATAGCCAGATAATGGGATCATTAGCACTAGAGTAGACGGAAATATATGCTAATAGAAATTCTGCAGGTATCTCTAAGATAAACTGTTTGAAAAGAGAATGCTTTGTCATACCTGTATCAGATTAATTGAATCCAAAGACCTAATCCATGGCTTGGGAAAATAAGTTTTTTATGATGTTGTGAACTGTCTTACAATTATGAAGACAGCTTGACAGCTAATAACACTCACAGCAAATACAGAATAAAGAAAACCTTACTTGATGTCAGATCCTGCCCTGCCAGTGTTGTTTCTACTTTTGGATAGACTGTGCCAATACCTTGATCAGTCAGAGCTCAGCAAGTGGGTTCTGAGCTATCGTATCTCATGAGCATTCTGGGTGGTCTCTAACCCACAGATTCATGATCTCTAGTTATGGGCAGCCTTATCTGTTAATGCAAAGTATTGTCCACATTTTTCATGACCTACATGTGCTATAAAGTCAAAGAGACTTGAAAGTACTGGCATAGACCCACAATAGCAAAGAGGTTTCAACATATGAGGTTGCATCACTTGTTAGTAGCTTCCTGGAATACTACACTGAGAAAGGTTTTGGCATGAAGATCAGATAAAGATCAGTGGAAAGGAGTGTTGTACTCAATTATTAATACTTATCATATGTCTGGGGGGAGGAACCTATGGCTCACTTTCTCTCTATTTGTTGATCTTGGCATATGTATTATAATTCTGAGTGTAAAAATAAACGGTATTTGCTAAGGACATGAGATGAGCTGGTATATATACAAAGTGGGGGGTGGCCTAGAGACGAGTAAGAAACTGTTAATCTAATTTAGCGTGAGACAGCATTTGACTGCAAATCTTTCCCGTGGGCCTGCAACGTGTTTATAATGTTTGTTATGAAGCCATTCTTGGAGAAAAGCAATAAATACTGTAAAGTATCTGTTAACAGCAAATGGCTATAATGATTAGTGTTTTCATCTCCACTTAAGGTAAATGTAGCCTGCGTCTGTTATCCTGGCTTAAGATGTCAGGGTCCCAAATTATCCTCTGTTAATCCAATGCGTGCTGTGGCAGCACCTCATTTATGCCACATTTTATTATTCAGAAATGGTCTGCTGTATTACACTATTCTAGCTAGAATAAAGGCAAAATTAATTAATATAAGATTTGAAGTTTGAGTAAAAATGCTTATTAATAGATTCTAAACTTTAATGATCTCTATATTTTGGAAATAATTATATTAATGGTTATTTTTTTCATTCTCGTGTCTTACCATCACCAGCTATCTTATAATTAAATGCTCAGTTCTATTACTAACCGTGTCCTAAAATTCACGCTAGATAATAGTAATTCTCAAAGGCATTTCCTCCTAATATTTTCCATATTTGCCAAAGCAAGAGTTAGAAAGGTGAACACTATTTAAAAGGTTAAAAACCATCTATACCTACGTATCAAACTAAAGGCAAGAAATATTTTTATTATGTCATATCTTTAAGTGTAATTTAATTGCTGTATTTATTTCAGTGTAAAGGAATCAATTAAAAATGAAACTATTTCATATGATAAAAAGTAATTTGTTTTACTTCAACATTTAAAACCATGCTTTACAAGGGTGCATTATTAATACAATAATATTTTAATATGAGCAATTTTTGTAATTGCATCTAAACTTCATATCTACATTTTACTTAGTATCTTTTTTTCTGCAAGGTTTCTTCTACAAAATCATAGTTGCAAATGCATTACCAATATCTTTATTAATATAACTAAACTTCACAATATCTCACAGCCTTTAAGAAGTCCCAGAATACTTGAACATTTAAAATCACATTTTACCCCTCCTTCAGAGGTTAAATGCTACCACCTGGAGGACAACCATAATCTAATTCAATGTGCATATTTGTACACTGATGTTGACTAAATTGGATTAGAGTTCTTCCAACTCTAGATCCCCAAATTCTTCACAATTCTCAGTCAGTGACACTATAGTACCATTTGTTTTATTTAATGTAGGTGGCCATCTGAGGGAAAATTATAGATGAAAGCAGAATACTGGGAAATAATGAAAGACTTTCACTAATGAAATAAAAATTGTAAAGATCCTATTATTCAGAAATACTGTTTTCACATTCTCTGAACATAGCCTATGTAACTTTTTCTTTTGGCCATCCAGGTATCTTAACTACCCTAGAGAGGAGTACCCAATGAGACAGGGGTCTGGCTTTCATCAGTTTCATCTTTGATTTTTAACTTAATTCTCTTGATGGCTTTTTAAAATCACCAGCACAGCATATTTTAATCTCCATGTATTTTATTCTCTGTAGCAAATGGCAATTTCTCTTCAAGGAGAATCAGAGTTCCAATGTCTTAGAGTTTCAGCTAGGCTATATTTACATTCATCAAACACAGTTTCCAGAATTTTCATTTCTAAAATTATGTTTTAAGACAGAAGCTAGTAGAACTTGTCTTATCCACTGACAGCTGAGACCACTAACTTGTATAGAAAGCTGCTACAAATTACTCAATGGTTTAAAAATTCAATATAGCTATTAAAGGATGCTGTTTCACTGTAAGCATCAATAGAGAAACTGAGCCTCCAGAGAGTTATAAAGAGGTGGAGTTTGATTTAGAATTCCTCCATCTCCAAATTACCTAGCACTTGTCATGTTATCCTGGACTTATCCAAAACCCTTTCTTGCTTACCCCAGTGCTTTATTCAAATCATTGGTTTAAACCCATATTTCTAAAACATGTTTTTTCTCTTCATTTTAGTGTCAATTTTTTACTAGCTAGGTTTTAGAAATAAAGTAATAAGATTTCATTAAACATCATTACTAAATAATTTTTTTTATTTAGAATGATTGTTACATTTAGAATGACTTCATTTAGAATGATTGACATCTTTCTATTAACCCCAATTCATTCATCCAATGAATGTTATATTGAATACCTACTATAAACCAAGCATTAGGCTTGGAAATTAGATACAACTTTTAGAAAAAATAGACACAATTCCTTACATTATTACTTAAAATCTCATAAGAAGCAATAGATATTAATAAAATAACCACAAAGAGAAGGACCTGATGTCATGAGTGGTTTTGACCTAGACTTGGAATTCAGGGAAGGTGAAGTTCTGGGACTGTGCTGATGGAGGTGATATCTATAAAGTAAGAATGAATAAGAAGAGAAAGAGGAAGAGAAGACTATTCCAGAACCCATGGTAGGTAGGAACTTTCCAAGTACAAGGGCATATGAGAAGGCCAGCATGACTAGAGTAGAAATCATGGGGAAACAGTTGAAGATGAAGCTAAAGTGGTAAGGGGAAGCCACAGGTACTTGAAGGTCATGATCCAAAGTTTTTATTTTTGTTCTTTTAACCACAGAGTGATGTGAAGTTATTTAATTGTAGAAGATTGTAGATGATGATGAGGTTTGATTAGATTTGCAATTTGAAAAAAAGGCAGTCCTGTTACTGCAGAGATAATAAATTGGAAGGTAGAATACTTAGGAGACTGTTGGAGTACTACATGTGAAAGAGGATCATGATAATAGCATCTACCAGGAGTTTAAGCATGTGAAGCCCTGGACACATCCAAGTGGAGATTTTGAATAGGCCCACTGAAACATGTCCTTGGTATTCAGAGGAAATATCTGGGCTAAAGGTATGATTCACCACATTGGGGTAGTTGATTTTAAATGGTTTGCTAATTTAAGCTAGCATATTAGTGTGTTCTCATGCTGCTATAAAGAAATACCTGAGACTGGGTAATTTATTAAGAAAAGAGGTTTAATTGAATCACAGTTCCTCATGACTGGGGAGGCCTCAGAAAACTTACAATCATAGCTGAAGGCACCTCTTCACAAGGCAACAGGAGAAAAAATGAGTTCCAGCAGGGGATATGTCACACGCTTATAAAACCATCGGATCTCATGAGAACTCACTCCTCACTATCACGAAAACAGCAAAGGGGAAACCGTCCCCATGATTCAATTACATCCCACTGGGTCACTCTCAGGACACTTGGGGATTATGGAGACTATAATTCAAGATGAGATTTGGGTGGGGACACAAAGCCTAAATGTATCATTCCACACCTGGCCCCTCCCAAATCTCATGTCCTCACATTTCAAAACATAATCATGACTTCCCAATAATCCCCCAAAGTCTTAACTCATTCAGTATTAACCCAAATGTCCAAGTCCAAAGTCTTATCTGAGACAAGGCAAATCCCTTCTGCCTATGAGCCTGTGAAATCAAAAGCAAGTTACTTACTTCCTAGATACAATTGGGATACAGGCTTTGGGTAAATATACCTGCTCCAAATGGGAGAAATTGGCCACAACAAAGGGGGTACAGGCCCCATGCAAGTTCGAAATCTAGCGGGTCAGTCATTAAACCTTAAAGTCCCAAAATTATCTCCTTTGACTCCACGTCTCACATCCAGGTCACTCTGATGTAAGAGTTCGGCTCCCACGGTTTTGAGCAGCTCCGTGCCTGTGGCTTTGCAGGATACAGCCCCCCTCCTGGCTGCTTTCATTGGCTGGCATTGAGTGTCTGTGGCTTTTCCGGTGCACGGCACAGCACAAGCTGTTGGTTAACCTACCATTCTAGGGTCTGGAGGACGGTGGCCCAAAGCTGCACAAAGCATGGGCCCTGGGCCTGGCCCAAGAAACCATTTTTCCTTCCTAGGCCTCCAGGCCTGTAATGGGAGAGGCTGCTGTGAAGGATTCTGACATGCCCTGGAGACATTCTCCCTTTTGGTGATTAACATTTGGTTCCTCATTACTTATGCAAATTTCTGCAGCAGGCTTGAATTTCTCCCCAGAAAATGGGTTTTTCTTTTTTATCCCATCATCGGGCTGCACATTTTCCAAACATTTGTGCTCTGCTTCCTCTTCAATGCTTTGCCACTTAGAAATTTCATCCCCCAGATACCCTAAATCATCTCTCTCAAGTTCAAAGTTCCACAGATCTCTAAGGCAGAGGCAAAACGCCACCAGCCTCTTTGCTAAAGCATTGCAAGAATCACCTTTATTCCAGTTCCCAACAAGTTTCCCATCTCCATCTGAGATCACCTCAGCCTGGACTTCATTGTCCATATCACTATCAGCGTTTTGGTCAAAGCCAACAAGTCTCTAGGAAGTTCTAACCTTTCCCACACCTTCCTATTTTCTGAGGCCTCCAAGTCTCTAGGAAGTTCCAAACTTTCCCACATTTTTCTGTCTTCCTCTGAGCCCTCCAAACTATTTCAAACTCTGCCTGTTACTCAGTTCCAAAGTGGCTTTCACATTTTTCAGGTATCCTTACCACAGCACCCCACTACCTCGGTACCAATTTACTGTATTAGTCCATTCTCAGGCTACTATAAAGAAATACCCGAGACTGGGTAATTTATACAGAAAAAAAGGTTTAATTGACTCACAGTTTTGCATGACTGGGGAGGCCTTGGGAAACTTCCAATCATGGCGGAAGTCACCTCTTTGCAGTGCTGCAGGACAAAAAGTGAGTGCCAGCAGGGCAAATGCCACACACTTATAAAGCCATAAGATTTGGTGAGAACTCACTGTCGCAAGAACAGCATGGGAGAAACTGCCCCCATTATTCAATTACCTCCCACCAGTTCCCTCCCACGACATGTGGGGATTATGGGGATTAAAATTCAATGTGAGGTTTGGGTAGGAACACAGAACCTAACAATATTAACTAGCAATTAAATATATTTGTTCAAATGTATACAGTAATGTTTAAGTTCCATCACTGCCTATCTACTTATAAGTTTTCCCCCATCTCAAAGACATAAATAAATTTTAAAAAAATGCTTATTTGATTATAACAAATCATCAAATAGAACAATGATTTTGTGAAATTGCAGGCTGCCTTTCTTACTGCCCTCCAGGAATCATTAATTGAAGTCTGAGAAACCAAATTCTAGGATTAAAATTAAAATACAAAATGTGAATTCTATGAAAGTACACAGCCTTTATTAAATAGGCTAAGAAACAAAAGAGTTCAGGAAATTTCCAAGGAATTCTGGAAGTTATTACGATGTCCTATATTCTTTCAAAAAATGATTTGTGGCTTTTAAATTTACACATAATGCAAAAGAGAATAATCAAAAATAAAATTACAACAAAATCAATAAAATGAAAACAATGACTTTGATATTGTTAATCATAGCAGATAATTACATACAATAATTGGGCTCTGAATTGAGTATTCTGCATTCTTATCAGTTAAAAGAAAAACATAGGAGAAATGTTGAGGTACATCAGTTCTATATACTGAACACAAATTGAAATGTATTATCTGAAAATTACATAAATCACAAAGTTGAAACTTTCCTGCAACATCTAGAATGCAACCTTGTCTTTGTTGCATAATTCTCAGTGTTGGGCAAAAGAGGTTATCCGTATTTTCTCTTGAGATAAGTTATTTTGTATTAAATTCAAGAAAACCATTATTCTCAGCAAACTAACACAGGAACAGAAAAGCAAACACTGCATGTTCTCACTTATAAGTGAGAGCTGAGCAATGAGAACACATGGGCACAGGGAGGGGCACACCACACACGGGGGCCAGTTGGGGGAGACTGTTGGGGGAGAGAGTTTTAGGGAAAACAGCTAATGTATACTGGGCTTAATACCTATGTGATGGGTTGATAGGTGCAGCAAATGACCATGAAACATGTTTACCTATGTAACAAACCTGCACATTCTGCACATGTACCTCGGAACCTAAAAAAATAAAATAAAAATTGTTTTAAAAATAAAAAGGCATTCATTGTGCCTCGAGAACCTGATAGAAATTTGGCATAGGTAAAACAGTTGTTTGGCAAAATGATTGCTTAGTTGTCTGAACTCTTCAGCATGTACCAGTGGCTTTTTAGAACTCCGTTTTCTCCTCTTGTGTAGACCTTCAGTCATTGAATGTCATTTATAATGAAGCAATTTTAACAGACTTTAACTCACAGATGCAGAAACAGAGCTTAGCACTGATGTGAAGATCATATTCTCTTAGATATCGTTTCTTAACGTGGAAGCTACTCTTTCCTCCAAATAAAACAATTATTGATCTACTTTTTTAGTTTAGGTAACAAATGGTTAAGTTTTGTAAGTTATAAGGGAGCCAGGCAACTCCTGAAACACATTTTTGGTAACAAGCTACTTTAACTGGCTTTTCATGCGGAAGACTAAATAAATGTGTTGTGTTTTGTAAATGCACAAAACAACAGTGTTATCTGTATGAATTTGTTTGTAAATATAACTCTTGTAAATTCTTAAGTGGCTTTCGACTCATCTATTATTTTAACGGAAATATAAAAAATAAGAGATGCAGGTTGTCTTGTTTCTAAAAGAGACTTGTTACATACTGCGGTGCAAATTATATATTGGTTCAATTCTATCTTATGACAATAGTGAGGTCTTCTTGAAACTGAGAGTACTCCTCTTTAAGTACTGATAAATGCTAATAAATGCTTTACTGAAAACTTTGTTACATGAATACAAAACCTTAATTACCAAGCCAATTATTATGTTTGCCATGACTTCAAAGGGATATTTCTTCAGGGTCTTTCCTGTGAGGGGATGTTTAATAACTTCTTTGGGACCTTCTGCCTGTGAAACAGTATAGACCTATACTTTGGTGCTTTTAAAGAGCAGGATACTAGAAAAGAAATTGGTTGTTTGGGGATTGATTGTTGAGATGTCAGAAAGAGATGCTTACAAAGCCAATATTTGGTTAGGTAATATAATAATGATAGAAGTCATTTCAATGTAACCTTAGAATTTCACAAAGTATTTTCACATTTATATAATGTGAATATGAACAACATTCTGGTAGGTAATACATAAGACATAAATATAAAACAGTAATTCAAAGAGATAAAATCTACGGGTTTTAAATATTTCTGTCTTTTGTAAATTTGCTGATTATTATCAGCCTCAGTCCTGCATTGCTGTATCTTCTCTTTCTCTTTCAAGTGTCCAAGAGCTTTTCTTGCTATTCCTATGAAACCCTAGGTTGTGGCTATATTTAGCAGACTATGAGGAATACTCTTGGCCTCATCCAATTTTTTCTCCCTGGGTAATTTTAAGGAAACAAATGATCCGCAATCAAGATATACTAATTGTTCTTTCCTTGCTGATGGATGACATGGATTACTTTTTAAGATTCAATTCAACAGGGCATTTATGAAGTCACCACTATGTGAGTCTTGTATGAAGGTTCTGGTTCTGATGCATATCATTGTTTTCAAGGAGCTTGCAATTTGACCGACTTGAGGGAAATATACATCATTAAAAACATAGCAAGGAAAAAGGAAATAATCACTCTATTAGAAGTTTAAGCAAACATAGTCAAGTGCAGAGGAAAGCACAGCAGTTATAGAAGGTTTCACAAATGAAATATTGTTTGATCTTGATCTCAAAAATTACCAGACTTTAATAGAACTATATACACAAAAGAAACATGACTGTGGGTGGAGGGTATTTGGCAAATACTGAAGAGTTGATAAGGCTAATCAAAACATCTCATTGAAAATATCAACTATAATATGAACAAAGCATTTTCTTCAGAAATAAATGATTATGTCAGAAACATATTTTTTAAAATAACATTTTCAAAGCTATGCTTCATGCTTTTATAATGGTCCAAAAAGAAAACATCTGCAGACCTATAAGAAAAAATCTAATATAAATTTCCCTTTAACTGTTCATCTCAATTCCTTCCACATAAAATTCAATAATCAGTTGCTTCTCTGTGAGTGTCTCCAGGACTTGTATGCACATGATTGTTGACTGGGGTTTATGGGAAGATTTGCAAGTATCCTATCATGTGGCTTTTCTGGGTTGATCATATTCGAGAGACAGTAAATACTTAGAGTTTGCTGGGAACCGTGTCTTTAAAAAATATAAGTTTTACTATGTGTTTCCCTACACTTTTGTCTTAGCAGATAGAAAATAGCCTCAAGTATTCATCTTGTTCTATTCAAACAAAGCTGAGTTGCATGCTACCTTAGTAGTAAACAGATGGATTTTACTTAAGGCAGAATCGGCATAAGCATTAGCCTTCTGTTCCATTATATATCTAGGGTTACATAATCAATTTTGTTAATACCTTAAAACATGCATTACCATTCATGGAACAGATCTGCCATTGTGGCGAATATAAAGGAATGGTTTTACAACTTTTCCATTTAGAGTAACGGGAAACTGAGAAGGTTTATGCATTTATTTATCCAGTGCTATTTCGAATATCAATAAAAACCAAGATGTTATTTTCAATAGATTTGTTAAAGTTATCTGAGATGACTTGTTCAGGAGACTAGTGTGTTTTTCATTAATTTCTGAAGCAAGAGAAGTCGTAATATGACAACTGCTACGTTTCACCAACAAAGTCATTTAGTAAGAAAAAAATAAATTGATTGTTTACCATTATAGAGTCAAAACAATACATTCTTTGATTAATTTTTTTCACTGCTCAACTTTTTGAAAGGAGGTATGAGTATACGACGCATTCCTTATTCTTGAAAAAAGCTTGCATAATTATTAAAACATCAAAGCAAAGCATATTCTGGTCACTAGAGTCCACACTTAATCTTGCTAATTGCTGTTTCCTCGCAGGTTATATCATGATGTTTAGAACACAATAGGTATTTATAAATGATAGATAAACTTATACAAAAAAGATAACACAGTATCTTCAAGATGCTGCTACCACTTTTCCTAGGTTTAAGTTTGGGTACATTTGATGGCATGTAAACTTTAATTGAATCAACACTATACAGACTCCATCACCATATCTTAGGTGATTAAAAAGGTACTCACCTCAAACACACCTAAGAAATCTATTTTAGTATGTGACCATTAGATGTATCTTGATATTCAAATATGGAATATGTTGACAAGTAAAAACTAAGATATTAAACACAGTATCAAATATAGGTTTAAGCATTTAAGAAATTATAAATTATCTCAAGAAACTGATGAATGATGTCATGTTAGTTTCATATTGTTGCATAATAAACTACCACAAATTTAGCAGCTTAAAAGAACATTCATTTATTATCTCAAATTTCTGTAGGTGAGAAGTCTGAGCTGGGGTTGGCTGGAGTTAGCTGAATTCTCTGATTAAGGTCCTATGAAACTGAAATCAATATCGCCAGAAAGACTGGTCTTATCTGAAAGCTCTGAGGGGGAATCTGCTTTCCAGTTTATTGAGGTTGTTGGCAAAAATCAAATTTTCATGGTAGTAGATGTAATGTCCCTGTTTTCATGTCCTAGAGGCTGCCCACATTCCCATATACCTTAGCATGCGACCTTCTCCATCTTCAAACCAGTAACACTGACTTGAGGTCTTCCTGTGCTTCATAACTCTCACTTTCTTTTCTATGACCAGCTGGAGAAAAGGCTCTGATTTTAAAGGGCTCTTGTAATTAGCCCTGACACACCCAGATAATCTCCCTATCTTAAGATCAACTGATTTAAACACTTAAATATATCTGCCATATCCTTACACAGCAGTACCTAGATTTGAATTTGATTGAATAACTGGGACAAGATAAGTAACTGGAATAAGGAGTCAGGAATCTTTGAGGCCTTCAAATAATTTTGCCAACCACATATGGGCTTCATAAAATCGGGTAGTAAATTAGGAAAAGAGAAGGGTAAGCAATACAAAGAATAGCTGCTTAATATAGAAAGCCCCTTATAAGCTTTATTAGGCTTACATAATAGCTTATATTAAGCTATTATAGATTTATGAGGAAAGTCATTGTCAGCTACAATTTCATCTTAGAGAGCTCCAGATCCAGCTGAGATCAAGAAGACCAGAGAATGTCAAAAGAAACCCTTGAGAGAAAAAGAAAGAAAAGAAATGAATCAATGAGTTCATTTGTTTGAATGCCTGAAAAAATAATATTAAAAGGTCTTTTACAGATCTAACATATTTAATAATGTTTAAATTAAATTGAATTAGGCCAATAAAAAGATGGAAAGTTAACACTGGGATATGACAAAGAGTTGTACAAAAAAGCAAATGTAACTACAGCACCCTATGTGGCCCAATTGTGGGCAGTATTTACATACTCCTGACAAATGAACCACTGAATATTAATTTAAGAAAAATTGAAATGTAATTCTATTGATAATGTTGAAAGAGAGATAAAGTAGAGTGAGATAACTAAATTCTCATCTACCAAAAAAGGAAGTCAATACATATTATATGGAAAGAAAAAATACAAACATAGCAATCAAAGCTATTATCCAAAAATGTGGAAGCAAACACATGAATTAAGAGATAAAACTTAAAAGTGCTTGCTCTGGAGGAGTGGCACATGGGACTGCTATTCTCCATAAGCGCTTTAGTGCCCTTTGACTTTTTATAGTATAGTCAAAAGTTACATTAATAAATATTAAGCTAATTAAAACATATTTTAGACATATACATGTTTGTCAATAAGGATTTATGAAAACGTATTTCAAACTTCAGGAAATCAAATAGTCTCAAATTCTACCTTCAAATATTAATAAATACATCAACTGCATGTGTTCAGTTGAAAACTCAGTAACATCACTTGCATTAGTTAAAATGAGACATTCATAACTGGCTAATATCTAACTTGATACTCATTTTCCTGAAAGCAACGCTAACTAATATATGCATATATAACTTCACTTCAGGCTTGTTGAAGCTAGCTAATTCTCAATATTTTGCTAGTCTTAGCATCATGATAATCTTTTGTCAATATCAAAAACACTATTTTGCTAATGTGTCCTAATGATGATACCTCTGAATGTCAAATAACAAGTCTTTACATTGGGAGAAGAGGACTCAACACAAGCAGACAGTTGCCAGGGCACTACCAGTCCAGGATATATTTTCTTACACTTCACTTTCATACTTCAATTGCCTCCCTTCCAAGCCAATTGTAAAAATTCATGCATAATCTCAAGAAATGCCTTAAAACAGACCAATACGTTCAGGTAATGTGAACGGTGCAACATCAATACTTTTCTGTGTTTTAACAGTGTTACCAGAAAGGGGTCCTGATCCAGACCCAAGAGAGGGTACTTGAATCTTGCACAAAAAAGAATTCAGGCCGAGTCCACAGTGCAAAGCAAAAGCAAGTTTATTAAGAAAGTAAAGTGGTGAAAGAACAGCTACTCTATAGACAGAGTAGGGTGTTCCTGAAAGTAAGAGGAGGGACTTGTCCACTCTAGGTACAATACTTGCTCATATATGGGATAAAAAAAGATCTCAGTTAATTTAGAAAGTTTATTTTGCCAAGGTTGAGAAGGTCCACCTGTGACATTGCCTCAGGAGGTCCTGACGACATGTGTCCAAGGTGGTCAGAGCATACCTTGCTTTTATATATTTTAGGGAGACATGAGATATCAATCAACGTATGTAAAATAAACATTTGTTTGGTTCGGAAAGGCAGGACAACTGGAAGCAAAAGCAGGACAAGTCAAAGTGGGGAGGGGGCTTCCAGGTCACAGGTAGGTGGGAGACAAACAGTTGCAGTCTTTTGAGTTTCTGATTAACCTTTTTAAAGGAAGTTATCAGATTTGCATTTATCTCAGTGAACAGAGAAATGACTTTGAATAGAACGTAAGGCAGGTTTGCCCTAAGAAATTCCAAGCTTGAATTTTATTTTTTTCTTTAGCTTAGTAACATTGGGGGCCCAAGATATTTTCCTTTCACATAAGAAAACAGAGCAATAGACCTAAGAAGAATCTGCCTATGACTCTTGAAACTCCACAAAGAAAACAGAACACCCCAAAAGGAGTGGGTGGTGCCTTTGTTTTGAATTCTTTAAAGGGATTCAAGTCACTAGAAGCCTTCTTCAGATTTTTTTGGTACTGCAGATGGCAAAGGGAGAAGGAGATATAGGGTGGAAGAAAAGTACACAAAATAACATTTTATTTTAAAGACAGGAAGCAAACACAGAAACCGAGCACTTTTGTTTGTTTCTTGTTTGTTTGTTTGTTTGTTTGTTTTTCTTCTTTTGAAGCTGCGAAGAAGTTTGACCAGATTAGAGCAGCTTTATTACCTATAATTTGGAATTCTCACTTGAATTTGACCATGTCAGGTAGAGTTGGTCAAATCTGATGGAAGAAAGACCAGAACACACAACAACAACAACAAAATACCCCAACAATATGATCGCAGAATGTTCTAATGGTAGAGAGAAATTAAGACCAGCTGGTTGTTACACCTTAGCCAAGACAAAACCCTAACTCAGCTATTTACCTAGGGATGGGTCTCAGGCTGAAGACTGCTCTCTATCATCCTAGAAACAGGAAAAAACTCAAACTCATCTTCCCTGCAGGAGCAAAATCAAACTTCATAAAGGAGTTATTGGCCTTCCATCATCACAGAAGCAGGAAATCTTGCCTTACTCGTTGAAGGCAAATACAACTCCAGAAAAAAAGGTGAATTGTACAGCAAAATAAATTTTAGATTTTGACCAATTTTTGGACATTAGGGATTCTCTGGAGAGGGTGCTCCCAGACCTCAGCACACTGTCCTGTTGCTTTGGGCCATAAAGTTAGCTCATGCTGGTACCAAGCACCAATAGGAGATTTGTCAAAGGTCAAGTCCGTAAGAACTTGTTTTATAATCAACAGAATAAATTTTTAATTTTCTATCAGAAAGGAAGATTCACTTAACATAAATTCATTTCACACAAAAAAATGTCTAGAACACATCTCTTCTATGGAGGAAAGAACATCTAACACCAAAAAAGAAATTACCATATTGTGTTCATTTTAATTTCTAACTTTAATCTCTAATATGTGGCTTAGCTAGTATGTCAGATAAAAACGGACCAGTTATTGATTTTCATTTCACTTGAGATTGTCTTATCTCCTTAAAATTTAAGTGGACCAATTTTTATTGTCAGTAAATACAGTTATCCAGCAGCTAGGTCTACCATCTTTCATAATACTTTTTGAAATATCCTGAAGAATCACAGTAAAAAGGTCCTGAAATATATTGTTAAAAGTATAGGCAAAACAGAGTAATACCATGTGCAGTCTTTGAATGCCAAGAATACATACGTAATATAATGGGCATAAGGAAAAAGGGCAGTAGATTAATTGTGGAATGGTATCCAATGTGAGAATGTATTTTTCACACAGTCACAAAAATGATTTCCCTTCTGACCTAAGAAAATTTTTTATTTAAAACAATTCAATGCATCCCTATTCTAGGTAAGTTTATACACGGTTATAAAGTCATTTAAATAGTTCTTAACAACTTCCATTCTAATGTTGTTTTTTTTTCTCTGACATTCTTTTAAGTTATGCATATTGTGCCAGAAAGACGAAGGATTTATTCTGCCCATTAGTCATAAAATATTGTTTTTATGTTATGAAGTATCACTATCACATGTCTATATTTGAACTGCATATCAATCTCTTCTTGTTATCACCTCTAGCCCCTGAGTAAGGAAGATGAATAATACAGAATTTTATATTTTCATTGTAGCTAGAGAAACTGAGGCATGGAACATAAAACACTTTGTTTTAGTCTTATAAAATATTCCCAAAATACACTTGGGATTCAAATTGAAATCCTCCTGACTCTTGTTTATTTTGAAGGATTAAGATCAGTTCACTCTTTGATGTTTGCAACGTTGTGAAAGAGTCATTAAAGGACGAGGATGCTCCCTTTTTCATCCTTTATTTTTTCCTGTTCATCATACTGCAGCTCTGATGACTAGACCTCAGGCAGCCATCTTGGTCCAGAAGGTGGAAATGACATTTTGACAGTAGAAGGATAATCTGATAATCACAGAGTTGCCATGCAAATCTTGAACTGTTTACTTCTAATCTTTGTTAATGTGTGAGAGAAATAAACTTTTTTTAAAAAAAACAGTAGTTTATTCATTGAAGGGAGTAGAAGGACATAGTTTTTGGTAGATAGGTTCTCCTGTGTTCTAGCCTGGGAAGTGTGCCAACTTATGGAAAAAGTCATTATTCTTATTCATCAGGTTTTTTTCACATAATGAAAATTTTACAGTGAATTCTGGCTGGAAAATGCATGGGTGTAGTTTGTTTTAATGACTTCTATGAATGATAATTTATTTAACTTTCTTATCTCAACTGAAAATTAAGTAAGGGCCTCATAACACATTGCAGGTTGCCTGAGAATGTCAAGTAACACTAATGCTCAGCTTTACGTTTAGCCTATCATTTGGTTTTTTATCTGAAACTCTTCATAGACTGTTTCTTTATTCCTTGACTTTAAAAATGAACAATAAGTGACCAAATTCTATCAGAATTTTACATACTATCTCACAAATGAACATTTATTGCTTTTGTACGATTAATTTCTTAGAGTGGTGTGTATCCAAAATGCCATCATCTGAGAAAGCAGATCAATATTTTATTGTGATTATAGGCCCCGCCACACTTAGAATATTCTCCAGGCTGTCCCTCTTAATTTCAACTATATAAAGAAAAATTGCGAAGAGACTTGACCTAGTATTTTGATTAAACTATTCTTTTCACAAATATTGATCTATCATATGTCAAATTTCACTAGAATTACTGAGTATTTGGATTATAGTTCAGTCTTCTCCATTTATACACATTTAATTTAATTGTAAAGATAGCTGCATCTCATGCTTTTACAAATATTTTTAAGAAGAAATACATTTTCCATGCCCCGATTTGTTCTTCATTTCTTTTAACACTTCTGTTTCTATCACATCCAATGTTTTTACTAATATTTTTGTGTCCAATGTTTTTACTAGTATTTTTTCTGCAATATTTTTTTCTACAAAGAAACCTCTTTTCTACTAAAATCTTGGCCCTAAATCCATTTTTGATTCCAAAAAGAAATAAAATGTGGGTGTATAATCCATTTGAAAATTAACAAATAATGATTTATGTGAAAGAAATTAGTTACTTTATTTTTAATAGCAGCATCGTTAAATCCTTGCATTCTAGGTTTGAAGAGCCTTACCTATGTATGTTGATCCAGTAAGTTGAAGTGGAGATTGAAATCTAGTTTTTAGAAAAACATTCATGTGTTTCTGTTGCAGCTGTTTCACAAGATCAAAACTCTGCCAGAAAGATATGCCTCCTGTCATTTTATACCAGAAATAGTCAAAATTATCCCATGTCTGCAAGTTAGAAATTTAAAATTCTCCTTGTCATTTTAATAATTAATTTCAATATTCCAAACACTGTTTTATTTTGAATGCCATGGGCTGACCAGATGGTGTCCAGAAGTACCTACTCCTCTAAAAATAAAATGTGGAGACTCAGATTCTTCTTCAAAATGTTTTCTTTCTATATCCAAAGGTCAATATCCAAAATGATGTAATAAACATTTGCTTAATTTTTTAGTGCTGTGGTTCATTGGTTTAGATTTAAACCTGTTTTCCATACAGCTATTATACATTCATTGATTTTATACACAATATGCGTAGTATATAGATGTTGTTACTCAGTGCTTCATGATGTAAAAAATAAAGGTAATACTGAATTACATTTTTCTTTTAATTAATCTTATATGATAATTAAAATCTATTTTCAGAACTAGAGGCAATAGAGCAAGTTTGTCGAATCCATATAAGTGTCATGGTTTAGCTAGGTGAATTCTTAATAAGGACTTCAAAACAGGCTAAATTAATGGTATTAAAAGAAACACTGCTTTCTAATGAGAGTTATGGATTTGGTGGCTGATTGCAATGATTATACAATGTAAAATCTATGTAGTACCTAAGAGAATCACTGCATTTTAACTGGATTATTGTGCCTTTGAAAAATAGAAATCCACTCAGCTAGGTACATTATATTCCTAAAAACAAGGAGGGAGTCTAAACTTTCTTATTTCTAGTTCAGTAAGATTCTGATTTAAGCAAGGAATCCAAAACAAGAAAGAACACTTAGAAAACACACGAATGTTTTTTACTACCTGCGGTTTCGATCAATAAGATATAGACTGATACTGACAAATCTAATTGGCTCTGGCAAACCAGAGTGAGGTATTATCATTTTTACAGATATTTTCAGTGTCTGAAAATAAAATGGCCTAAGCAAAGCACACAGTCTTGGCCTTTTGCTTGGAAAACTAACATTTTTTTAAATATTCAAAAAATTTAAAAAATATTTATAGGTCCTTGACTGACACTTAAAGAATATGCATGGCTATAATTTTTTTTTTTCATTTTAAAACCTGAATTTTATTTAAAGTAATTTATCAAAGGCCTGAAGTATAGCTGAATTTTTCTAAGCACAAGCTCTCGGGTCAATCATCAGGCATATCCCAGGTAGATTCCTTTCTAACTATGTGACCTTGGGTACATGCTTAACCTCTCTGTGTTGTAGTTTCTCATTTGAAAAATGGCCAAAGTAATAACTCCTGTCTCCCATGGTGATTGAGCACATTAAATGAGTTAATGCAATTTGTGCTATAATTTGTGCCAACATCAGCTCATAAAAAGCAGTTGTGTGCATTTTATCTCAATCCCGTGTTTGTGGTGAGAGAATGTTCACCATGGAATTAATAAAATTCTACAAATAAGGGCATTTTTCATCAGAAATCTTGTTGTTAAACATTTGCCAGGACTGGACTTGTGAATAGACTTAAAATCACGTGTAACAGGGTGGTTCCATCAACAAAACAATTATGTATAATATGATTAGCTGTCAGAATATCAACACTAGAGAGGACCAAAGAAATTTATTCATTCAACTGAAATTTAAGTGTCTACTAAATTTAAGCCATTTGGTCACTTAACGTAAGTGCACAGAACATACTCGTGCAGATTACATTGTAGTATTAGTGTAGACAGAAAGTTAATAAATGCAATAGGTAGTGTAGTTGATGGAATAAAAGCTATCAAATAGTAAAGTAGAAAAGGAAGATAAAGGGGCAGGATTATTTTGTAGCATGGACAAGGAAGACTGCAATGAAAAGGGGGCATTTAAGTAAAGACGAGAATCTGGTAAGGAGGAAAGTCATGAGGATATCTGGGAGAAGACTGTTCCAGGCAGCAGGAGGAGCAAGTGCAAGGGCTATGAGGTAGAAACGTGCCTAGAATATTATTTTATTTTATTTTTTCAAGAGAGGCCAGCATGGTCAAATAAATAATTAATGAATTCAGAGATGTTAAAAACTGTGAGATTTTTGGTGTGGTGGTTCTTTAAATATTAGTTAGAATTTATCTATAATGTATTTGTTTCTTTAAAAGTGAAATAGAAAAACACTGAAAATTTTTAACAAAGAACGATTCTGTGACCTACGTTTTAGCAAGACTGTTTGTCCTGTGGTGTAAAAAATCATCTGTGATGAGTAGCAAGGGAAGAAGCAGGGGTAGCATTTAGAAGTTTTTTTGAAATAATTTAGGTCTGAGACGATGGTTCTTTGGACCATGGGGAGATAAGTAGAGGTAAATACATTAGATTGACTGTAGATAATTCTATTGCTTAATCATTATAAATTTTTGAGGCCTTGAGTTATATTTTTATTTTATTAATTTTGTCTCATGAATTTCTATTAAGCCTTTGAAAAACATGATGAGTAACTACATAGTTTCCTTGATTTTGTTGTACTTGAAGAAAAATTCATATTTGCCTTTTACTGACATTTAAAATCATGTCATTGCTGGCAATTAAAACAGTGTGGTTGCAAAGAAACAGAGATAATTTTACTTCATCCTCTTTTATTTGGATGTCCTTTATTTCTCTCTCTTGCCTAATTGCTCTGGCTAGGACTTCCAGTACTATATTTAACAGAAGTAGTGAGAATGGGCATACTTATTTTTTTCTGATTTTAAAGGAAAAGCCTTCAATTTTAATTCCTGAGTACGATGTTAGCTGTGGGCTTGTCATATATAGTCTTTATTATGTTGAGGAATAGTCCTTCTTTACCTAATTTGTTAATAGACTTTATCATAAAATGATGTTAAGTTTTGTCAAATGCTTCATTTGTATCTATTGAGATGATGGTGTTGATTTTGTTCTTCATTCTGTTGATGTGACATATCACATTTATTGATTTATGTATGTTCAACCAATCTTGCATCCCAGGGATAAATCCCACTTGATCATGGTAAATGATGACACTTTTAATGTATTGTTGAAGATATTATCCTCATAACCCCATGATAAAGTTAAAAAATCTTAAATTGAACCACCCTAAGTTGGAGTCCATATGCATATTGTTGAAGATTTTTGCATCTATGTTTATCAGTTATATTAGCCTGCAGTTTTTCTTTTCTTGTAGTGTACTGTACTAGCTTTGGTATCATGGTGAGGCTGGCCTTGTAAAGTTAGTTTGGAAGTACTCTTTTTCTCTTCAATTTTTTGGAAGAGTTTCAGAATGATTGGCATTAGTTCTTTAAATGTTAATTAGAATTCATCCATGAAGCTATCTGGATCTGGGCTTTTCCTTGAACAGACTTTTTAATTTTTATTTAATCTCTTTACTTGTTATTGGTCTGTTAAGATTTCCCATCTTATCATGATTAAGTCTTAGTAAGTTATATGCCTCTAGGAATTGATTCATTTCTTCCAGGTGTTTTAACTTGTTGGCATATAATTTTTCACAATAGTCTCTTATGATCCTTTGTATTTCTGTATTATCAATTGTAATGTCTCATTCTTCATTTATGATGTTATTTATTTGTCTTCTCTCTTTTATTCTTAGTTAGTTTAGCTAAGGTTTTGTCAATTTTATTCACCTTTTCAAAAAGCCAACTCTTATTCTCTTTATTTCTATTTTTTTCATGTATTTATTGCACTTATTTTTGCTCTGACCTTTGTTATTTTCTTTCTTCTGCTATCTTTGGGACTAGTCTGTTCTTCTTTTACTAATTGCTTAAGATGTAATGTTAAGCTCTTTATCTGAGAGCTGTCTTCTTTTTTGATGTAGATTTTAATTGTTATACACTCCCTTCTTAGAACTACTTTTGCTGCATCCCATAAGCCTTGGTATGTTCTGTTTTCATTCTTGTTTTCTCAAGATATTATTTAAATTTCCTGTTTAGTTTATTCTTTGACTAAATAGTTGTTGAGGAGTGTATTAGTTATGTTTCACTTATTTGTGAATTTTCCATGACTCTTCCTGTTATTGATTTCCAGTTTCACACCATTACGATGGAAAATGATACTTGATATGATTTCTTTTTATTTCAATGTGTTAAGAATCGTGTTGTTGCCTAAAATATAATCCATCCTGGAGAACGTTCCTTGTGCACTTGAGAAAAACGTATATCCTGTTGCTATTGGGTGGAATGTTCTGTATATATCCGTTAGGTCCATTTGTTCTTACGTGTAGTTTAAGTCTGATGTTTTCTTATTGATTTTCTGTCTGAATGATCTGTCTGTTGCTGAAAGTGGAGTGTTGAAATACCCTATTACTATTGTGTCACATTCCATGTCTCCTTTCGATTTATTATTATTGTTTTGTATTTAAGTACTCCAATTTTGGAGCAAATATAATTGTTAGTTCCTCCTTATGAACTTACCACTTTGTCATTAACTGTTTTGTCCCTTTTTACAGTTTTTGACCTAAAGTTTATTTTTTATAAATGAAATATAGCTACCCTGATCTCTTTCAGTTTCTGTCTCCCTTTAACGTGTTTCTCCATCAATTCACTTTTAATATGAGTGGCCTTTAGGTTGAGATGAGTCTATTGTAGGCAGCATATAACTGGGCTTTGTTTTTTTCATTCCTTCAGCTACACTAAGCCCTTTAACTGAAACACTTAATTCATATACTTTTTTTTTGTAATTGTTTATAGGTAAGGATTTACTACTGCCACTTTGTTAACTGTTTTCTGGTGTTTTATTAGGGCCTTTTTTTTTATTTCTGTCTAGCTTTTTTGCTTTGATGTTTGATGGCCTTCTGTACTGCATTGTTTGGATATCTTTTTTATTCTTTTGTGTTTTGTTATAAAATATTGTTTTGTGGTTACCCTGAGGTTTACAAGAAACATTTTATACTTGTAACAAGCTATTTCAAGTTTAGAATAATTGAATTTTGATTGCAGAGAAAAATTCTGTAATTTTACTCTCTTTCCATTTTTTACTGTTTTGGTGTTATACTTTACATCTTTTTATAATATGTGCCTCTTAACAAATTATTGTTGCTTTGTTTTTAATAGTTTTGTTTTTACACTTTATAATAGACACATAATTAATTTATCCACCACCATTACAGAATTAGAGTCTTTCGGATTTGTCAATGTATGTACATATAGAAAATCCTAAAGACTCCACTAAGAACCTGTTACAACATATTTAAAAGTTCAGTTAAGCTACAAAATAAAATACCAACTTACAAAAATCAGTAGTGTTGCTACACACTAACAATTAACTCACCAGAAAAAAATTTAAAAAACAGTGTTATTTATAATACAATAAAAATATTTATAATTAAATGTTACCAAGAAAGTGAAAAACTGTAAGCTGAAAACTATAAAACATTGATGAAAGAAATGGAAGAAGGTGCAAGTAAATGAAAAAGATATCCCATGTTCATGAATTAGTAGAATTAATATTGTTAAAATGTTTATATTACCCAAATTGATCTATAAATTCAATGGAATCCGTATCAAAATTCCAATGGGAATTTTCACAGAACTAGAAAAAATCCTAAAATTCATATGAAACTACAGAACACCTAATACTCAAAGCAATCTTGACCAAAAAGGACAAAGCTAATGGAATCATACAATGGGATTTCAAAATATATTACAAAGCTATAGGAATCAAAACAGAATGATACTGGCCTAAAAATAGACACGTTGATTAATGTAGTAGAAGAGAGTCCAAAAATAACCCTGCGTAACTAGTGTGAGTTGATTTTCAACAAAGGTGCTAAGAATCCACATTGGAGAAAGGATAATCTCTACAATAAATGCTGTTGGGAAAACCGGATATTCATACACAGAAGAAAAAAAAGAACCCTGATTTCACCCTTATATAAGAATCAACTAAAAATAGAACAACAACTTAAAGATAAGATTTAAAATAATAAAATTACTAGAGTAAAACAGAAAAAAAAAAACTGTGTGACATTTAACATAGTTTCGATGTCCTCTCCAAATCTCATGTTGTGATGTAATCCTCAGTGTTGAAGGTAGGGCCTAGTGGGAGTGGTTTATGTCATGGAGATAGATCCCTCATGGCTTGGTGCTGTCTTTGTAATGGTCATCTGGTTGTTTAAATGCATGACATCTCTTCTTTCTCCCCCAACTATCTTTCTTGCTTTTGTTCTTGCCACGTGAAATGCCTGCTCTCCCTTTGCCTTCTGCCATGAATGAAAGCTTCCTGAGGCCTCATGAGAAGTTGAGCATATGCTGGTACCAGGCTTCTTGTATAGCATGCAGAAACATGAGGCAATAAAACCTAGTTTTGTATAAACTGCCCAGTGTCAGGTATTTCCTTATAGCAATACAAGAACAGCTTAACACAGAAAGTTGGTGCCAGGAATGGGTTATTTTCATAAAGATACCTGAAAATGTGGACGCGACCTTGGAACTGGATAATGGGCAAAGGTTGGAAGACTTTGGAGGACTCAGAAGAAGACAGGAAGTTGAAGGAAAACGTGAAACTTCTTAGAGACTGGTTAAATGTTTGTGACCAAAATATTGATAGTGATATGGACGGTAAAGTCCAGGCTGATAAGGTCGAGCCACTGCTTCAGACATTTTAAGCCATAAGCATTGACAGTTTCCATGTGATGTTAATCTTGCAGGTGCACAGAGTAAAAGAGTAAAGAAAACTTGGCAGCAACTGCCTAGATTTCAGAGGATGTTTGAGAAAGCCTGGGTCCCCAGGAAAAAGTGCGCTGCAGGAGTAGAGCCCTCACAGAGAACATCTGACAGAGCAGTGTGGAGGTAAATTGTGGGGTTGAAGGCACCACACAGTGTACCCACTGAGGTACTGCTTAGTAGAGCTGTGGGAAAGGAGCCACCATCCTCCAGGCCCCCAGAGTGGTAGATCCACCTGCAGCTTACACCTTGTACCTGGAAAAGTTGCAGCCACTCAACAACCTGTGAGAGCAGGCATGGGGACTGAAACCTGGAAAGCCACATAAGTGGAAATGCCTAGGGCCTTGTGAGCCCACCCCTTGCACTAGTGTGCCCACCCCTTGCACTAGTGTGCCCACCCCTTGCACTAGTGTGCCCCAGATGCATGACATGTATTCAACGGAGATTATTTTGAAACTTTAAGATTTAATTACGGCCCTGTTTGATTTTGAACTTGCACAGGGCCTTCCCTTTGGCTGATTTCTTCAATTTCCAATGGAAATGTTTATTCAATAGCTATACCCCATTGTACCCCATCGTAACTTGGAAGTACATAACTTGCTTTTGATTTCACAGACTCATAAGTGGAAGGAACCTGCCTTGTCTCAAATGAAACTTTAGACTTTGGACTTTTGAGTTAATTCAAAAATGTGTTGACAATTTGGGTCCTATTGAAAAGGCATGATTATATTTTGAAATTTCAGAAGGACATAATCCCAGTGTTAGAGGTGGGGCCTGGTGGGAGATGTTTATGTCATCGAAGCAGATCTCACATGGCTTGGTACTGTCTTTGCTGTAGTGATCTGATTGTTTATGTATGGCACCTCCCCCACTCTCTCTCTTGTTCACATTTTCACCATATGAGATGACTACTCCAACGTTGCCTTCCACCATGACTAAAAGCTTCCTGAGGCTTCACCAGGAGCCAAGCAGATGCCAGTACCATTCTTCCTATAAAAGCTACACAACTGTCAGTCAATTAAACCTTTTTTCTTTATGAATTTCCAGGTCTCAGATATTTCTTTAGAGCAATGCAATAATGGCCTAACACAATATTGCACTGGGCAGAATACTTAGATATGATTATAAAAGTTTGAGCAACAAAAACAAAAATAGACAAAAGACACTGAATCAACCTAAAAATCATTTGCACAGCAAATGAAACAATTAATAGAGTGAAGAGATTACACATGGGATGGGAAAAATATATGCAAATTATATATCCAGTAAGTGGCTAATATCCAAAATGTACAATTAACTCAAACTACTTAGTAACAATAAAACAAATACAACTCTTATAAATTGGTAAAGAACTTGAATAGACTTTTCTCAAAAGAAGACATATGAATGTCCAACAGATATATGAAAAAAAGTTCAATGTCTTTAATCATCAGAGAAATGCAAATTACAACCATAATGAGTTTTACCTCCCATCTGTTAGACTGGCTATTTTCAAAAAGTGAAAAATAACAAACATTGGCAAGGATATACAGAAGAGAGCCCTTATACACTCTTGGTGGTATTGTACATTAGCATAGCCATTTTGGAAAACAGTATGTAAGTTTCTTAAAAATCTAAAATTAGAGCTATTGTATAGTCCAGTAATTCAAATGCTGGGTATGCATGCAAAAGAAAGTAAATCATTATATCAAAGAGATATCTGCACTCCCATGTTTGTTGCAGCACTGTTCACAATATCCAAGATTGGGAAGCAATCTTAATTTTCATCAACAAATGAATGGATAAAGAAAATGTGGTACATATACACAATGGAGTACTATTCAGCCATAAAAAGAATGAGATCCTGTCATTTGCTACAACATGGATGGAACTGGAGGTTATGATAAGTAAAATAAGCCAGGAATGAAAACACAAACTTCACATGTTCTCACTTATATGTGGCAGCTAGAAACTAAAACAGTTGAACTAATGGAGATAGAGAGTAGGAGGACATTTACCAGAGGCTGGGAAGGGTACTCAGTGTGTGTCAGGGGTGGGGGGATGTGAGGATGGTTAATGAGTTAAAAAAAAAAAAGAAAAAAAAATAGAAAGAATGAATAAAGACCTAGTATTTGACAGGAAAACGGCATGACTGTGGTTAATAATAATTTAATTATACATTTTAAAATCAAAAGAGTATAACTGGAGTGTTTTTAACACAAAGGATAAATGCTTGAGGTGATGCATACTCCATTTACCAGGATGTGATTGTTACACATTGCATGCCTATATCAAAGTATCTTATGTACCCTATAAATATATGTACCTACTATGTACCCACAAGGATTAAATATTAAAAATTTAAAAAGAACGAAAATAGAATGATGATATAATTATAAAATTCCACTACTATGTATATACCCAAAGGAAATAAAATCGGTATGGCAAAGGTATTTCTGCACACCCATGTTTATTGTAGCACTATTCTCAATAACCAAGATATGAAAATAACCTAAATGTCCAACTATGGGCATTTTAAAAGGTAAAGTACTACATATAATTGTAAAATGAATACGATTCAGTCATTAAGATGAAAACAAATAGAAAATTCTCTAATTTGCAACATGAATGAACCTATGTTAAGTGAAATAAGCCGGCCACAAAGAGACAAATACTGTATAATATCTCTTATATATGAAATCTAAAAAAGTCAAATTCATAGAAGTAGAGAGTAGAATGGTGGTTACCAGAGGCTGTGGGGGTAAGCGTTTGGATGGAGAAATTAGAGATGCTGGTCGATGGGTATAGTTATATTTAGATAAGAGATAAAAGTTCTGATGTTCAACTGCACAGCAAGGTGACTATAGTTAATAATAATGTATTGTATATCTCAAAATACCTAAAAGAGAGAATTTTAAATGTTCCTGTCACAGATAAGTATTTCAGGTGATGGATATACTAATTACACTTATTTCATCATTATAATGTGTATGTGTATCAAAATATTACTTTGTGACACATAAAATACACAATTATTTGTAACCCAATGCAAAGAAGCTAAAAATCATAATAAAACAATACAGGAGCTGATAGCAACAATAGTCTATTTAGAGAGGAACATAACCAACCTGATGGAGCTGAGAAACACAATACGAGATCCTTCACAATGCAATCACAAGTATCAGGAGCAGAATAGGCCAAGCAAAGGAAAGAATCTCAAAGCTGGAAGATGATCTTGCTGAAATAACAGAGGCAGACAAGAATAGAGAAAAAAGAATAAAAAGCAATGAAAAAAGTCGCATGAAATATGGGGTTATGTAAAGAGACCAAATCTATGACTGACTGAGTTACCTGAAAGAGATAGGGAGAATAGAACCAAGTTGGAAAACACACTTCAGGATATAATCCAGGAGAACTTCCCCAACCTAGCAAGACAGGCCAATATTCAAATTCAGGAAATGCAGAGAACCCCAGTAAGATACTCCATGAGAAGATCAACCACAAGACACAATCAACAGATTCTCCAAGGTTGAAATGAAAGAAAAAATGCTAAGGGCAGTTGGAGAGAAAGTCCAGGTCACCTACAAAGGGGAAGCCTATCAGACTAACAGTGGACCTCTCAGCAGAAACTCTAAAAGCCAAATGAGATTAGGAGCCAATAGTCAATATTCTTTTTTTTTTTTTTTTTTTTTTTTTTTTTTTGAGACGGAGTCTCACTCTGTTGCCCAGGCTGAAGTGCAGTGGCATGACCTCAGTTCACTGCAAGCTCTGCCTCCTGGGTTCGTGCCATTCTCCTGCCTCAGACTCCCGAGTAGCTGGGACTACAGGTGCCCGCCACCACGCCCAGATAATTTTTTGCATGTTTTTAGTAGAGACAGGGTTTCACCGTGTTAGCCAGGATGGTCTTGATCTCCTGACTTCGTGATCTGCCCTCCTCGGCCTCCCAAAGTGCTGGGATTACAGGTGTGAGCCACTGCGCCTGGCTGTCAATATTCTTAAAGAAAAGAATTTTCAACCCAGAATTTTGTACCTGGCAAAACTAAGCTCCATAAGTGAAGGAGAAATAAGCTCCTTTTCAGACAAGCAAATGCTGTGGAAATTCATTACCACAAGGCCTGCCTTGCAAGAGCTTCTAAAGGAAGCACTAAATATGAAAAAGGAAACCATTACCAAACACTACAAAAACACACTGAAGTACAAAGACCAATGGCACAATGAAGCAACTACATAAACAAGTCTGCAAAATAACCAGCTAGTATCGTGATGACAAAATCAAATTCACACATAACAATGCTAACCTTAAAGGTAAATGGGCTAAATGCCCCAATTAAAAGACACAGAATGGCAAGCTAGATAAAGAGTCAAGACCCATTGGTATGCTGTCCTCAAGAGACCCATCTCACATGCAGTGACACAGATAGGATCAAAATAAAGAGATGGAGAAAAATCTACCAAGAAAATGGACAGCAGAAAAAAGCAGGGGTTGCAATTCTAGTTTCTGACAAAACAGATGTTAAATCAAGAAAGATAAAAAAAAGACAATGAAGGGTATTATATAAAGGTAAAATGTTCAATACAAGAAAAGCTAACTAACCTAATTATATATGCACCTAATATAGGAGCACCCAGATTTATAAAACAAGTTCTTAGATACCTACAAAGAGACTTAGACTCCCACAGAATAATAGTGAGAGACTTTAACACCCCACCAACAATATTAGACAGTTCATTGAGACAGAGAATTAACGAAGATATTCAGGACTCAACTCTGGATCAAGCAGACCTGGTAGATACCTAAAGAAGTCTCTACCCAAAAACAACAAAATATAATATACATACTTCTCATTGCCCCACAGCACTTACTCTAAAATTGATGACATAATCAGATGTAAAACACTCCTCAGTAAATGCAAAAGACTTGGACCACAGTGCAATCAAATTTGAACTTAAAATTAAGAAATGAACTCAAAACCACACAACTACATGGAAATTGAGCGATCCGCTCCTTAATGACTCTTGGGTAAATAATAAAATTAAGATAAAAATCAACAGGTTATTTGAAACTAATGAGGATAAAGAGACAATGTACTAGAATTTCTGGGATGGAGCTAAAGCAGTGTTCAGAGGGAAATTCATGGTGCTAAATGCCCACAGCAAAAAGTTAAAAAGAACTCAAGTTAACAACCTAACATCACAAATTTTTTTAACAAAAACTAGAGAATCAAGAGCAAACAAACCCCAAAACTAGCAGATGACAACAAATAACCAAGATCAGAGCTGAACTGAAGGAGATGGGGACATAAAAAATTCTTCAAAAAAAAAAAAAACCCCACAAATCCAGAAGCTGTTTTTTTAAGAGAAATAAAATAAAATAAAATAGACTGCTAGCTAGATTAATACAGAAGAAAAGAAAACAGAATCAAATATACACAATCAGAAATGATAAAGGGGATATCACTGACCCCAATGAACTACTCACAGCTATTAGAGAATACTGCAAACACCTCTATGAAAATAAACTAGAAAATCTAAAAGAAATGGATAAATTCCTGCACACATACAATCTACCAAGGAGCCAGGAAGAAATTGAGTCACTGAATAGACTGAGAAATTGTTCTAAAATAAAGCCACTAATAAATAGCCTACCAAGGCAAAAACAGCCCAGCACCAGAAGGACTAAAGGATGAATTCTACCAGAGGTAAAAAGAAGAGCTGGTACCGTTTCTACTGAGACTATTGCAAACAATTGAGGGACTCCCCTCTAACTCATTTATGAGGCCAGCATCATCCTGATACCAAAACCTGGCAGAGATACAAAACAACAACAACAACAACAAAAACTTCAAGCCAATATATTTGATGAACCTTGATATAAAAATTTTTCAATAAAAGGCTGGCAAACCAAATCCAGGAGCACATCAAAAAGCTTATCCATCGTGATCCAGTTGGCTTCATATCTGAGAGGGTATAAACTGTTGGTTCAACATATGCAAAGCAATGAATGTGATTCATCACATAAACAGAACAAAAGACAAAAAACACATGATTATTTCAATCAATGCAGAAAAGGCTTTTGATAAAATTCAACATCCCTTCATGTTAAAAACTCTCAATAAACTAGGTATTGAAGGAACATACCTCAAAATAGTAAGATTCACATATATCAAACTCACAGCCAATATCACACTAAATGAGCAAAAGCTAGAGGCATTTCCCTTGCAAAGTGGCACAAAACAAGCACACCCTCTCTTACCATTCTTATTCAACATGGTATTGGAAGTTCTGACCAGGGCAATGAGGCAAGAGAAAGAAATAAAGAGTATTCAAATAAAAAGAAAGGAAGCGAAATTATCTTTGCAGATAGCATTATCCTACATCTAGAAAACCTTATCATCTCAGCCCAAAAGCTCCTTAAGCTGGCAAGCAACTTTAGCAATGTCTCTAGATACAAAATCAATGTGCAAAACTTGCTAGTATTCCCATACACCAACAACAGGCAAGCAAAGAGCCAAATCATGAATGAACTCTCATTCACAATTGCTATGAAGAGGATAAAATAAGGAAAGTAACGGACATCTTCAAAGAGAACTACAAACCACTGCTCAAAGAAATCAGAGAGAAAACAAACAAATGGAAAAATATTTCATGCCCATAGATAGAAATAATCAATATCGTAAAAATGGCCATACTGCCTTAAGTAATTTATAGAGTCAATGCTATTCCCATTAAACTACCACTGACATTCTTCACAGAACTAGAAAAAACTATTTCAAAATGCCTATGGAACCAAAAAAGACCCTGAATAACCATGACAATCCTAAGAAAAACAAACAAAGCTGGAGGCATCATATTACCTGACTTCAAATTACACTACACTTCAAATTAAACTGCAGTAAACCAAACAGCATGGTACTGGTACAAGAACAGACACATAGACCAGTGGAACAGAATAGAAAACTAAGAAATAAGACCACACACCTACGGCCAAGTGATCTTCAACAAATCTGACAAAAACAAACAATGGGGAAAGGATTTCCTATTTAATAAATGGTGCTGGGAGAACTGGCAAACCATATGCAGAAAATTGAAATTGGACCCCTTCCTTACACTATATACAAAAATTAACTCAACATGGATTAAAGGCTTAAATGTAAAACCCAAAACTATAAAAACCCTAGAAGAAAATCTAGGCAATACCATTTAGGACATAGGCATGGGCAAAGACTTCATCATGAAAATGCCAAAAGCAATTGGAACAAAAGCAAAAATTAACAAGTGGTATCTAATTAAATTAAAGAGCTTCTGCACAGGAAAATAAACTATTATCAGAGTGAACAGACAACCTAGAGAATGGGGGAAATTTTTTGCAAGGTATCCATCTAACAAAGGTCTAGTATCCAGGGTCTAGGGGAAACTTAAATAAATTTACAAGAAAAAAAAAACCATAGGCAAAGGACATGAACAGACACTTCTCAAAAGAAGACATTCATATGGCCAACAAACATGAAAAAAAGCTCAACATCATTGATCATTAGAGATATGCAAATCAAAACCACAATGAGATACTAATATGGTTTGGCTGTGTCCCCACCCAAATCTCATCTTGAATTATAGCTCCCATAATCTCCACGTGTTGTGGGCGGAACCCGGTGGGAAGCAATTGAATCATGGGGTGGGTTTTTTTCCATGCTGTCCTCATGTTGGCGAATAAGTTTCATGAGATCTGATGGTTTTATAAAGGCAGTTTCCCTGCACTTGCTCTCTCACATTGCCTGCCACCGTGTAAGACAAGCCTTTGCTCCTCCTTTTCCTTCCACCCTGATTGTGAGGCCTCCCAAGCCATTCAGAACTGTAAGTCCATTAAACCTTTTTTTCTTTATAGATTATCCAGTCTCATTTATTTCTTCATAGTAGTATGAAAATGGACTAATACAGATACCATTTCACACCAGGCAGAATAGCTGTTATCAAAATGTCAAAACAAACAAACAAACAAAAAAAACAGATGCTGCCAAGGTTGCTGAGAATAAGAAATGCCTTTACACTGTTGGTGGGAATGTAAATTATTTCAACCACTGTGGAATACAGTGTTTCAATTCCTCAAAGATCTAGAGGCAGAAATACAATTTGACCCAGCAATTCATCACTCAGTATATACCCAAGGGAATATAAATCATTCTATTATAAAGATACATGCACACATATGTTCATTGTAGCACTATTCACAATAAGAAAGACATAGAATAAACCCAAAATGACCATCAGTAGTAGACAGGATAAAGAAAATATGGTACATATACACTATGGAATACTATGCAGCCATAAAAAGGGAATGAGATTATGTCCTTTGTAGGGACATGGATGGAGTTGGAAGGTATTATCCTCAGCAAACTAATGCAGGAACAGAAAACCAAACACCACATGTTCTCACTTATAAGTGGGAGCTGAGGGCCAGGCACGGTGGCTCATGCCTGTAATCCTAGCACTTTGGGAAGCTGAAGAGGGTGGATCATGAGGTCAGGAGTTCAAGACCAGCCTGGCCAACATGGTGAAACCTCGTCTCTACTAAGAATACAAAAATTAGCTGGGCAGGGTGACACGTGCCTGTAATCTCAGCTACTCATGAGGCTGAGGCAGGAGAATTACTTGAACCCGGGAAGCAGAGGTTGCAGTGAGCTGAGATTGCACCAATGCACTCCAGCCTGGGCGACAGAGGAAGACCCTGCCTCGGAAAAAATAATAATATTAGTAAGTGGGAGCTGAATGATGAGAACACATAGACACATGGCAGGGAACAACACACACTGGGGCCTGTTGGAGGCTTGGTGTTGGGGGAGTGAGAGCATCAGGCAAAATAGCTAATGGATGCTGGGCCGAATACCTAGGTGATGGGATGATCTGTGCATAAAACCACAATGGCACATGTTTACCTATGTAACAAACCTGCACATCCTGCACATATACCCCTGAACTCAAAATAAAAGTTGAAAAAAAAAGGATAGAAGAAAAGTCTAAAAACAATTAAAAACAACAAAAATATTTCTATTTTTTCTCAGTATGTTTATATATTCCTTTAAGGCCTTCTTCACATTTGTAATAGCCATTTTAAAGTTTTTTTTTCTGTTTATCATGTTTGTTATTTCTGTGTTCATTTCTTTTGTGTGATTTTCCCCTTGGTTATATGTTATATTTTCCTGCTTCCTAACACATCTTCTAATTATTAATTGATTTCTTGATAATGTAACATTATTGGTTGTCTGGATTTTGCTTTATTTCTTTAAATAGTTGATATAAGATTTCGCGCATCAGCTCAATTCTTTTAAGGTTTGTTTTTAAGTGTTGTTAACATGAGTCAGAAGTATCCTTTACTCTGAGGACATTTTAGGTCTACTTTTTAGAAATAGCCATTCTGGTGTCTTCACTGAATGCCCTAGGTGCTAAACAAGTTTTTTCCACTCTAGCTACTGAAAATGCCTCTTAGGCCTATGTGAATTCTGGGAATTGTTCAGCATACAGTTGTCTCCCAGTTGCTCTCTGTCTAGCCTTATGGAATTTCACCCTGTGCATGTTCAGCTTAACATTTAGTGAAAGACCCAAGGGAATCCATATGTACATTTTTGAATCTATTTTTTTTTTTTTTTGAGACAGAGTTTCACTCTTGCTGCCCAGGCTGGAGTGCAGTGGTGTGATCTCGGCGCACCGCAACCTCCGCCTCCCGGGTTCAAGCGATTCTCCTGCCTCAGCCTCCCGAGTAGCTGGGATTACAGGCATGCACCACCACGCCCGGCTAATTTTGTATTTTTAGTAGAGACAGGGTTTCTCCATGTTGGTCAGGCTGGTCTCAAATTCCCAATCTCGGGTAATCTGCCCACTTTGGCCTCCCAAAGTGCTGGGATTATAGGCGTGAGCCACCGCACCCGGACCTGAATCTATTTTTTACTCTCACCCTCCCTTCTCTATTACTCTATCTGACAAATTCCAGTTGGTAAGGCTTTCTTAACTCAGTATCCTCAATTTAATAGAACTACTACGATATGTAGGGATTTCCTGTCCTTGCACCATAGCCTACAGTTACCCGCAGGGAGAAATCCTGGGTGATCATAGGACTTACTTCAGTGTTTTCACTTTTCTTAGTGATTGCTATCCTTTACTATCTGCTTTCCACAGCCCGAACTTATTTAATATGCTTTTCTAGTTTTTTAAGAGAATGAAACTATTCTGGAGCCAATTACTTTGTCATGGCTCAATAAATTATTTTAATGACTATTAGGTAGCGTGAAGATAGAATATATTGTACATACTGTCTCACTTAATAGAAAGGAAGGGGTACCATTAATCACTATATGAGATAATAGATGAAAATTACAATTGTCTCAGGAAAACAAGATACAATCTTACCCTATTTTAAAAAGTAGATTACGTGGCAGTTAGTGGAAGATAGATCAGAATGATGAGTAAGAGCAGAAACTGGGAAGCCAGTCAGGACTTCATGATGGAGATGATTGTGTCCTGGACTATACTGATATTTGTAAAAATGATAGAGAAGTAAATGATATTTGAGATACATTTTGGAGGCAGAACTTTGTTACCAATTGATTGAATAATAAAAGATAAATGGATAAACTAGGCTAGTCAAGGATGACTTTAAAGTTTCCCAATTGTGTTTATTGAAAGAGTATGTTTCCATTTGCTGATGTAGGAAATATTAACAGAAGGAAAACGTTTGAAGAGACAATGTTCATTTCAATAGTGGGTATGTTGAATTATATATGTTTGTGAGGCATATGGGCACGCATAAAAGTTCGAAAAATGTGGTGTGGTACAGTCAGTGTAGCTGCAAAGGAAAACAAGAACAAGGCCTAGAAGGAAGAGGTTTGATTATATTTACAGGTCCAACAGAGTAGGGTCGCCAAATGTCACAGAGGACCACAGAGGGCTAGGCTTTTCTCACATGGAAAAAGATAGAAGCAAAGGGAATCCAGAGCCAGAGTCTTTATGGGGGTTTCTATGGGAAAAGCAAGGCCGGACAGAATAAACAACTTAATATTGGCTGGTTTGAATAATTTGAAAGGGCCTTGAGGTATAAAGACGGTCTCCAGTTTTTTTTTATATTTGGCCCTAGGTGATTTAGGGCAAGGTAAATCTTGGCTTGGTGTGTAAAGAGTTAGACAAGGCTGTGAATGGAGCTATAGACTTTGGTCTATAGACCAAAGATTGGCTCGATTGCACATGCAAGACATGCTCCCAACCTGGCCCTTTACTAACTCAAAGAATTGGCTAGCCCTGGCCCTGGCAGTCTTTACATGGCTAGTAGCCTTTGTAAGATGTCAACACATCATAAAATACATAACATTTAAAAAAATGATTAATACAGTAGTCAAATGTGACAATGTGCAGAGAGATCAGAAGTTAGATATACATTTTTAATCAATGTTTTATAGTTCACAATTGGAGCCAGGAAGTGTATTTTGATGTAGAAAAGACGAGAGTTCAAAACATATTTCAAAGATACTGTAATCTTTGGATAAGTAAGAAGAAGTGAAGGAAACAGAAAAGAAACAAATCAGAGGGGAAAAACACAAATCAGAAGAACAAGGTGTAATGAAAAACAAAGAAAGTGAAAGTTTTTAGAAGACGGGAATGATCTACTTCATCAAATGTTCCTGTTAAATAGTCTTTACTGTATTACGTTAACTTCTCTTATAGTCAGTTTTTACTTTTAAAAAAGCTGGAATATAAATACTTTGTAGAGAGGTGTTCGAAATTTAATATATAAAGCAATGCTACTCAAATTTAGGTCTGGATACCAGTGCTAATCCAGGAATTGTTTGATTCTGGTTTGTGATAAGTACATAAATTGAAACAGAATGTTAAAAAAGAAATGTTTACAGAAAACTTTATGTCTCTTGAATCTAATCATTTAAAACATAGACTTGACTCATGTCTTTGCTTTTCTCTATTAAGTTTATATTAATGAATTATTTTATTTTATAAAAGTGTGAATCCATGGTAGATGGAGAGAAAAACTGTTCTTAGACTACAGATAATTTAGGAAGTACAGATCTAAAACAAACATCATAGTGCCCTTCTTTAAATTGATATTGGTAAAACCACATCTATGAGGTTGTGTGTGTATGTGTGTGTACAGAAAAGATGGCTGAGTTATATTTAAAAAAATAAGACAAAACTGCTTTCTTATAGGTTTCAGTAACTTTAAAATCTAGCATTTCTATTATAATCCAAGCATGTAACATATACATATAAAATCACAAAGTAATTACTAAACCAGCATATCAATCTAGTCAAAATTACACTAATTAAAAGAGACTGCATGATAAAGCAATTAATGCCTATTTTTTAAGGGTTTAAATAAGGACCAATACATCAATATGGTTTGGGATTAGACTAGAATTTTCAGATACCTTAAACTTGAGTTTATAAAGTTGGGACAATTGATTAAGTGATTCATTCAACCAAATTCATCAAGACCTCACTATGAGTCAAGCACTGTTCTACTGCTGATAATATAGTAGCAAACAATAGTTACGGTTTCAGTCACAGAGTTTATAATCTAGGGTTGGGGAAGAGTTAAAGTAAAACACACAGTGAATACAATATTTGAGGTGGTGATGAGTGGCATACTGAAAATTTAAAGAGGGTCATTTGGAGTGCTGTTTTACATAGGATGATAAGGTAAAGACTCTCTGATACAGAGGTATTTGCACAGAGACTTGGACTAAATGAAGGAGTTGGTCATGCTGATATTTGGGTAAAGAGTTTTTCCAGAGAGATGGAATAGCAAGGGCAAAGGACTTGAGATAGAAGTATGTTTGCCGTTTTTGTGGAATACCAATGGGGCATTGTAACTTGAGAAAAATAAAGAAGAGAGGAGTAAAAGACGAAGTCAGAGAAATAGTGGGAACACAGATCTGTAGGGCATTTTAGGACAAAATAGGGCTTTTTTGCTTATACTTTTATCTAATTTGGAATCCATTGATGATTCTGAGCACAAGTATCATATGACTTGACTTATATTTTAAGAATGGTTCTGTTTTTTGAACATGGAGGAGTGCACATTAAGAGTCAAGGACACCAATGGGGAGACTGTGCGGCAAAGTGAGAGATTATGGAGGTATAACCACATCTAGATCAAGGTTGGAGTGTCAGTGGAGATGAGAAGTGGGGGATTTTGACTACCATAGTAATCTTTCTATAATTTGGACCTGACTTATTTCTCCAGTGTCAGTTCCTATTATATCTTTTCCAATGATGACAAGATTAATATTAATGCTAATAGAAAGTATTAATTGAGTGCACGCTATGTTCTAGACACTTTTCTAAGCAGTGAGAAGAGGCGAAGAAATATACTTTTCACATAATGCCTCGTGTTAGACTATTGTATATAAGCCTGTCCTATTCACATGAGAATGTGAACACCTCAGAGATAAGAGCCATGTCTTATTTATCTTTAAAAATCCTTTAGTACATGGAATAGTGCCCTGAACATAGTATTTACTCAATAAATCTTTGTTGTGTCTGCTCATAAAGATAGTGAGGGGCTGGGCGCAGTAGCTCATGCCTGTAATCCTAGCAATTTGGGAGGCTGAGGTGGGCGGATCACCTGAGGTCAGGAGTTCGAGACCAGCCTGGCCAACATGATGAAACCCCATCTCTACTAAATATATCTATTTAGTAGAGATTTTATAATATATAATATTATAATTATATATATTATATTGTATATGTCAAATAAAAAAGAGTTTGACGTCCACAAATAAACAATGCTTGTTAAATTCTCAAATTATAAGAATAGAAGCAAGCTTGGCCTTATATTCACACTCAAAAATAAAAAAACTACCAAATTAAAAACCTATTTTTGAGTAAACATAATTGGGACCTTAATGTTTCAAAACTGAAGTATGATGTGTTTTGGTTTTTGTATGTTTGTTTGTTTCTAAATTTTTACTTTTTATTTTTAATTTTTGTGGGTGCATAGTAAGTGTATATATTTATAGGGTACATGGGATGCTTTGACAGGCATGCAATGTGAAATAATCACGTCATGTAGAATAGGGTTTCCATCTTCTCAAGCATTTATTCTTTGTGTTACAAACAATCCAACTGTGTTTTGCAAGAGTACTTATTTTTTACTGTAATTCATAGTCATGAAATCTCTTGAGTTCCCTAGGCCTTATCTATATATGACATGGAACATGGCCTCCTTCCATGAAGCAGGGGCTTAATCAACAGGAATTAGTCCTGCCCATTTACTCTGTGCCTGTTGCCTGGCTTTGGATCCCTCAGATCTGGTTTTCCTTTCTAGGGCTTCAACCAAAGTTTGTAATTGAGTTTGGGACAAAAAGGTGTCTCGGGGGATGCATGGATTTATTTAGATTAAGTCCCAGACAGACTTTGCCAAATTTGCCGTTATTAGCCAGTGGGATGGCTCCTCTGTTGCTTTCCTATCATAAGCAGAGTGCAGAGGTAGGAAAAGAAACCTCTCACATAGAAAAGGAAAAAGAAAAAAAATCGATTTAGGTGGAGAAGAACCTCTTCCTCTATGCAAATGGATTCCTTAAATCACTGTATCCTTCCTCTGGCTCGGACAAAGCCGGACCTCTCGCCCGGGGAGGAAAGACTCTATGGGCACATGGCAGGAGGGGATGGCGGGTGGGACATGCTGGCCAACTAGCCACGTGAGGCCCCTGGCCCCTGAGACTGCCCTGGGGCCTGGGCAGCAGCCACAGTTCTCTCCCACCCTGCATGGCCATTGCAAACATACCCCTCGCCCCACATGTGCAGACACAGGTGTGTGCCGTGGATCCGCCCAAGCACCCCATCCAGGAGGGAAGGGGGGTGAGAAGGGGAGCCACCATGCACCCTGCGTGGCTGTGGATCTTTGGCTAGAGGTGGGGATCGCACCTCTATGAACGAATGGAAATCACATTGTTCTAAATTGCATATGTGGTGGCTAGGCCAAACACTCATTTTACCTAGTAACATTTCTGCAGTTTGTAACAAGATCCTTATCAATAATATTCAAAATGATGTTATAACATAGCAATTTAATAGCTGGAAAGTTATTAAAAATTCAAGTGTAGAGCAGCAAACAAAATTTAATCAGGAAATTTGTTACTGACTTCAAATGATTTGACACAATGATTAATTATTTGTCCATTATATGAATAATGGACAAAACAAATGATTTGTCCATTCAATTCTACTTAGAATATACAAATTTAGATAAAATATAGAAACGACTCTGTGAATACACACAAAAAAAACAAATTTTCCACTTTTTTATTCCACAAAAGCAGTCTGTTACTTATTTGAAAACAGCAAATTTATCTTCCAAATTTATTATGTAATACGAGTATCCTTGTGCAAGATGCAACTATGAACAAAACTGATTGTGCCTCTGTTTTCGTGCTTCAGTGTTTTAAAAGTACTTCAAAAAGACAAAAAAATAAAGTATCTCAAAGCCAACCAATGCTTCACAGAGAAAAAGACAGTAGAAAAGTTACATAAAATATAAATAACTTTTTCTTAAAAGCATTAGGGAACTAATACAGAAACAAGACCAGAGTGCTCAAGATTCTGGGAGAGAGAAGAAACACTGAGAGTTGAGTAGATACTTTTACCTCAGGAGTCCATTTTGTCATAAATGGACTGAGAGCTCAAAATCCAGTCTTTGCTCAGGCAGAATGGTTGCTGAAAGACAGAGGTATAAGCAAAGTGTTTGTCAGTGTCAACAAACTAGAGAGAAAATTGAAAGCTTTATGGCACAAAATGTTCAACATATTAAATAGCAGAAAACTGGGCATTGAATGTGTATTGTTTTATTTTCAAAAAGTTTGCCAAATTCTGAAGCTACAAGTAGCAAGGTGCTGAAAAGCTAAGCTGATATTCTCTGTAAAGTGGTGTAAAGTTTTCTGCAATTTATTTTTGCTCAGGAGATGAAAAGGAAAGCTGAGGACCAGCCAGTGAAGGGAACTCAGTTATGATACCAGGCTCTCAGTTGTAAGGTCTAGACTCAGTCACACTGTAGTTGAAAGTATGTACCCTGGGATCAGTGTCAAAGCAGAAGTCTACCAAGCTTTACAAAAAGTGCAATGAAGCTCCTATTGAAATCAGTCTCTCTGTTAAGATTAAAGTGAACAGTCCTCATTCTCTCTGCTTAGCAGAGGAAATTCGAAACTATGTGTGCAGGAAAATATTACCACATGGAGTGTGTAACTTCGTTTATAACTAATACCTTGCCTTCGTCAAAAACTTCCTCCTACCAAAAGACAGAATCCTATAACCAAAAGGAAGATTAACAAATAAAATAATAACAGAGCTGAGGTATTCCAGATATTATAGTTGGAAGGCAAATAATGGCAGATAAGAGAAAAAAGTGAATGATTTCATTAGAATATTAGAATTTATTGTTTTAACTAGAAATTTTGAAAAAACAAAATAAATGAAATTATAAATTGGGTAGATGGATTTTACTGCAGGTTAGTCATAGCATAACAACATACTGGGGTACTGCACGAATGGTCACACCTATAAATTAGATTTCATCAAAGTCTAAAGATTCTTTTAAGAGGAAGAAAACCAAGGTACAGACAGGGAGAAAATATTTGTATACCATGTATCTAACAAAGGATTTATATCCAGAACATGTAGAGTAGTCTTAAAAGTCAACTGTAAAAAATTAATAATAACCTAACTGGAAAATGGTCAAAAGGTATGAACAGACATTTCACTGAAAAATGATCTACAGATGGTAAACAAGCACATGAAAAGATGTTCAACCAGTTGTCTTAGGATTCTCCAGAGAAAAAGGGGCAAGAGAAGATCGATCTATCTACTATCTACTTACTATCTATCATCTATGTATCTATCTATCTATCTATCTATCTATCTATCTATCTATCTATCTATCATCTATCTATGTCTAGCTATATAAGATTTGTTATAAGGAATTGGCTTACACAATCACAGAGGTTGAGAAGTCCTATGTTCTGCTATCTGCAAGCTGGGGGACCAGAAAGAGAGTGGTATAGTTTCAGTCCAAGTCCAAAGGCCTGAGCATCAGGGGAGTTGATGTTAAATGACAAAGTCCAAGTATGAAGGCCCAGTGACCAGAGGAACCACTGTGTAAGTCCCGGTCCAAATGCAAAGGCCTAAGAACCAGAGCACTTATGTTCACAGGCAGCAGAAGACGAATGTCCCAGCTGAAGCATAGAGAGTGAATTCACCCTTTCTCTGCCTTTTTATTTTATTCAGGCCCTCAACAGATTAGATGATGCCCATTTACATTGAGCAGGGGCATTTACATTTACTCAGTTCACCAATACATATACTAATTTATTTCAGAAACATCCTCATGGAAACACCCACAATAATGATTCACTAGTTATCTGAGCATCCCTTAGCACAGTCCAGGTCAACACATTAAATGAACCATAACAAGAAGACCCCTTGTCAACTGGGCACATGTACACATCTCCTCAAGCCATACTTAATCTCCAAATTAAGACAGGAAAATGGTCATAATTCCTCCTGACATGATGCAGCTATTCTGCATACAACAAAAAATCCATTGATCTCCACACAAGAGAAAGTAAAGTAAATGAGTGATGTTTACTCCTCTCCTGACATCCCGTAACTTAAATACTATGATGTAACATTGACAATATTTAAATACTAATATAAAGTCAATATGTTTTATTTTAAATTATTATAGAATAACAGAGAAAATAAATCAAAGGCATTTGCTTTACATATATACATATATATATATATACACACACACACACACACGTATTTGTGTATAAACACAACTGTATTCATAACAAAATAAGAAGGGAATACTCATGATGATGACAGTCCTCCTTTTGGAAACCGGTCACATCATCAAGGCTGGTATTTCAAACTACCTTCCTCTACAACTCATTCTGTATTCCATTTGCCTTCAGCAAGCATCTTAGCTGGTTGTCATTTTTTACCTGGCAGGGTAACCAAACCTTAATTCCAGAAGGGCCTAGGCCAATCATAGTCCTGCCTAAATTGGGCTGTTTTCGATTTTCACTGATCTTAATTACAGTGCACAGTCATAATAAGAGAATCCGTACAAGATTTCTATTATTCTATACATATTTTTCCTCCCCACCATTGTAGAGTCACAGTCCATATTCTTCTTGGTAGTTGGGATCATTCGTCCCAGCCAACAAAGTAATTCCCTTCTTAGCCTATTGACTGAGGCAGGAGGAGCCCAAAATTGCTGGGTGTCAGTCTTAACTTCCAGTTTGATACAATCATTGTTGTGTCTTTTTCTGGAAACATCCCTCCCTCTGGAATTAAGACCTTTAGGCTAGCAGAGCATAAAGTCACAGGAACAGGAAACAAAATTTTTGCCTGTAGGTCAGTAGAGGTAATAATGAATGTTACCACCACTCCAATTTCCGTCTGAACCCCTGAATCCTGGTAATCAGAGAAACAGCGCTATATCTTGAACACTGATTAAGCTGAATTGCATTCAATTCCATTGAAGGGGAATCCTCCCAGTGACCTGCTATAGCAAAAATACCATAGACTGGATAGTTTAAACAACAAAAATGTATTTCTCATGGTTCTGGAGGTTGGGAAGTCTGAGATAAGATTGCCAGTATTGCTGGATTTTGGTTATGGCCTTCTTCCTAGTATGCAGAAGGATGTCTTTTTACTGTGTCCTCACATGTTGAAAACCAAACACCAAGAAAAGAAGCCGTGGTTTATCTTCTTATAAGGGCAATTTTCATTTGTCTTAGTCCGTTTGAGCTGTTATAACAAAATATCTTAGAATGAATAATGTATAAATAACAGAAGTTTATATCACACAGTTTTGGAGTCTGCAAAGTCCAAGATGAAGGCACTGACAAGTTTTGTGTCTGGCGAAGGCCCATTCCTCATAGATGGCACACCCTTGCTATATCCTCACATGGTAGAAGGGATGAATGCTGTGTCCTCACATGCTGGAAGGCATGGAAGAAACCAGAATGCTCCTTTAAACTTTTTTATAAGAGCACTAATCCCATTTATGGGGGTAGAGTCCCCATGACTTAATTACTTTCCCTTAATTACTTTCCCTTACCTATTACCACATTGCATATTATGTTCCAACATACAAATTGGGGGAGGACACCAACATTCAGGCACAGCATCATTCGTGGGGGATCCACATTCATTACCTAAAACTAAGGCCCTACCTCCTAATACCATCACATTGGGTATTAGGATTTCCACATGTGAAGTTTGGAAGTACACAAAAGTTCAGTCATAATACATGGTGTCAAAAGTTGTAATTGTAAGAAGTGAGTGCCTGGTAGGAAATATAAGGGTGATTCTAGGCACTAGTAATTTTGTTTTATGACTTTGTTTATGTTCTGTTTACATATGTACATTCACTTTAAGAAAGTTATTCTAGCTTTACACTTATGAGTCTTGTACTTTTCTGAATAGATACTGTAGTTCAATAACAATGTACTTCAAACAATATATTTCTAAGGGAAAGGAGTTCTGAAATATAACCATTTTGACATACTAAAGTATATACTCCATGAAGCATTACATTAACTGCAATATAGACACACACACACACATATATATACACATATATATGTATTTCCATGTGTAGATATAAATTGACATAATCAATGATTGAGTCATGTGTACTCAGATATGCTTTCAAATGTCTTCCTTTCTCAATCAGATCCAGAGGCTAGAAAACCTAAGCAAAGATGGTAGCTATATGGTCTGCAATGGTGCTAATGAATAATCAATTCTATGAAAATGACAAACTATCAAAGAGGCCAGATTTATCAACATAATAAATGAAATTTAAGAAATTGAAAATTTTCCCTACCATTTAGATCCTTGATCTACCTCTTTAATATCTTGAACAAGCTTAGCTATTACCAGGGATTGGAGCAAAGGAGATGATAACCAAATGGAGAAGAATTAATTCCATTTGCAGACAACCTCTTCACTGTTGGAAATTGCAGATAAATGTAAAATACAAAATTGGTGGTTCATCAGAGAGTAAATGTTCCAAACATTAACTTTCTAATAAGGTCATGATAAATCTTGATTAAAGGCATGTCAAACCAGTTGCTTATTATTTAAAAGAAAAGAAATCTAGAAAGAAATATGTATCCATTAACATTGAAATTAGAAAATTCAATACATTCATAAAACCCAGGCAATTAAAGACTTCAATTTGCTTTTTATAATAAAAATTGAAAATGTCAATTCTATAATAAAGAGAAACCTTATTTCTATCTGGTAAAATCTTTGGCTCCAGATAGCCATTGTTAATTTTCAAAAGATGAAAAAAAAAAAAAAAACACTTACACAAATGGAATGTATTATGTATCCAAATGATGTAAATGACAAATCTGTTCAGTGAAATTCAAGAAAAAAACAAAATTATGCATGCAAATACCCACACACTGACACTCACACATACATCCTTACATACATTAATTATCTCATTAATACAGTAGTAAAGCTAATCTGAATAATAATGACAAGTTTCCAAGATCATAATAGAGAAAAAGGGGGCTAATAAAATCATATTTTAAGATAGTCATATACCTTTCTGTGACAGGAAGCAGGTTGAATTCTAAGGGCTGGTAAGAAGAAGCAGAATTAAGAGAAGCCATACTTTTTTCTTGGGTGTAAAACCAAGATCCCTATGAGATAAACAGACATGCACGGATGTGTCTATGCATACGCAGACACACACACACAAACACACTTTGCACATCACACATTACACATATATTACATGGAATTAGAGTTTGTCTCAAATGAAACTATTGTGGCCTGTTGAAGCTTTCAAAACCTTCCAGTAGAAAAATTGCCCTAATTTGGAGGGTCTGCTTCCACAGCAGTGGGGTCTCTGATTCTCTACTCATAACATCTACATCCATTAGATGGAAAACCCCTTTTGAATGAGGGAATGATTCAACATATTTATGTCAGTTGCTATGGTCTGAATGTTTGCATTCCACCAAAAAACTGTATGTTGAAATTTAATCCCCAATGTCAGGGTATTTGGTTGTGGGGCCTTTTGGAGATAATTACATCAAGAGTAGAGTCTTCATGAATGGGATCAGTGCCCTTAAAAAAGAAGCTCCAGAGATATTTACCTGCCCTTTCTGTCATGTGGATACACAACAAAAAATGCTGTCTATGAAGCAGGAAGTGGCCAGCACCAGGCACTAACTCTGCTGGCACCTTGATCTTGAACTTTCTGGTTTTCTAAAGCTGTGAGAAACAAATTCCTCCTGTTTGTAAAACAGCTTGTCAATGGTAGTTTGTAATAGAAGCCTGAATAGACTAACACACCAAAGCATTGGTAAAGATATCATTAAAGTAATACATACGCTCAGGAGCTAGAGTGTTTAGAATGACTCTAGGACATGAAAATGATAATTGGACAGAGTTGACCTAAATGCATCAGCACATCACAAAGAATCTCCCCAGGAGAACTCAATATCTGAATAATTGCTGGCACCACTGAGTTCACTAAATTTTTTAGTGTCTATTATGTACTAAGCACTGATCTAAACATTAGGGCTACAAAGATAGATCAAAGATAGATAATACATAATATCTCTTACCCTCACATTTTTCTAGTCTATTAAGGGACATACATGCAAACAATCTTAATCCAGATAATATCGGGATTGTGTCGGCAATATATATGTGCATAATATGATCGTGTGCCTCCAAAAGTAAGAGTAATGAAAGATGCCCATTAGATTTTGCAATTAGATCGTCAGTGGTGATCTCAGCGAAATAACTTCCTGCCATTCCTGGGATAAGAGTCACATTATGATGAGTTGAGAAAAGCAAGAACAATGAGAAAATCATGACAGAAAGTTCTGATTATGGGCAAGAGCAAGAGCTGAACAGGATGAAGAGTTAAGAGGAGGAATGTGTGTGTACATGTGTGTTAGAATGAGTGCCGTCTGGATATATTCATAAATTTGGAAGGAAAGAGTTGAGTGAGAAGGAAAAAGTTTAAAATAAGAAGAGAAAGTGAATGAAAAATTGTATCTGTGTGAGATGGAAGTAAGACAGGATAAAGAGCACAGAATAGGAGATCATACAGAAGAAGAAGGAGCCCTCTACAAAGTTATTAGATTTTAGAATACAGAATGTTGTTCTCTATTCAGAAAGTTTCCATCCAAATATTTTCTACTAGGTAAATACCTCTCCCCTCAAAACTCTTCTCATCTTTCATCTCTATGAAGAGTTTCTCTGAAATCTCACGGTCTCTCAATTGTGACCCCACTCAACTTTTATATATATATGATCTCAATATGTTTACCATGCCTGCTCTTATTTGTTTACTGTATGCCACTAGACCAACATTGTAAGATCATTGAATCCAGATACACTGTATGCTTCATGTATATTATTACATCCTAGTGAGGTGTCAGACTTATGGCCTGCATTTAAGAGATATTTGGTAAATATAAAAGAAAATGATTGGCTATAGAATAGCATGCAAGGTAGGAGGTAGAGATGATGTTGCAGAAGAGTTTACCCAATTATAAATTATGCACAAAACTAAAAACAAAACATTCTCAGATGTGAAAATAAACAACCATAAAAACAAAACTTTTATAAGCAACCCTCAAGCAAAATTGGAAAATGTGGAACTTCCATTAGAAAATATTAATAAAATGAAATAATTAGAATATTACCTATAAAAATCTATAAAAGGCAACCAAATTTATACTCCATGGACAATTCATAGTGTTGAGTTCTTTCATATTTGAAAAAATAATGGATGAAAAATAAAAAATGAACATTAAACTCAAGACACTAGAAATAATTTTAAAAATAAAATGTGTGATAAAGAAATTAATATGCATAAATAAAAGCAGCTTGTCCTTCCACAGTGGCTCACTCGTGTAATCTCAGTGCTTTAAGAGGCCGAGGCAAGTTTGTGGTTGCAGTGAGCAATGATTGCTCCAGTGCACTCCAGTCTGGGCAACCGAGTGAGACTCTCTCTCCAAAAAAAGGGGAAAAAAAAAAGCAGCAAAAGCTTTTTTAAAAAGCCACATATCACAGGTATACCCCCGCAACCCCAAGGAAAGATACACATTTCTGCAGGATGTTTTAAAAACACAAAAACTGGACAAGAAAGGTTAAACAGTGACTATTCATTTTTATTTTTATTCTGTTTGAGACGGAGTCTAGCTCTGTCGCCAGGCTAGAGTGCAGTGGCGCAATCTTGGCTCACTGCAACCTCTGCCTCCCAGGTTCAAGCAATTCTCCTGCCTCAGCCTCCCAAGTAGCTGGGATTACAGGCACGCACCACCATGCCTGTCTGAGTACGTATGACTCAATCATAGATTATGTCAATTTATATCTACACATGGAAATACATATATATGTGTATACATATATATGTGTGTGTGTGTGTCTATATTGCAGTTAACGTAATGCTTCATGGAGTATATATTTTAGTATGTCAAAATGGTTATGTTATATTTCAGAACTCTTTTCCCTTAGAAATATATTGTTTGAAGTATATTTTTATTGAACTACATACAGTATCTACTCAGAAAAGTACAAGACTCATAAGTGTAAAGCTAGAATAACTTTCTTAAAGTGAATGTACATATGCAACCAGAACATAAACAAAGTCATAAAACATGCTAATTTTTTTTTTTTTTTTTTTTTTTAGTAGAGATGGGGTTTCACCGTGTTGGCCAGGATGGTCTCAATCTCCTGACTTTGTGATCAGCCCACCTTGGCCTCCCAAAGTGCTGAGATTACAGGCGTGAGACACCGCGCCTAGCCTCGACTACTATTTTAAGTATACGAATATTTTGGGCCAGGCGCGGTGGCTCACTTTGGGAGGCCGAGGCGGGCGGATCACAAGGTCAGGAGATCGAGACCATCCTGGCTAACACGGTGAAACCCCGTCTCTACTAAAAATACAAAAAATTAGCCAGGCGTGGAGGCGGGCGCCTGTAGTCCCAGCTACTCAAGAGGCTGAGGCAGGAGAATGGCGTGAACCTGGGAGGCAGAGCTTTCAGTGAGCTGAGATTGCACCACTGCACCCCAGCCTGGGCAACAGAGCGAGACTCCGTCTCAAAAAAAAAAAGTATACAAATATTTTAAATATTATTGAGTATTTACAATTTGAATTTTTAAATTAAACATTACTTATTTAGTAAGCCATAACCTATTATAAAGTGGATATTAATTTGTCTATAATCTATAAAATGTGCATAATTTTCCTAATCTATGCTATGAAAATAAATTTTTATTTGTCTTTCATAAGAATTCACATTTTTGTAGGGAGTTCAGGTTGTAAAAGCATAGGCTCAGTATCTTTAAAATTACATTCTTCTGTTTTGGCCTTAGATGGATTTGTAATTCATTTAGTTCATGGACCATCCTCTTTGACTTTGGGTCTTTCAACAAAAATGTTGGATAATGACAAGCAAAAAGAGCCATTAGTTTGTTACCTACAATTTGAGTAGTGTCCTAAATTTTTATGGCTAACAGATAGTATAAACATCTGCTGATAGTCAAAGCCCTATTGTTTGATGTGGAAATTAATGAGGTTGGTGTGGGTTTAAAATAGTTTCTCAGAGAAATAAAAGTGAAAAAATTCGTCTGCACCAAGGCACAACTAAAATTGTGTTGGGGATCATGTATTTTCAGAACTGTGAGTATACATAGCTATCTGGTATTTATTCAGCATTATTCATCCACACACCAAAATGTATTTTTAGGGAAGTGATGTTAGAAAATTGATCAGTTTTCCAACACTTGCAACATAAGCAGCTGGGCCATGTCTTTGTTAGGCTGCACTAGTGACCTCATAACCAATAGGTTTTTCATTACTTTGCCATGGGGCTGCAAACTCAAATGCCTCTACATGTAGGACAGGTAATCTAAAGAGACAATAGACCATATGTAAGACTAGAGGACATAATGAGATCTATATGGCCCTATCAAGATTTTTATTCTACCTTAAATCATGCAAGTCAAATGTTCTCTCAACAATGGAGTGAAACTGTGAAGACCATTGCTTAGAGCCAGGCTGTATAGATTTGAATCATCAATCCCATGCTTGCTAGGTACAATGCCTTAAGCAAGTTACTTAAACTCAACTTCATTAGCTGTAAAATTGGGCTAATAATGCTTCAAAGTCTCCTCAGATTCTTGTGAGCATTACTTGAGTTAATACCAATTACGTGCTTAGAATACCGGGTCAAAGTAGGTATCATATATGGGTTTTCCGTGATCCTCATTTTGGGCCTTTTCTAACTTCCTAAATGTTAATTTAACATTTATTTCCTGCTTTCAAAACTTAAAAGTGCTAAGCACTTGAGCATATTCTGAAATCCAACCAATTTTTAGATGGAGGACTCTAACAGGCCCAAGTACATTGATCTCATTGTTATTTATGATGAGGTAATTAAAAACCACATTAATTCCAAACAATGGAGAAATAGCTATTCAATTGTAGCAAATCCAAATAATGCAGAATTAATCTACCATTATAAGTGCTCTTCTACCCCAGCCAGGCGTGGTGGCTCACACCTGTAATCCTAGCACTTTGGGAGGCCAAGGTGGGCGGGTTGCCTGAGCTCAGGGGTTTGAGACCAGCCGGACAACACCGCGAAACCCTGTCTATACTAAAATACAAAAAGTTAGCTGGGCATGGAAGCGTGCGCCTGTAGTCCCAGCTACTCAGGAGGCTGAAGCAGGAGAATTGCTTGAACCTGAAAGGCAGAGGTTTCAGTGAGTCGATATCACGCCACTGCACTCCAGCCCGGGGAACAGAGCCAGGCTCCATCTCCCTGCCTGCCCACCCCCCCAAAAAAAAGTGCTCTTCTGAAGAGTGTGCAAAAACATGGTATTCTTTGATGATGTGTCTTTAAATGAAAAAGGCAGAAAGCAAACATATATACACTGTATGACTGTGTATATATAAATACACACATAGTAGCAGAAAATAGTTTTTTTAATAGGATTAGGGATAAATTTGAATTTTCTATATTGGGCACATTTCGTATTCTTGGACTATAATACTTTTACAAAATTGTATTAAAACACAAGGATTTAGAGCAACAGGAGCTCTCAATCATCGTTGGTGGGAATCCAAGATGGCATAGCCACTTTGGAAGACATTTTGTCAGTTACTTACAAAACTAAACATAGCGCTACCATACAATTCAATAATTCACACTTCTTGATATTTACACAAATGAGTGGAAAACGTTTGTCCACACAAAAACCTGAAAGCCTAAGGGAAATGTGGAGATAATGGTAAAAGGGTACACAATTTCAGGTATAAGATGAAGAAGTTCTGAGGATGTAATTTATAGCATGGTGACTAGAGTTGATAATATCATATCGTATACTTGAAATTTGCTAAGAGAGAGTAGATCTTAGGTTTCCTCACCTCCTTATACACACACACACGCACACACACACACACGGACAGCATACCTATGTGTGGTTATGGAAGTGTTGATTAATTTGATTGTAGTGATCATGACACAATGCATATGTATATCAAATCATCACATACAACTTGAATACGTACAATTTTTATTTGTCAATTAATATCTCAATAAAGCTGGGAAATAACTGCACAGGAATTTTTACAACAGCTTTATTTATATTTGTAAAACTTGGAAACAACCAACATGTCCTTCAATAGGTGAATAAACAAACTGTGGTGCATTCATACGGTAGAATACTTTAGTGATAAAAAGGGATGTGCTATCAAGCCATGAAAAAATATGGAACAATCTTAAATGCATATTGTTAAGTGAAAGAAGCCAGTCTGAAAGTGCTACTGACAGTTGAGGTGGAAGCCAATCCTCCTAACACAGCTCTGGAATACCAGACAGTCAGAACTGGAAGATGTGCAGGTGGAAGTACCAACACAGAAGGTGAATATTTAAAGGAACATAAAAGGAATGGCTGCATCTGACCACACTGGCCACTTGCCATTCCGGTTTATACAGAAGCATCCCAGTGCTTACTACCAAAAGACTGTTCTCTAAAGAAATAATGTGTTCATGACCGGGCCCAGTGGCTCACACCTGTAATCCCAGCAGTTTGGGAGGCTGAGGCGGGCGAATCACGAGGTCAGGAGTTCAAGGCCAGCCTGGCTAACATAGTGAAACTATGTCTCTACTAAAAATACAAAAATTAGCTGGGCGTGGTGGCACGCACCTGTAGTCCCAGCTTCTCAGGAGGCTGAGGCAGGAGAATCGCTTGAACCCGGGAGGCAGAGGTTGCAGTGAGCTGAGATCACGCCATTGCACTCCAGCCCTGGGCAACAGTGCTAGACTCTGTCTCAAAATAATAATAACAATAATAATAATATGTTCAGCCTGGGAAAGTTAGGCTCATTGGAAGGTTTTCAGCACACACGATTCTGTTTCAATTAATTATGAAGTGATAAGAAACAGAGTGAGTTGGTTATTCACCAATCCTCCAATGCACAATTAAGAAAAGTTGAGTAGGCTACAATACTTACTCAATTACACAGAACTCTTCCCTTTCAGATAAGGAAGGCACCTATTAGGGAAACAATCTGCTCTACAAATAGTCAGCCTAGGCCTTGATTTTTACAAAATGACTAACCATCAAAGATAAACCCATATTTGAAAAAAATTGTACAAAATAGAAAGAGCATAAGGATTAAATTGAATATTTTACACTAGGAGAAATACATACAATTCAAGGAAGAAGTATGAAAGCAAAATATAATTAGGCTACTCAAGTATATTTGGGATGATACCAATTTCATCAATAAAAAGGGACAGGATTTTATATAAAAGCAAATGTAATAGAACAAATGAGAATGTATAGAAATTAAACATCACCAATTAAAAGTTGGAAGTCATTAGAAAGAATAAAATATATAATCAAGAATATCTCTTGAAAATAGAGTTAAAAGGCCAGGTGTGGTGGTTCAACATGTAATCCCAGTGCTTTGGGAGGCCAAGGTGAGAGGACCGCTTGAGGCTAGGAGTTCAAGACCATTCTGGACAACATCGCAAGATCCTGTCTCTACAAAAATTTAAAAAAAATTGCCAGGGGTGGTGGCACACACAGGTAGTCCTAGTTACTCAGGAGGCTGAGGCAGGAGGAACAGTTGAGCGTGAGAGTTCCAGGCCATGGTGAGCTGTGAATGCACCACTGCATTTCAGCCTGGGTGATAGAGTAAGATGCTGTCTCTTAAAAAAATAGAGTCAAAAGACAAAAAAAAAAGTGACAACATATTGGATAAATGTGACTAATAGGAATTTCAAAAAGAAATTACAGAGAGGAAGTTACCAGGGGCAAAAATATTACTCATAACTAAAGACAGGCAGGAATGAATCATCAGACTCTTTAGATTGAATGAATCACCACTTACCGAGCAGGTCATTAACTCAACCAGTATTTACTAAGTGCCTACTAAGGGCAGGCCTATTTCTGGGTGCTTGTAATACAGCAGTGAACAAAACAGACAAAAATATTTCTGGCTTTATGTAGCTGATATTCTAGATGAGGGAATCAGACAATAAATGTAAAAAATTTGTAATACGTAATATGTCAGATGGCTATGACTATTATGGAGAAAATAAAACAATAACAAATAGGAAGTGCTGGAGAATTTGCTGTTTTTAAATAAAATAGTTAGGGAAAACGCCCATAATAAGGTGACATGCCATCAGAGACTTGAAGAAATTAAGAGACTGAGTTATGCAAATATATCTAGAAGAACATTCTGCGCAGTAGAAACAGCAAATGTGACAACCTTGAGATGGGAGCATGTTTAGTATACACAATCAATAGCATAGAGGCCAAAATCTCTGGAACACAGAGCAATAGAAGATGAGGTCAGAGGCAAAAGGCTTTGCAAGCCACTGTAAGAATTTTAAACTTTTCTGTCCAATAAATGGGAAGTCTGGAGGGTTTTGAGGGTAGTCCCAGTAATGTGATCTCATTTACATTTTTAAAGAACCCCTCTGGGCTTTCTAATGAGAATGCTGTCATTAGAGCAGAACAGAAGCAGAGGCTCCTCTGTAAGAGAAAGGGCTGAATTAATTCCAAGTGAAACATGGACCCTTCTACTTAAGCAACAACATATATCAAATCCTTCATAGAACCATGCTCACAACTACTGCAAAAAGTCAGTGGCACTAAGGACTAGCTTCACAAGTATTCTTTTATGGTCCCATTATCAATGTCTCTTTGTAGATTGCAGATGTAAAAGCATCTTATAGGCATTTTCAATATGACATCAATGGCCCCTTTCACACTTTAAAAAGCATTGAGCAATAAAATTATATTTATTTATAAGACAGAGCTAACAACTCAAATTCTAGAGTCAATAGGTTATATTACGTATTATGACAGTGGCATATGTAATTAATTTTGGCTTTTTAAAAAGAAGCTGTACAGTGTTCAGAGACAGACAGGTTCTTTCCTAATTAAAATAAACACTCTGACACCTAAGTAATAAATTCACATTTATTTTCTAAGCAGAAGCTACTCCTAAAACAAAGACATAAGTATCTTTTTTCCTTTTGGGAAAATTTTCTAATCAGTAAACTCTTAGATCAATTCTCATGATTCTTAGAAGATTAGACAAAAACATGAATTTAGTAAAGTGAATAAAGAAAAGAGAAATAACATCAATTAATCCCATATGAGTTCATTGTATCCTCATATTCATTGATTTTTCCCCTATAGCCACATCTATGGTTTTTTGTTGCTGTTGTTGTTGTTATTGTTTTGTTTTTTTTTTGAGATGTAGTCTCACTCTGTCACCCAGGCTGGAGTGCAGTGGCCCAATCTCAGCTCACTGCAGCCTCCACCTCCTGGGTTCCAGCAATTCTCCTGCCTCAGCCTCCCAGGTAGCTGGGATTACAGGCACACGCCACCACGCCCAGCTAATTTTTATATTTTTAGTAGAAATGGGGTTTCACCATGTTGGCCAGGCTGGTCTGGACTCTCGACCTCAGGTGATCCACCTGCTTCGACCTCCCAAAGTGCTAGGATTACAGGCGTGAGCCACCGCGCCTGGCCTGTTTTTTGTTTTTTTGAGATGGAGTCTCACTCTGTGGACCAGGCTGGAGTACAGTGGCACAGTCTCAGGTCACTGCAACCTCCACCTCCCGGGTTCAAGCGATTCTTCTGCCTCAGCCTCCCAAGTAGCTGGGATTTTAGGTGTGTGCCACGAAGCCTGGCTAATTTTTGTATTTTTAGTAGAGGCAGGGTTTCACCATATTGGCCAGGCTGGTCTCAAACTCCTGACCTCATGAACGACCTGCCTCGGGCTCCCAAAGTGCTGGGATTACAGGCGGGAGCCACCACGCCCGGCCATCTGTATTTTTTTAATCAAGGTGAAATTCGCATAACATAAAATTAACTGTATTAAAGTATACAATTTAGTGGCATTTAGTATATTCACAATTCTGTATGACCACCACTTTTATCTAGTTCTAACAATTGTTTAACAACCCTAAATAGACTCTGTTCACAGTAAGCAGCCATTTCTTTCAGCCCCTGACAACCATCAACCTGCTTTCTGTGTCTGTCTCTACAGATTTGCCTATTCTTTAAATTTCATATAAATAAAAACATACAATATGGGACCTCTTGTGTCTGGCTTTTTTCCTTTAGCACAATATTTTGAAGATTCATAGTGTAGCATGTATCAGTACTTCATTTCTTTTCATCGCTATACAACATGATATTGTATGAAATTCATTATTTGTTTTTTCATTTATCAGTTGATGATGGACATTTGCGTTGTTTTCCCCCTTTGGCTATTGTGAACAGTGCTGCTATAATTATTCATGTAGAGGGATTAGTTTGAATACCTCATTTTGCTTTGTTTGGTTATTAACCAAAGAGGAGAAGTTTCTGGGTCTTACGGTAAATTCATGTTAGGAACCCATTTATTGTTTTTGAGTCCTTACAACTCAGCCAACATGCGAAGCTTTGTAATACACCTAGTTTTGTCAATCCCTTAAATGCAAATTGAGAGCCCAATTTGATGTTGTTGGTGTCATAATGAAATGATTGTGACACATTCCTAAGAAAACAACCAAGTATGCTGTTTTCTCGTGTAACTTCCAAAGAAGCTCATATTTCATCTTTTGAAGGTAATAGCCAATTTCTTTGAGGTGGTTGAGGTGTAAGTGACAAATCTGACCAGCTTATTAACTTAATTGACTTGTTGATTTCTATTCATTCATTAATACATTTATTCATTTAATCGTTTATTCAATCAATAAATAATATTTGAGATAATGTGTTGGGAATGTTGAATCGAAACAAGTGAACATGGCATTTGACTTCAAAGGATTTATCATTACAAAAATAAGTACGTTCAATTAAGTTTTAGCCATGCCAGGGCACAGTTGAAGACTAAGGAGAGAGCATAGTCAATTTTCTTTGGCAAATTAAGATTGGCCAAAAAATTTAAATTCTTCACAGGTGAAACGGCACGTAAAGTCAGATTTGAAAGATGAGAAATTATTCTAAGGCTAGTTTGTCGATTCCAGGACATTTTAGATGTAGGGAACATCAAACCCAAAAGCATGAAAGCCCCACGTGGACAGAGCTGAATATGTTACATCAGCAGTTTTCACCACATAGATGATTGTATTATAATTAGCATGCTGACTGACTAATACTAGTTGTATGACTATATACAATATTCCTCTGAATGTAGGTAACCAACATGTCAGTATAAAGGGGAAGTATTGGATTTGAAAGGAATCTAGTTTAGAAGGCAAGTTACCATTTGGTTGGCAAATACTTCACCCTTCATATCACAGGCACATTTGTACACATGGGTAGATATACTCTAGTCCTGTTGTCATGTTTTTATTTTTTTGTTGTTGTTATCAGTTGTGTGCCTAGCACATATTATTCCTATCTGAAAAACGAGAAAAATCTGAATACACTTGTCCATATAAAGATGGAAAAACTCTTATGATAATGTTTTGGAAAAAAGGAAAAAAAATCTCAAAATTAATAAATGACTTCAATTATTTCCTGGAGTGAGTAGTAATTATACTAGTAATTGTATGCTATGTCATCTGTAAAATTATTCTGATAAGTATAAGAATCATAGCAATCATATTTCAACCCTTACATCTCAACTAACTATAATAGTCTTTTCAAATAAAAACAGACACAATTCATTCCCTTAATTTTCTCAGCTTTGTAAATTTGTATTATCATTATTTATTTCCTATATAAATACATTATCAGTATATGCATTTTTCTTAGTTTATCTTATGCTTCATGATTACCTTTGAAACACTCACTACACATGCTTGGAAGAAAATACAATTTTTCTCTCCATAAATTATCGTTTTGGCATTAAATATTTTGTGAAGACAATATACATGCTGTTACTAGAGCAATGTTTAATGTTTTTTTGTAACTCAAACGTCAATTTTCTGAAAAAATAATTTGTAAGAAATGATTAAACTTCCAAAGTTACTTTGTCATAGGTCTCTGAGAAAGTATCCTAGGACTAGCATTGATACCAAAATAAAAGAAAGGGCTTATATTTATCTATTTGCACACACACACACACACACACACACACCACACCCTCAATTATTTTCCACCCTTTTTAAACCAAAACCTCTAATTTTGGCCAGGATGTCATTTTGTAGAGCTCGTTGAAAGCCCTTTGATGTGGTATCCAGATTTATTTTTTAGGTTATTAAACCCCAGGTTAAGACACATGACATAAAAATGAAGCCAGAGTTGTTTCTGTGTTTGTGTTTTTATCATAAAGATTTTAATCCTCATGCCATCTCAATTTGATTGTGTAACACTGCAATATTATTTTTACATTCTCTAGCTCTGAAGTTATTGGAATCGTACCAATTAACCACAAATGAAAATATATATGATACTGAATAACGTGTATTCTTTGGTTTCATTCCTCCAGAATTCATTTCTCAATCAGTCATATGTTCATTCCAAACTGATTCTAAATATATATCAAGAGGATTATAAAACAAAGATTTTCACTAAAACATGGACTACAGCCGAAACTGCCAAAATTAAATTCATCATGTAGCATCACTACATTTTTTACTGAGAAATAATGAAAATAATCTGTACTTTTAAGTAAATAAAAATAATGAAACTATGAATTAACAATTTGTACAATAGTAATATATTTTAATTTATTTTTAAAGCTATAAATTGGTTCAAAAGACAAACTACAGCAACCTCTGTCATGCTTAATGGATAATGTATAATAAAATACAAATAAATCAGGAATAGCAAGAAGCTGTATTAATAACTATTGATTGTATGAGAAAATATGTATTACTCCTTGCTAATGAATTTGGAAATCTAGAAAATATGACTTATTTTCTAGGAAACCACAGGATGTCAAAACAAAAAATAGAAAACTTCTAAACTGTGAATCAACCTATACTTATGAAAAAAATAAAAATTATGACATGGGAACAATAGACACTGTGGACTTTTAGAGGGAAGAGGAAGACGTCATGGGTCGAAAAACTACCTGTTGGATACCATGCTCACTATCTGGGTGCAATGCAACCATGTAATGAGCGTGTACATATACCCTCCTATCTAAAATAGAAGTTCAAAAGAATTAAAATTAAAATCAAAATTATCTCAGATAGGACCGGGCGCGGTGGCTCACACCTGTAATCTCAGCATTTTGGGAGGTTGAGGCAGTCGGATCACAAGATCAAGAGATCGAGACCATCCTGGCCAACAGGGTGAAATCCTGTCTCTACTAAAAATACAAAAATTAGCTGGGCGTGATGGCATGCACCTGTGGTCCCAGCTACTCGGGAGGCTGAGGCAGGAGAATCACTTGAACCCTGGACGCGGAGGTTACAGTGAGTCGAGATTGCGCCACTGCACTCCAGCCTGGTGACAGAGTGAGACTTCGTCTCAAAAAAAAAAAAAAAAAATTAAAAAACAATTATGTCAAATACTTAGCTCAAAATAATCTGAAAAGCCAGACAACTTTACACTGAAATATCTCCATACTTTCAAGAAATTATGAATTCTAAACCAAACTCTCCTACAATAGAAAAAATATCAAAACATGCTAATCACTTTGCCAAGCAAGAAATACCTGTATATTAAAAAACAGAAATATAACACAAAAACTGCAATGAGATTTGAATATAGATATGAGAATTCTAGAAAATAAAACACAATGGTATGTCATCCAAATATAAGTTGGTTAGAAAAAGGTTTTACGCTTAACATGCAAAGTGGCTTAACATCAATAAATGTAATAACATATATCATCAAGTAAAATCAATGGTAATCTGGAAAGATACTAAAAATTCAGTTGATAAATTTCATTACCAATTTGATGAATTACCACTGTTGATGAAAAACAAGTTCCTAAGAAACTAGGAATATCATTTCTAAAAAAGTAAAAACACAACTGCATTGTCATTAAAAACACGGAAAAATAAGGCTAATATTGCCTTAATTAAAAAAAGAAGACAGAGCAGCAACTGAAATAAGATACAAAACAGTTACAAAAGACATGGTTATTTTCAAAAACTGAAAAGGACAAAAACAAAAAACTTTTAATATACTTCTGAGGCAGAAAATAAACCACAACAGCTAATCAAAATATAAAAAATATTCCACTTGGTATCACCTGAAGGAAGGCAAAATAATATACAAATATAACATGACTTTTCTAATGTTTACCATTTAAAAAATGCTAATAGCCATGGTTGAATGATCTAGAAGGAAGGTATTTCTCCATGAAAAGTTACCAGATGTTTAAGGCTTTTGGTATATATCTGGTAGTTTTTGCACGTATGCTCATAGCGTTCTTACACAAAGTTTGGCTGCAGGAATGTTCATCAGAATATTTAATTCAAAAAATTGTTGAGAAATATTTATACATATTTATAGGATGCATGTGATATTTTTTACCAACATAGAATGTGTAATGATCAAGTCAATGTATTTGGGGTTCACATCACATCCAATATTTATCATGTCTATGTATTGGGAACAATATCATAATGTATAAATAATCTAATTGTTCAATAATTGAGAATATTTTAGTAACCACACTGTGCCTGCATAATTCAATGGTATGCAAGCATTGAAATAATGAGTGTGGATGTTTATTTAAGAGTAATGAAAATCTCCTGAAATTGGTTGTATTAATGGTTTCTTACCTTCGTATACATCCTAAAAGCCATTGAATTGTACTCCTTAAATAAGTGAATTGTATGGTATGTGAATTATATACCAATGAGGCTATTACCCCAAAAAAACACCACATATAGGAAAATTATGATATACAAGTAAAATTAATGGTGTTTAAAGAACTTAATTGATCAAAAGCAGTATACAAAACACTATGCACAATATAATGTACTGTTTATAAAATGTATAAGAAAAAATGAATGATAAGAAAAGTATTTTGAAATTGTAATCAAGAAGAGAACTCGAACATAAATCAAATTTTAATCATTAAGAAAATAAAATCACAATAAAGATATTTTAAAATTATAAGATAATACTGTCAATAAAATATGCTAATAAGTATAATTTCTAATTTAAAGTATAAGTTTCTATGCAAAATAAAATTATCTTAAAGCAAAAGTCTTGAAAGAAACAATGACAATGGAAAATATTAAAAAAGGTAATAAAGCATTACTAAAAATATAGCACTAGTTTCATTTGGTTTTACAGAGAATTTATTTAAAATTTCAAGATCGGATAATTAATATGCTGTATAAACTCTTCTGTCACTTATAAAAATAACTAAGATTTATATTTTGCTAAGCTAGTTTAAAACTAATACCATGACCTTATAGATAATAACACAAAGTTGTACAGCCTGATCATGCACATGCTAATTTAAAATATATTTTCAACAAACCCCCCCTAGCAAATCAAACTCATTTGTGTATAAAATGATGCTATTCTGTGGTGAGGAAATTATTGTTTCATCAATGAAAAAATAGCTTTATATTTTCTTTTATGAATATGTTACTATACTAAATCATATTTTATCTATAACATAAATAGAATGAGAAAAAAATAGCTCCACAGAAGAAATGTCCACAGAAAGACATTTAATTTAGCATTCATACCTGATGTTACTAACATTGAGCCCTTAGAATATGTTGGCCACCGTAGTAAACATTTTACATTTGTTACCTCATTTAATCCTTACAATAACTCTATAAGATAAGGCACTATCAGCTTCTTTATTTCAAATGAAGAAAAAGGCTCAGGAGTTTGAGTCACTGAAAGTTCAACTAGGAAATGCAGAATTTCTCCATAGGACATACTCTTAGCCACAGTGCAAGTTTACCATAACCTAAGAGCCAACATTATTTTCATTGGAATAAAAGACAAGAAATAATATGCACTGTCATCAGGATTATTTAATACTAGTCTGAGTGTATTGCTCAGACAATAAGAAAAGAATCAGTAATTTACCTATTTGAAAATTGATGACAAAATAATCGTTATTTTAAGGTGCTATGATTAGAAAAATAGAAAATGCAAAAGAGGCAACTACAAAATACTGCAAGTAATAGAAGTAAACTGGATGATTATAAACTAAATATACAAAATCAATAATTTCCTTATAAATGAGATATTACAGGTTAGAAAATATAATAGAAATATATATTTGAAGAAACAATGAAATTGTAAAATAAAATAAAAAATTAATACAAATAACATAGATAATATCTTAAGAAATTTTAGAAATTACTGAGAGACTTAAGAAATGGAAATTTAAAATTCCATCTTTCTGGACGAATTCACTTGAATATATATATATAATGTATCTCCACATGACATTAATTCACCTTTATTAATTTCGAAACATAAAAATTATTCTGTCACCTAAAATTACGTGAAATTATTTTAAAAAGTAAAAACAAGAAAACCTTCATGAATCATCACTGAAATATATAATAGGCAAATCAGAACAAGAGTGAATGTTTTGCTATCAGCCTAGATGTACCGAGTCCTTGACTACATTATAATATCTAAACAATCAAGAATATGTGTAAATAGATAAGAAAAGGTACTTTTAAATAATTATAAAATTAAAAATATCATAACTGCAAAACACTATTAATAATTATTTTTATTCTGAAACCGTGTATCAGAATAAGTAAAATTGAATTGAATAATTTAAAGCAAAAACTATTAAAAACCTATATTTAAAATTTTATTTTTTTATTTTATTATTATTATACTTTAAGTTTTAGGGTACATGTGCACAATGTGCAGGTTAGTTACATATGTATCCATGTGCCATGCTGGTGTGCTGCACCCATTAACTCGTCATTTAGCATTAGGTATATCTCCTAAAGCTATCGCTCCGCCCTCCCCACACCCCACAACAGTCCCCAGAGTGTGATGTTCCCCTTCCTGTGTCCATGTGTTCTCATTGTTCAATTCCCACCTATGAGTGAGAATATGCGGTGTTTGGTTTTTTGTTCTTGCAACAGTTTACTGAGAATGATGATTTCCAATTTCATCCATGTCCCTACAAAGGACATGAACTCATCATTTTTTATGGCTGCATAGTATTCCATGGTGTATATGTTCCACCTTTTCTTAATCCAGTCTATCATTGTTGGACATTTGGGTTGGTTCCAAGTCTTTGCTATTGTGAATAGTGCCACAATAAACATACGTCTGCATGTGTCTTTATAGCAGCATGTTTTATAGTCCTTTGGGTATATACCCAGTAATGGGATGGCTGGGTTAAATGGTATTTCTAGTTCTAGATTCCTGAGGAATTGCCACACTGACTTCCACAAGGGTTGAACTAGTTTACAGTCCCACCAACAGTGTAAAAGTGTTCCTATTTCTCCACATCCTCTCCAGCACCTGTTGTTTCCTGACTTTTTAGTGATTGCCATTCTAACTGGTGTGAGATGGTATCTCATTGTGGTTTTGATTTGCATTTCTCTGATGGCTAGTGATGGTGAGCATTTTTTCATGTGTTTTTTGGCTGCATAAATGTCTTCTTTTGAGAAGTGTCTGTTCATGTCCTTCGCTCACTTTTTGATGGGGTTGTTTGTTTTTTTCTTGTAAATTTGTTTGAGTTCACTGTAGATTCTGGATATTAGCCCTTTGTCAGATGAGTAGGTTGCGAAAATTTTCTCCCATTCTGTAGGTTGCCTGTTCACTCTGATGGTAGTTTCTTTTGCTGTGCAGAAGCTCTTTAGTTTAATTAGATCCCATTTGTCAATTTTGGCTTTTGTTGCCATTGCTTTTGGTGTTTTAGACATGAAGTCCTTGCCCATGCCTATGTCCTGAATGGTAATGCCTAGGTTTTCTTCTAGGGTTTTTATGGTTTTAGGTCTAACGTTTAAGTCTTTAATCCATCTTGAATTAATTTTTATATAAGGTGTAAGGAAGGGATCCAGTTTCAGCTTTCTACATATGGCTAGCCAGTTTTCCCAGCACCATTTATTAAATAGGGAATCCTTTCCCCATTGCTTGTTTTTCTCAGGTTTGTCCAAGATGAGATAGTTGTAGATATGCGGCATTATTTCTGAGGGCTCTGTTCTGTTCCATTGATCTATATCTCTGTTTTGGTACCAGTACCATGCTGTTTTGGTTACTGTAGCCTTGTAGTATAGTTTGAAGTCAGGTAGTGTGATGCCTCCAGCTTTGTTCTTTTGGCTTAGGATTAACTTGGCGATGCGGGCTCTTTTTTGGTTCCATATGAACTTTAAAGTAGTTTTTTCCAATTCTGTGAAGAAAGTCATTGGTAGCTTGATGGGGATGGCATTGAATCTATACATTACCTTGGGCAGTATGGCCATTTTCATGATATTGATTCTTCCTACCCATGAGCATGGAATGTTCTTCCATTTGTTTGTATCCTCTTTTATTTCATTGAGCAGTGGTTTGTAGTTCTCCTTGAAGAGGTCCTTCACGTCCCTTGTAAGTTAGATTCCTAGGTATTTTATTGCCTTTGAAGCAATTGTGAATGGGAGTTCACTCATGATTTGGCTCTCTGTTTATCTGTTATTGGTGTATAAGAATGCTTGCGATTTTTATACATTGATTTTGTATCCTGAGACTTTGCTGAAGTTGCTTATCAGCTTACGGAGATTTTGGGCTGAGACGATGTGGTTTTCTAGATATACAGTCATGTCATCTGCAAACAGGGACAATTTGACTTCCTATTTTCCTAATTGAATACCCTTTATTTCCTTCTCCTGCCTAATTGCCCTGGCCACAACTTCCAACACTATGTTGAATAAGAGTGGTGAGAGAGGGCATCCCTGTCTTGTGCCAGTTTTCAAAGGGAATGCTTCCAGTTTTGGCCCATTCAGTATGATATTGGCTGTGGGTTTGTCATAGATAGCTCTTATTATTTTGAGATACATCCCATCAATACCTAATTTATTGAGAGTTTTTAGCATGAAGGGTTGTTGAATTTTGTCAAAGGCCTTTTCTGCATCTATTGAGATAATCATGTGGTTTTTGTCTTTGGTTCTGTTTATATGCTGGATTACATTTATTGATTTGCGTATATTGAACCAGCCTTGCATCCCAGGGATGAAGCCTACTTGATCATGGTGGATAAGCTTTTTGATGTGCTGCTGGATTCAGTTTGCCAGTATTTTATTGAGGATTTTTGCATCAATATTCATCAAGGATATTGGTCTAAATTCTCTTTTTTTGTTGTGTCTCTGCCCGGCTTTGGTATCAGGATGATGCTGGCCTCATAAAATGAGTTAGGGAGGATTCCCTCTTTTTCTATTGATTGGAATAGTTTCAGAAGGAATGGTACCAGTTCCTTCTTGTACCTCTGGTAGAATTCGACTGTGAATCCATCTGGTCATGGATACACCCTCCCAAGACTAAACCAGCAAGAAGTTGACTCTCTGAATAGACCAATAACAGGCTCTGAAATTGTGGCAATAATCAATAGCTTACCAAACCTATATTTAAAATTTAAAGAAATTATATAATTGTAATATGAGACTGTGGTGTTAGGTTTTTCTCACATTGCTATAAAGGAATATCTGAAACTGGGTAATTTATAAGGAAAACAGGTTTAATTGACTCAGGGTTCTGCAGGTTGTACAAGCATGGTGCTATTAATAGCAACTGCTCAGCTTCAGAGTCGGCCTCAAGGGAGCTTTCACTCATGGTGAAAGGTGAAGCGGGAGGAGGGATGTCACAAGGCCAGAGCAGGAGCAAGAGAGAAGGGGGGATGTACCACATACTTTTAAACAACTAGATCTTGTGTAAACTCACTCATCACCAAGGAAATGTTGGTAGGCCATTCATGAGGGATGTGCTCCCATGATCCACACACCTCTCACCAGGCCCCAACACCAATACTGAGGATTACATCTCAACATGAGATTTAGAGAAGACACCCAAACTATATCAACTGTCATACAGATTAGAAAGTTATAGTCCTATTAAAGTGTCTTGTTGATTTGGGAAATTGATGTGACAAGTGAGAAAGTTAGGATAGAACATGATTGTGTCAAAATTTAACAGTGATTTCCTTCTAATACAATTATATAAACATCATTTTAAATATATTTTTAAGTTTTCTACAATGCATATATTTCTTTTCTGTTTAAAATAAACTTTACTGAGCTATGATTTGTATAGCATAAAATGCAGTCATTTTAAGTGTACAATTTGATTTATATTGACAAATGTATATACATCAATAACTATATAGAAAAAGATATTGAGTATTTCTTTTTTTCTCATAAAACTACCTCATGCTCTTTGCAGTGAATTCCTCACACATCTGAACAAAGGAAAATACTGGTCTCCTTTATCTTATTAACAGTTTTACCTTTCTAAAACTGTATATAAAGGACATCATACTACATGCATTTTTCATTTCAACTTCTTTTTAAATTTTTTTTTTAAAATACATCCATGTTTTGTATATCAAGGGTTCATTTATGTTTTTTCTGGGTAACATCCTCTATGTACTACTTTCTAAGGCTGCCATAACAAATTACCACAAACTGTGCAGCTAAAAATAACAGAATTTTATCATCTCAAAGTTCTTGGAGAATAAAAGTTCAAAATCAATGAGTATGGCAAGTCCATATTGCCTCCAAAAGCTCTATCAAAATATTCTTTCTTGCCTCTTCTAGCCTCTGGGAGTTACCATCAATCCTTGCTCTTCTTCAGGTTGTGGCAGCATAAATCTAATCTCAGCCTCTGTCTTTACATAGCCATTTTCCTCTGAGTATATTGGTGTCGAAGTTTCCCTCTTCTTATAGGGACACCAGTCACTGGATTAGAATTTACCCTAATCCTTCATGACCACATCTTAACTTGACTACATACGCAGAGATCCTATATCCAAATAAGATCCTATTCACACCTTCTGGGTGGACATAACTTTGAAGGGGATACTCTTAAATTCAGTACACACCATATGGATGAACCACAATTTATTTCTTCATTGGTCAGTTATTTCCATTTTCTGGCTTTTACAGTAAGTGTGCTATTTGTGTAAACACTCTTGAGGAATAATGTGTTTTTTTTTTCTTTCCAACATTTATTTTAGGTTTGGGAGTACCTGTGAAGGTTTGGTGTATAGATCATTTTATCATCTGGATAATAATCCTAGTACCCAGTAGGTGGATTTTCAATCCTCACCCTCCTCATACCCTCCACCTTCAAGTAGGCTGTGGTATTTACTGTTCCATGTTTTGTGTTCCCGTGTACTCATTGTGTAACTTCTACCTATAAGTGAGAATATGTGGTATTTGGTTTCTTTTTCTGCATTAATTCATTTAGGATAATGGCCTCCAGCTCCATCCATGTTGCTGCAAAAGACACAATTTTCTTCTTTATTATGGCTGCATAGTATCCCATGGTGTACATGTACCATATTCTCTTTATCCAGTCCTCCACTGATGGGCATCTATGTTGATTTCCCATTGTGAATAGTGCTGTGAAGAACATATGAGTGCATGTGTCTTTACGTTAGAACTATTTATATTCCATTGGGTATATACCCAGGAATAGGATTGCTGGGTCAAATGGTTTTCTCTATAACATCACCAGAATCTGTTATTTTTTGACTTTTTGATAATAGCCATTCTGACTGTTATTAGATGGTATCTCATTGTGGTTTTGATTTGCATTTCTCTTATGATTAGTGATATTGAGCATTTTTCATATGCTTGTTAGCCACATATATGTCTTCTTTTGAGAAGTGTCTGTTCATGGCCTTTGCCCATTTTTTAAATGGGGTTGTTTGTTTTTTGCCTGTTAATTTGTTCAAGTGTCTTATAGATTCTGAACATTAGACCTTTGTTGGATGCATAGTTTGCAAATATTTTCCGTCATTCTGTAGATTGTCTGTTTTTTCTGTTGACGGTTTCTTTTACTGTGCAGAAGCTCTTTAGTTTCATTAGGTTCACTTGTCAATTTTTATTTTTGTTGCAGTAGCTTTTGGATTTTTTTTTATGAAACCTTTGCCAGGACCTATGTCCAGAATGGTATTTCATAGGTTTTCTTCTAGGGTTTTTATAGTTTTGGGTTTTACATTTAAGTCTATAATCCATCTTGAGTTGATTTTGGGATATGGGGAAATGAAGTAATTCAGTATCAATCCTCTGCATATGGTTAGCCAGTTATCACAGCACCATTTAGTGAATAGAGAATCCTTTTCCCATTGCTTCTTATCGTCAGCTTTGTTGAACATCTCATTATTCTTCTGCGGAAATAGAATGGGCCTAAGATGTCCAATACTTTGTTCAATAGGAGTTGTAAAAGTGGGTATCCTTGTTTAATTCTGGTTCTCAAAGGGAATGCTTCTAGCTTTTACCTGTACAGTATTATGTTGGCAATGGGTTTGTCATAGATGGCTGTTAGTATTTTGTGCTATCTTCCTTTGATGCCTAGTTTGTCAAGGGTTTTTAACACAAAGGAAGTTCAGTTTTATTGAAAGTCTTTTCTACATCTATAATCACGTGGTTTTTGGTTTTAGTTCTGTTTATGTGATGCATCACATTTATTGATTTGCATATATTGACCCAACTTTGCATCCCAGGAATGATGCCTACTTGATCATGGTGGATTAGCTTTTTGATGTGTTGCTGGATTAACTTTGTTTGTATTGTGTTGAAGAATTTTACATCTAAGTTTATTGGGAAAGTTGACCTAAAGTTTCCTTTTTTGCAGTGTGTTTGACTGGTGTGGGTATCAGAATGATGTGGGCTTTATGGGATGAGATAGGGAGGAGTGCCTCCTCTTCAACTTTTTGGAACAGTTTCAGTAGAATTAATACCAGCTCTTCTTTATATGTCTGGTAGTACTACTTGACTGTGAATTCAACTGGTCTTGTGCTTCTTCTGGTTGATCAGCTTTTTATTAGTGATTCAATTTTAGAACTCCTTAGAGGTGTGTTTATGGTTTTAATTTACATTTGGTTAAATCTTGGGAGGTTTTGTGTTTCCAGGAATTTATTTAATTCTTCTAGGTTTTCTAATTTGTGTGCATAGATGTGATTGTAATTGTCCCTGAGGGTTTTTTGTATTTCTGTATAGTCAGTAGTAATGTGTTCTTCTCATTTTTGAATGTTTCTATTTAAATCTTCTTATTTTTCCCATTATTCTAACTAGAAGTGTATCAAACTTATTTATTCTTTCAAGAAACCAAGTTTTGGTTTTTTGCATCTTTTGCATTATTTTTCCCTTCTTAATTTCCTTCAGATCAACTCTGATTTTGGTTATTTCTTTTCTTCTGGCAGATTGGGTGTTGGTTGCCTCTTATTTTTCTAGTTCTTCTAGGTGTCATGTTAGGTTGTTAATTTTAGATCTTTCTAACTTTTTGATGTAGACATTTAGTGTCATAATCTGTCCTCTTAACACTATTTTTGCTACACCCCAGAGATTCCGGTACGTTGTATCTTTGTTTTCACTAGTTTCAAAGAATTTCTTGATTTCTGCCTTAATTTTATTCTTTACCCAAAGTAATTCAGCAGCAGGTTGTTTAATTTTAATGTAATTTTATAATTTTCAGAAATCTTATTGATATTGATTTCTATTTATATTGCACTGTGGTCTGAGAGTGTGGTTGGTGTGATATCAGTTTTTATGAATTTGTCGAGAATTGCTTTATGACTGTGTGGTCAATTTCAGGGTATGTGCCATGTGCAGATGAGAATAATGTATATTCTGTTGTTGTTGGGTGGAAGGTTTGGTAGAGGTTAGGTCTATTTAGTTAAGTATCAAATTTGGGTCCTGAATGTCTTTGTTAGTTTTCTGCTTTGATGATTTGTCTAATTCCTTTACTGGAATGTTGAAGTCTCCCAGTTTTACCGTGTGGTTATCTGTCTATTTGTGTGTCTCTAAGAACTTGTTTGATGAATCTGGGGGCTCCTGTATTGGGTCCATATATAGATAGAATAGTCACATATTTTTGAATTGAAACTTTTATCATTATGTAACGCTCTTCTCTGTCCTTTTTGATGATTGTTGGTTTAAAGTCTGTTTTGTCTGAAATAAGAATAGCAGCCCTTGCTCATTTTTCTTTCTGTTTGATGATAAGTTATTATCTACCTCTTTACTTTGAGCTTATGGGTGTCATTGCATGTCAGATGGCTATTTTGAAGGCAGTATACAGTTATGTTTGGCTGCTTTACCCAATTTGTCACTCTGTGCTTTTTAGGTGGAGCATGTAGCCATTTTCATTGGATGTTAATATTGATACCTGTGGATTTAATTCTGTTATTGTGTTGTAAGCTAGTTGTTATGATGACTTGATTGTGTTGTTCATTTACATTGTCAATGATTCTTGCAATAGCTGGTTAGGGCCTTTTGTTTCCAAATTTAGTACTCCCTTAAGGAACTCTTATATGGCAGCTCTGGTGGTAACAAATTCTCTCAGCATTTTCTTGGTCTAATAAATATTTAATGTTTCCTTCACTTATGAAGTGTAGTTTGGCTAGATATTAAATTCTTGGTTGAAATTTCTTTTCTTTAACAATGCTGAATATAGGTCCCCAGTCTCTTCTGGCTTGTAGGGTTTCTGCTGAATGGTCCATTGTTGGCCTGATATTTTGTTTCTGTTTTCCTTTCTTTTCTTTTCTTTTTTTTCCTTCCTTCCTTCCTTCCGTCCTCCCTCTCTCTCTTTTTCTTTCTCTTTCTTTCTTTCCTTTCTTTCTTCTTTCTTCCTTCCTTCCTTCTTTCTTTCTCTATTTGTCTGTCTCTTCTCTCTAGTTCCCACTAATATTTTTTCTTTTTCTTTGACCTTGGAGGATCAAGGACTATGTGTCTTGGGAATGGTCATCCTGTATGGTATCTCACAGGGGTTATCTGAGTTTCCTGGATATGAATGTTGACCTCTATAGTAATGTTGATGAAAATCTTGTGTACAATATCCTTAAATATGTTTTCCAAGTTGTTTGCTCTCTCTCACTTTCTTTCAAGGACACCAATTGAAGCAGAAGATATAAAAAGAAAAACAAGTTTTTCTGTACTAGGCTCACTCACTCCAAGACCCAGGGAAGGGCAGGGCTCTGTGGAGGCTTTGATAGCACTATCTGCAGAGCCAAGGCTAAGAAGGAATGGGCTCCAGAGTCTCTCCCTCCAAACCCAGAGCAAGGTTGGGAAAAACAAGTTTTTCTCTTTCAGCTTCCACTTTCCCCCTTACTATTCTCACAATTATCTTTGCAAGTTTTGTAAGTTCCTGTTTTTCCCTTCTGTGCAGCACAACGAAGGTCACAAGATATGCCTGAGTTGCAACACCTGGCTTGAGTTGTAAAACCTGTCACTGGTTGATAAACTGCCTTTGTTCTGCTTCTGTAAGCTTGCTTACCCGCCTTACAGATTTCACACCCTTTTCAGATGCATGTATAAAAGTGGAGCCCTGTCTTTGTTCAGGGCTCAGCCTGTGGATGTTAGTTCACTGAGCCAGTGGTCACCTAAATAAAATTCTCCTGTTCCACACATTGGTCTCTCTAGTCCCTCAATTCCCACAACACAATGACCAATGAGTCATAGGTTTGGTGTCTACGTAATCCCATATTTTTCAGAGGTTTTAATCATTCTTTTTATTCTTTTTTCTTTATAATTGTCTGACTGAGTTGATTCAAAGAACGGATTTTTTTGAACACTGAGATTCTTTCCTCTGCTTATTCCTTTCTCTTGTTGATATTTCTGATTGTATTATAAAATTCTTATAGTGACGTTTTCAGCTGTATCAGATCATTTTTCTTCTATGACTAGAATTTGTTCTTATATGTCTAAGAACCCTTTGCCTACCTCAAAGTCAGCAACATCTTCCTACAATTTTTTCTAAAAGCTTTTAATTTTGGTTGTTATATTTAGATCTATGATGCATTTCCAGTTCATTTTTGTATATGGAGTGAGATAAATGTAAATATGTATTTTTTTATCTACAGATGTCCTGTTTTTCTCAGAACTATTTGTTGACATATTATTAATTCCATACTTAGTTACCTTAGCACCTTAGTCAGAAAATCAATTGATCATATACAGCAGTTATATATTGAGTCTTCAATTTGCTAATGTTAGTATTACAACGTTGGGCTTCTTTTTCAAAATTGTTTTTCTGCATTATAGGTCTTTTGCTTCTTATAAGTTTCAAATCCACTTAACCATTTTTTTAAAAATCCTCATGTTCGTGTGAGATTACAATAAATCTATGTAACATTTTATGAATATGGGCATCTTAACAATATTGGAACTTCAAATTCATGAATACAATATCTTTCCCCACTCATTTATGGCTTTTTAACTTTTTCTCAGCAATGTTTATGTGTTACAGTGTATAATTTTTGCATGTATTTTGTTAAATTCATATCCAATTGTTTCATATTGTGTTAGTTTGAGTGATATTTTAAATCTTTCCAATTGTTTGTTACTAGTAAGCAAAAAATCTATTTTTTCTATATATTCACACTGTATCCTGAATATGTGCAAAAGTCATTTGCTAGCACTAGTAGATTTTCTGTGCATTTTTTACTATATTCTACATCTATGATCATGTAATCTTCATATAAGGAGAGCTTTAATTCTTGCTTCTCAGGCTGAGGCCTTGCATATTTTTTCAACCTTGTCTTACTTGTTATGGCTTTCATTACAATTTTGACTTCAAATGGTGTGCACAGATACCTTTTTCTTCTTCCCCGGTTTAGAGCTCAGTTTTTCACCAATAAATATGATATAAATTGAAGGTTTTCTTAGATGTTATTTATCAGATAAAGGAAATGCACTTCTAATTTTCTGATTTTTCTCCGCTTCTCTGTTCATGGTGAATCACGCTGATTGATTTTCAAATATTAAACCAATATTAAATTCCAGGTAAAAAATCCACTTGGTTATGATGTAGTATACATTTTATAAATTGATGGATTTTGTATCCTAATGTTTTATAAATTTTTTTGCATCTATATTCATGACAGACATTTTTCTGTAGTTTTCTATTATAATTTACGTATCAGATTTTGATGTCAGGACAATGCTGGCTTTCTACTGAAAGCTGGAAAGTGCTCTCTTTTCTGCATTTCCCGATAAAAGTATTTACTTTTTAAAATATCAATTAATTATATTTAAGCTTTGGCTTCTTTAGATAAATAGTATAACTAAAATTGTAATATAAGATATGTAGCTTTTAACTATCATTCATTCTTTGAAATATTTGGGTTATATAACAATTATTACTGTTATTATTATTGTTATTGTGCTATTACCAGCTTCTCCATATGGTAAAACTCCCCCACATTTTATTTTATCTTGTTTCAGCTTCACTATGCTATAATTAACAAAAAACTATATATATATTTGAAGCATATATGATATTTTTATATATGTATAAAGTGAGGAATGACGGGATCAAGCTAATAAACATATCCATCACCATACGTACTTATTATTTTTTGGTGTTGAAGGCAGGTAAGATCTACTCTATAAACAATTTTAAAGTATACATTATGTTAACTATTAACTACAGTCACCATGCTGTACAATAGTGCTCTGGAACTTATTCATCATTCTAACTAAATCTTTGTACTTTTCAACCAAAATCTCCTCAAACTCCTCGTTTAACTGGCAGTTTATGTTTATGGCTATAATGTATAAAACTGTTATGAATATTCTTGCTCATGTCATGGTGAAGGTAAGAACTCATTTCTCTTGGAGTGAAATTGCTGGCTCACCAGATGTATGTATTCTTAGATATAGTAGAAACAGCCAAAATTATTTCTGAAAAACTGACAGCAATTTATATTTCCACTGGCAAAATATGGGATTGTCAGTTCCTTTACATCCTTGTCAACATTTGGTATTATTTGTCTTTTTAATTTTAGTCATCAGTAGGTCTGTAGTAGTGTCTCATTGTGATTCTATTTTCATTCGATTAATGACTAGTTGCGTTGATCATTATCCTATGTGCTTATTGGTCATGTACATATCATTTTCTGAAAGTCTTGTTCAGGTTCTTTTACTATGTTATATTTATTTATTTATTTATTTATAGACAGAGACTAGACTCTCTGTCACCCAGTCTAGAGTACAGTGGCATGATCGTAGTTTACTGCAGTCTTGAATTCCTGGGATAAAGTAATCCTCCCACTTCAGCCTCTGGAGTACACACCACCAAGCCTGGCTAATTTTTATTTTTTTTTTAAAGAAAGGTTCTCGCTATGTTGCCCAGGATGGTCTCAAACTTCTAGACTCAAGCAATTCTCTCACCGCAGCCTCCCAAAGTGCTGGGTTTACAAGACTGAGCCACTGTATCCAGCCTACCATTTAGTTTTAAATTTAATTGCCTATCTTGTTTTTAATGACTTCCAGGATTTCTTTATCTATTCTAAATAAAATCTTTTGTTAAATGCATATTTTAATAATCTTCTTCTGTGTGTGGGTTTATGGTCCAAAGAATAAAAGTTGTTACTTTCAACATGGTCTGATATTTTGATATAGTTTATATTTACCTACAGTAACTTTATTTAGAGATTGTGTGGTATATCTTTTCTGTCCTTTCTCTTCCAGACTTTCTGTGTTGTTGTAGTTAATATTTGTCCTTTTTAAACAGCATCTAGTTGTATTTTCTAATTGTTCCGACAGTTTGCTTTTCAATTAGAGTGTTTAGTACATGTACATTTAAAACAATTACTAACATAGGTAGGTTCAAGTCAACCATTTTGCAACTTGTTTCATTATTTCTTCTTTGTTTTTGGTAAATTTATTTATTTTCAATTAATCATCATTCTTATACAATTAGTTCTATTATATTAAGTTTTACTTGTACATTCTTTTATTAATTTTTATTAACATCTTTAGGTTACAGAATGCATTCCTAGTTATTATAATCAACCATTTTTTAGTAGTACTAATATTTTTATAAAACTGCACAAATTTTACAAAGCATATATAACTATTCGCACCATTTCCATGCCTTTTGTGATATTTGTCATATATTTATATACATATTTATTATAAATCTACCAAGATTTTGTTGTTTCTGTGTTAACAATATTATTAAAATATTATTTTATAATTATTTATATATTAAAGCTTCTAATACTCTTCATTTTTTTTTTACTGTGATTCTGCTTCTCATGTGGTATCATCATTGATTTCAGCTTGAGAAATTCACTTAGCAGTTCTGCTGATGAATTATCTCATCAATCTTTTGTTTGAAAATGATTTATTTAGCTTTCAGTTTGAGTGATATTTTTATTAGGGATACTATCATAGGTTGGTAGGTCTTTCTCTTTATTAGGATTTTGTTTTACTTAGTATTTTAATAATAACTTTCTATTGTCTTCTGGCTCCATTTCTTATGGAAAATAATCTAGTTGTTAGTATTACTGTGGCTGATTTGAAAGTAACATTGTATGTCTCTTCCCAAATCACAGCTATTTTTTTAAGATATGTTTTTTCACTTTGACTTCAGCTTACAGTAATTTGACTAAGCATATACATGGGGTTCTCTTTGTTTTTATTTTGGTTGGGGTTCACTCATATTCTTGAATTTGTCAATTGAAGTCTATCAATTTTTGGTATTACATATTCAAATATTACATCTGCTCTATTTTCTCTCTCTTCTCTTTCTGTACCTCTAACAACATATATGTTAGATATTTTAATGTGCTCACATTTTCCTTACACTGTGTCCAGTAAAAAAAAATCATTATTGCCCTGTGCTTCATATTGACTATTTTCCATTGATATCTTTTCCATTTTACTAATTTGTCTTCTGCCATGTCCTGTTTGCTGTTAAACATATTTTATATGGCCTAAGTTTGAGACACTGCATTTTTAATCTCTAGAATATTTATTTGGTTATTTCTCATGAATCCAATTATTTAAGTTACCATACTTTCCATTATTTTATTGACTATTTTCATTGTTTCATGCAAAAACATATTTCTCGTGTTTTATTTCATGCAAAAATAACTTTAATTTTAAAGCCTGTGTGGTAACGCAACTATGTTAATGTGCTGTAGGTCTTTTTCTACTATTTGTGATATGGTTTGACGGTGTCCCACTCCAATTCTCATCTTCAACTGTAACTCCCATAATCCCCATTTATCATGGGAGACACCAAGCAGGAAGTAATTGAATCATGGGGGTGGGTTTTTCCAGTGCTGTTCTCGTGATAGTGACTGTTTCATGAGATATGATGGTTTTATAAAGGGCAGTTCCCCTGCACATGCTCTCTTGCTTTCCACCATGTAAAACATGCCTTTCTTCCTCCTTTGCCTTCTGACATGATTGTGAGGCCTCCCCAGCCATGTGAATCTGTGAGTCCTTTAAACCTTTTTCTTTATAAATTACCCAGTCTTGTTATTTCTTCATAGCAGTATGAGAATGAGCTAATACAGTCAATTGGTATCAGTAGAGTGGGGTACTGCTATTAAGATACTGAAAAATGTGGAAGCAACTTTGGAACTGGGTAACAGGCAGAGGTTGAAAGAGTTTGGAGGGTTCAGAAGAAGACAGAAAAATGTGAGAAAGTTTAGAGCTTCCTAGAGACTTGTTGGATGGCTTTGACCAAAATGCTGATAGTGAAATGAACAATAAAATCCAGGCTGAGGTGGTCTCAGATGTAGATGGTGATCTTGCTGGGAATCTCTAGATAGATTTCAGAGGATGTATGGAAATGCCTGGATGTCCAGGCAGAAGTTTTCAGCAGGGGTGGAAAATGCTGTGAAAGTACCCAGGAGAGAGCCTGTACCCTGCAAAGTCTCAGGGGCAGAGCTGCCCAAGGCTGTGGGAGCCTACCTCTTGCATCAGTGTGACCTGGATGTGGGACCTTCAGTCAAAGGAGGTCATTTTGGAGCTTTAATATTTAACAGCCTCACTGAATTTTGGACTTTTATGTGGCCTGTAGCCTGTTCGTTTTGCCATTTTTTCCCATTTGGGTGTATTTACCCAATGCCTTCACCCCCGTGTATCTAGGAAGTAACCAGCTTGCTTTCGATTTTACAGGCTTGCAGGCCGAAGAGACTTGCCTTTTCTCAGATGACACATTGGACTGTGGACTTCTGAGTTAATGCTGAAAGCAGTTAAGATTTTGGGGGACTGTTGGGAAGGCATGATTGTGTTTTGAAATGTGAGAAAATGAGATTTGAAAGGAAGGGGTGAGGGGCAGAATGATATGATTTGGCTGTGTCCTCAACCAAATATCATCTTGAATTTTAGTTCCCATAATCCCTACATGCCATGGGATGGACCTGACAGGACTCAACTGAATCATGGGAGCGGGTTTTTTTTCTCTTGCTGTTCTTACAATAGTGAATAAGTCTCATGAGACCTGAAGGTTTTATAAAGGGCCGTTCCTCTGCACATACTCTCTTGCCTGCTGCCTTCTAAGACTTGCCTTTGCTCCTCTTTTCCCTTCCACTGTGATTTTGAGGCCTCCCCAGCCATGTGGAACTGTGAGTCCATTAAACTTCTGTTTTTTTGTTTTTTTAAATTACTGTGTCTCAGGTATTTCTTCATAATGGTGTGAGAACAAACTAATACAACTTGTTTACATTGTCTTTTTTATTGGGTTCTAGACATCTAATGTTTGCATTTTACCTTCCCAACAAGAAAACAGATTGACACAACTGTTCTAGAAAGTAATGTGGCAAAAATAATCAAGTAATATGGTAATAAGAATATTTAAAATATCTATATCATTTAATTTTCTACATGCATTTCCAGGAATATAATTAATGAAAATTAGTAGAATTATTAAAAAATATTTGAGTACATGTATCTTCACTGCAGCACTGTTAAAGCAATTTTAAAGTAGAAAGCAATGGAAATGTTCAAGAAATGAATAAATAAACACACTATAGTCCCTTCTTGTAATCAATTACCATGTGGTCACAAAAATTAAATTTTCAACAATTATTAAAGAAGAAAGACAAGCTTGCTGTCACATATTATATAAAGCATCAGGATATACACTGTATGACTGTACATGCATTTATCTATAACTGTATATCAGCTGGATCACTTTGTCTTTTCGGAATAAAAATAAATTGATTTGCAACAACTTTCTTTTTATCTTTGGAAAGTACAAAGATTTCCTCAAGTTTACCAGGTACTAATTTTTTTTCTGACATTCATGATTCTAACATTTTTATCCTAATGATGTCTCAATCTCATTTGCATCTCAATTCCCATGGAGATTTTCTTTTATCTGCTACATACAGACATACAAACAACTAGAATAAAATATATTAACATTTATCACTGAATTTGTTTTGGTTTAAAAATCTTCAACTATTTTTATTTCATTCATTATACTTGTCAATCATTTTACAATGACACTATTGTATTTTAATCAAAATATTCTTTAAAAAACAAGAACAAAGAATCATTGATGGGAATTATGAAGAAAATCACTTAATTGAAAATATTTACTAGTTGGTAGTTTTAGTCAAATTAACACGAGAATCCAATTCATGATTTACGTAAGCAACTAGAAAATTTAATCAGAAATAATTAGTGTAGTGGCAAAATGTAAATACACATTCCCCACCAGTTAGTCAGGTATGGTTTCTGAAAGCATAGATACAGGAAAAAAATCTTCATTATTTAGACAAGCACAGAAAGTGAGCATAAGCAAATACACACATACATACACTCACACACATGCCTTTTATGAATTAATCAGGCATGAAAAGTGTAACATGTGTGTATCTTATACATTTGCCACGATCATACTGTAACCATACACAAAGATACATGCATAAAAACACACATAAAATTTCTCTGGTACTTTTGCATACATAGTTGTCATCATCTGCACTAATGGAACTTCTTAAGCATTTCAATATGCTGCAATCAGAGGTATAAAATTTGAATGTATTCTGTAGTAATATTTTTAATTCTGAAGTAAACTGTGAGTCTACATATTTTCTCACACAAATTCGAGGAAGAGTACCTAGAATTCAGCAGGGCTGTGAAAAAGCATACCATAGATTATTTTTTCAGATAATTGAGCATTAAAGTATTCTCTGGGGTGTATAGCACCAAAATTGTTTTTCCGTAATAAAACAACTTTAAAAAACAGTAAATTAGTAAACATATATTATAACTAAGTATTTTACAAGCACAAATTTTAAAATAAAGAAATATTTCTAAAGGTTTGCCTATGTTTAACCATTGCCAAATGAAATGACATTTCTCACTTTCTTTTTGCATGGAGAGAAAGGTAGAATGAGCAAAATTGGAGCTCAAGAAAAATTTGTTGATTGAATTATCTTAAATCAGAAAAACAGTTGCATTCTACACCAGATAACCAGAAACTTAAATGACGACATCAAAATTCTATCAGCTGATGTGATACGTTTGTAAAAACAATGTAAACTAAAGTAAGGAAATATATGAAGCCAGGATTTATTATTGCTGTCTACATACTAGGCAATATAAAGTGTGCTTCATGTGACTTGTCTCATTTAATTTCTCAGTAACCCTACAGTTAAGGTACTTTATTATCCAAATTTTATAGTAAAAAAATGAAGGTTTATAAAGGTTCAGTTACTTTTTCAAGGTCAAAAAGCTGAAAGTGAGAAAGTTGGAATTTGAACCCAGGTTATCTCTGATTTAAAAGTTTTTTTTATTCTACTATGGAAATCTCCTTCTGCCATACAATAAGATATAACAAAATTATCTTTGTTACTATTTTTTTGCTAACCATAAACCTCAAGGGGTAGAGGAATATAAACATTCTCAACGGGCATCCAATACCTTTAAAATCCATTTTTTCACACACACATGCACACGCATACACACATTATTCTTTTTAACTCTTACACTTCCTGTCAATCTCATTTTTTGGAAATTAAATAGGTATACAGATAAATTAGACAAAGAGAGCACGAGAGAGAGAGAAAGAGAGAACAGAGAGAAAGTCTTTCTGAGTTTGGCATTCTAGTAGGAAGAGGCTATATTAGATTAGATTCTACTTCATTCTTTAATCCCTGCAAGCATCATTTCCACAGGATTCTTGGTGCATGGGTATTCAGCATTAGAATGAACACTTCGTGGGACTTTATGCAGCCACCTGTTCCAATACTATGCACTATTAGAAAGTTATTCCTTAAATTGAATAAAATTTTTCTACCCTATGACTTTCTTCCCTTAATGTTAGTTATACCCTCTGGGCCTACAGAAAAAAGTCTATTCTCTCTTCTGCATGACAGCTCTTCAAATATTTCAACACAACTGGCATGGTTCTCCTTAGTTTTCTCATCCCCAGGCTAAACACCCACAGAAGATTATACTGTAGCATTAATATCTCCACCTTGCATTTCTCTACACGCCCACATGTCTTCTCCTTTGTTACTTTTCTCTAAAACAGTGGGAACAATGAAAAATTATGACATATATGAACTTAATTACATAATCTCAGTCACCTCCTACTTCACTCCCCCACATAGCTTCTTTGCAGACCTTGTAGTGAAGTGCTGTAGCATTTAGAGGAAAGAAATCATTCAGGAATCATTTGTAAACCAACAAGGTTTATTTTAACCCTAAAAATCATAGAAATGTAAAAGACAAGCACATTCTAGAATTAATCATCATTCCCATTGAAGCTATTCATGGTAGCAAAGACTAAATAAATATATGAAAATATTTTATATTTTAAAAATTGTAATGAATTTACAAAATTTACAGGAGCAGATACAGTAACAGGAATCAGCTATGTTGCTACAAGTATATTTTAGAATCAGATTTCCATTTGAATTTCAATTATGCCATTTACTAGCTGTGTGTTCCTATAGACTTTACAAGTAGTATCTGAGTCACAATGTCTTTACAAAGAGAAAATAATTCTTAACTGAGATATTTACTGTAAAGATATAAACAAACCTATGTATAGCAGATTGGAACAAGTTCAGCTTATCTGAAAGCATACAAATGAAAATATTGAAATAAGCAAATGAATGGTTTACAGCACCCGCCTCGGCCTCCCAAAGTGTTGGGATTACAGGCGTGAGCCACGGCGCCCGGCGGGCAAGACACCCTCAGAGCACAGGGTGCTGCCAAGAGCCCGGCCGAGTGCAGCTCGAGCGCCGACGTCGCCAAGGATACACAGTGCTGACGCAGTACACAAGTGCGTCACAGTGGTCCTCCGCCGGCTACGTCAGTGGCTTTCAGGCGCTTTCCTGTTGGAATTGGCGACTGCTGCGGGGCTGAGCGCTGGTTTCACGCGTCTCGGGAGCCAGGTTGGCGGTGCGATGAGGCGCAGCAAAGCCTACGGGGAGCGGTACCTCGCCTCGGTGCAGGGCTCCGCCCCGTCGCCTGGAAAGGTGAGTGGATCTCGAAGAGACCGACGGCCTCGACCTGGCCGGGCGGCGGCCTCGACCTGGCCGGGCGGCGGCCTCGACCTGGCCGGGCGGCGGCCTCGACCTGGCCGGGCGGCGGCCTCGGCCTCGGCCTCGGCCGGGCGGCGGCCTCGGCCTCGGCCTCGGCCGGGCGGCGGCGGCGGCGACGGCGGCCTCGGCCTCGGCCTCGGCCTGGCCGGGCGGCGGCGGCGGCGGCGGCGGCGGCCTCGGCCTCGGCCTGGCCGGGCGGCGGCGGCGGCGGCGGCGGCCTCGGCGTAGGAGCCCGAGAAGATTAGTTGTGGCAATAAAAATGATTAAGGATACTAGTATAAGAGATCAGGTTCGCCCTTTAGTGTTGTGTATGGCTATCATTTGTTTTGAGGTTAGTTGGATTAGTCATTGTTGGGTGGTAATTAGTCGGTTGTTGATGAGGTATTTGGAGGTGGGGATCAATAGAGGGGGAAATAGAATGATCAGTACTGCGGCGGGCAGACCTAGGATTGTGGGGGCAATGAATGAAGCGAACAGATTTTCGTTCACTTTGGTTCTCAGGGTTTACTATAGTTTTTTATTTTTATGGGCTTTGGTGAGGGGGGTAGATGGTAATTTGTATTTAATATTTTTAGCTGAGTGATGAGGAATAGTGTAAGAAGTATGGGGGCAATTATGGTGGGCCATACGGTAGTATTTAGTTGGGGCATTTCACTGTAAAGAGGTGTTGGTTCTCTTAATCTTTAACTTAAAAGGTTAATGTGCGGCGGCGGCGGCGGCGGCGGCGGCCTCGGCCTCGGCCTGGCCGGGCGGCGGCGGCGGCGGCCTCGGCCTGGCCGGGCGGCGGCGGCGGCGGCCTCGGCCTCGGCCTCGGCCTGGCCGGGCGGCGGCGGCGGCGGCGGCGGCGGCCTCGGCCTGGCCGGGCGGCGGCGGCGGCCTCGGCCTCGGCCTCACCTCTCTTACACTTAGAGTCTTTTTTTTTCCCCCAAATTTAAAGTCATTTACATTAGAACCTGGGGATTTCAACGGAATATGGATTAACTAGTGAGTAACTTTGGAACATGTGAAGCTATTCTGTAAAGTTAGGTTTGAGTGAAATGACAAAACAGGGTGCTTTGGATAGAAGGTAAGGAATGGAGGGAGAAGAGGCAGTGGCTGTGAAGAATATAAAGAGGTTAGTATTCTCCCCCAGTTTGGCAGAGGCTGGCCATCTGTGAACTGCCCATGCTTTCTAGAATGTCTGAGTTTTGGAGTGTGATGATGCGTCTGTATATCATATCTTTCTAGTCTTCCATTGTGCTTTCATTTGTTAATCTTCTCTTGTTTTGCCATTTTTCTACTCCCTCACATGTGCTTTTGCCCTTCTTAAAAATATTCTTCGTCTGTAATCCGAGCACTTTGGGAGGCAGAGAGACCAGCCTGACCAACATGGTGAAAATCCGTCTCTATTAAAAATACAAAAATGAGCCGGGCGTGGTGGCAGCGCCTGTAGTCCCACCTACTCGGTAGGCTGAGACAGGAGAATTGCTTGAACCCTGGAGGCAGAGGTTGTGGTGAGCAGAGATTGCGCCACTGCACTCCAGCCTGTGTGACAGAGCGAGACTCTGTCTCCAAAAAATAAAAAAATAAAAAAATATATAATTCTTTCTCTAGTTTTTCTTTTTCCAGATGGCTTCTGTTTAGTTTTTCTATGTTCTGTCAAGTTGGTTTCTTATTCTGCAGCTGATTCCTACTTCTCAAACTCTACTTGACAGCTCTTATTTTTATTTATTTGTTTTTTAGAATAGGGTCTTGCTGTGTTGTCCAGGCTGCCATCAAATTTTTGGGCATAAATGATCCTCCTACCTCTGTTGCCTGAGTACTTAGGACTACAGGCAGGCACCTTTGACAGCTGTTAGTTTTTTTTTCTGCCCTTTACATCTATACTTCATGCTTCTGAGTAACACACACATATACTTTTGTTATTTTGAATTCCCTTTCTCCCATTTTAGACATTTTGTTTTCTTTTTTTTTTTTGAGACAGAGTCTCGCTCTATGGCCTAGGCTGGAGTGCAGTGTCGCGATCTCGGCTCACTGCAAACTCTGCCTCCGGGGTTCACGCCATTCTCCTGCCCCAGCCTGTAGCTGGGACTACGGGCACCCGCCACAACACCCGGCTAATTTTTTAGTATTTTTAGTAGAGACGGGGTTTCACCGTGTTAGCCAGGATAGTCTCGATCTCCTGACCTCATGATCCGCCCGCCTCAGCCTCCCAAAGTGCCGGGATTACAGGCGTGAGCCACCGCGCCCGGCCCCACTTTAGACATTCTGTACTGGCTATTATGCTCCTCCAAAACTGTCCTCAGACACTTTGCTTTGCCCCTCATTGTTTCAGTACTGTTATTGGAGTTTTTGTTTAAATGAATATTTAACATTTATATAAATATAAGGTAAATATTTTGCATTTGAATTGCCCTTGTTGTGCAGTTTTGTTTTTCCTGGACTGAATAATTGCTTTATTTTTTGGTTTGCTTGTATGTTGTGTTACTACTTGGTTACTTAAACTCAGCAACTTAAACCCTCAAATGTGGTCAAACTGGTCACATAATCCGATCAATTTCAGCTTAAAACATTGATTGATTGATTGATTGATTGATTGTCTGTCTACCTGGAATACCCTTACTAACCGACTTCTCCAACCCAGATTGGTTTTTCTTCCTCTTTGCTACACAGCTGTGCTCTTGGGACTTCCCTTTATCACCAGTTTGAGAATTCCCTTCATCTTTTTTCTGAGTTAGACCCTTTGTTTCTTGTATCTCATGTCATCTTCATTTACTTTCTTTGTTTTGGTGTAGCATAGTTCACTTGCTTTGAGGAAAAGTGGATGAGAGGTTTTTTTGTTTGTTTTTGTTTTGGGACAGAGTCTTGCTCTGTTGCCCAGGCTGGAGTGCAGTGGCATGGTCTCAGCTCACCACAACCTCCGCCTCCCGGGTTCAAGTGATTCTCCTGCCTCAGCCTCCCGAGTAGCGGGATTACGGGTGTGCGCCACCATGCCCGGCTAATTTTTTCTATTTTTAGTAGAGATGGAATTTCACCATACTGTTCAGGCTGGTCTGGAAACTAATGGTATGTCTTTAAAACATCTTTACTTAATTTAGTTGATCATTTGGTTATCGAATTCTGAGTTTGAAATAATTTTTTTCGCAATTTTGAAAGCATTGCTCCATTTTCCAGAAGTTCTGTTGTTAGGAGTCTGATGAGAGTCTTGTTCTTGGTAACAAAGGTTTTCTGGAAGTGTCCTTTCAATTGGGAAACTCATTTCTTTCAGTTCTGTAGCGTTTCTTGTATTATTTCTTTGACCATTTCTTACCCTTTTTTTTAATGATGTTTACCTGAAAGCTGGAGTTTCTCTAATTTTTCTCTTATTCTCCTCTTTTGTTTGTTCTGCCTTTTGAGAGATTTCCTTACCCTTATGTTCCAGGGGAAGAAGACTGGGGAATTCATGTTTCAGTATCTAGACTTTTCCTCATTGTCCTGTATAATCACGGCCTTCACCCTTGTTGGGACTCCACAGATTTGGAGCTGATCAGATGGGTTTGTTGAGAACAGCAGCTTTTTTGGAGGATTTTAGGGGGAGGGAGATTCATTTGACTGTGCAAGATGGGCGACAGAGCGAGACTCCGTTTGAATTAAAAAAAAAGAGAGAGAAATTTAGAACTGCATAATGAAAAAGTAGGCCACAAATGTTAAGTTTTGGACAATTACAATTACATCTCTATCTTACTGTGCAAGATAGCGATGATGTGGCATCTCTTAGGGTCTTACTGTTCCTGTTTTCAGCCCTGCATCAGTTCTTGATATTTGGCAGCTTAAGTGAATTCAGGTATTTGCTTATAGTGACATCTGCTGTCATGTAAAGAAGTACTGCTTGAATCAGATATTGTCCTGTTTACATAACGTGGGCTGTGCTCCTTCCTAGCTGTATATCTTTAAACAAGGCATTTGCCTGCTTGAGCTTCAGTTCCCTTGTAAAGTGAGGTTAGAGGCAAAAGATCATACAGAAGAATAATTTGTAAAGTTGTTTAATTATCTTAAGATTGTCTACTTTAATAACATAGTTGGAAGCAAAGAAGGTAATGGAATTATTTTTCTATTATGTTTTGGCATTGTACCTTGAATCTATTTCTTCATTTTGAAAAGGGGGAACTGGCCGGGCTCGGTGGCTGAGGCCTGTAATCCCAGCACCTTCGGAGGCGGAGGAAGTCAGATTACAAGGTCGAGAGAACGACACCATCTGGCCAACATGGTGAAACCCCATCTCTACTAAAAATACAAAAATTAGCTGGGCATGGTGGCGTGCGCCTGTAGTCCCAGCTTGTACCCGGGACGCAGAGGTTGCAGTGAGCTGAGATCGAGCCACCGCACTCCAGCCTGGCGACAGAGCAAGACTCCATCTCAAAAAAAAAAAGGAAGCGGGGAACAAGCCTTGTTCCTTTATGTGCTGTCCTGACTGTTGTGTATTATTTTTGTTAAGATTGCTATAGTTCTTTTTTTTTTGAGATGGAGTCTTGCTCTGTCGCCAGTGCTGGGATTGCAGGTGTTAGCCTGGCATTGAGCAACGTTTTGTAATTTAAGCATACAAGTCTCTCACCTCCTTGTTTACATTTATTCCCAGGCATTTTTTTCATTTAGATGCGATTGTAAATGGAATTGCTTTCTTAATTTCCTTTTCTGATTGTTCGTTGCTGGTACAGTAGTCCCTTCTTATCCACAGTATTGCCTTACGTGGTTTTACTTACCTGCGTCACCCGTGGTCCAAAAATATTGAATGGAAGATTATATAAATAAACATTTCATGAGTTTTAAATTGCAAACAGTTCTGAATAACATGATAAAAATCTCACAGCCTCCTGCTCCGTCCTACCCAGGACACGAATCATCCCTTTGTCCAATATATTCATGCTGTATGTGCTCCCCACCCGCTAGTTACATACTAGCCATCTCAGTTATCAGATCAGTTGTTGGAGTATTGCGGTGCTTGTGTTCAAGTAACCCTTATTTTATTTAAAATGGCACCAAAGAGCAAGAATAGCGATGCTGGCAGTTCACATATGCCAGAGAGAAGCCATATAGTGCTTCCTTTAAGTGAAGAGGTGAGTTTTTGACTTAGGAAAGAAAAAAGATCGTATACTGGGGTTGCTAAGATCTACGGTAAGAACAAATCTTTTGTCCATGAAATTGTGAAGAAGGAAAAAGAAATTTGTGCTAGTTTTGTTGTGACACCCCAAACTGCAAAAGTTACAGCCACAGTGTGTGATAAGTGCTTTGTTGAGATGGACAAGACATTAAATTTGTGGGTGGAGGACACAAACAGGAAACATGTTTCGATTGATGGCAACCTGGTTTGATACTGTTCATCGTTTTGGACATTCACTGGGGTCTTGGAATTTCAAAAATAAGATGTTTGAGTGGCTGTATACTCTTTATCACATGGATGGAACATACTCTGGTTGTATCAGCTTTTTTTTTTTTTTTTTTTTTTTTTGAGATGGAATCATTCTGTTGCCCAGGCTGGAGTGCAGTGGTGCGGTCTTGGCCCACTGCTGCCTCCCGGGTTCAGGCGATTCTTTGCCTCAGCCTCCCAAGCAGCGGGGATTACAGGCGTGTGCCACCATGCCCAGCTAATTTTTGTATTTTTAGTAGAAAGGAGGTTTCTGCATGTTGGCCAGGCTGGTCTCGAACTCTTGGCTTCAAGTGATCCACCCGCCTCAGTCTCCGAAAGTGCTGGGATTACAGGTGTGAGCCACCGCACCCAGCCTGGTGTGCATCAGCATTTTGGACTTTGGAGTTTACGTAACCAAGGAGCCAGGCTGTGGACCTTGTTTATTACTTGAAGAATTCAATATTTATTTCTGCCTTTTTGACTCCTTGACTGTAAAATACTGATCTGATCTGTAGAGAGAACAGTACATGTACTATTAAGGCACAGGGAATCCTCAGTGCCTTAATAGATCGTAAGTACTTACTTATTCTTTCCCATAGAGGCTTACACATGGTAGGAGAAGAGATTTCTGGAATACCTTTCCTCCCCAAAGAAAGCTGGTTTCTTTTGTTTGTTAAGTGAGAGAGTGGTACCACAGGGTTTCCAAGATTTCCAAGGCTGATGAAAATTCTTAACTTCTGTTGTCTGCTTGTCTTGCTTTCTTGAATTTATTTTTTGTATGTTATGTATTTATTATTTAGAGACAGGATCTCCCTGTGTCACCCAGGCTGGAGTGCAGTGTCACAGTCATAACTCACGGCAGTGTCAACCTCCTGGGCTCAAGTGATTCTCCTTCCTTGGCCTCCTGAGTAGCTAGGAACACAGGCATGCTCCACTATGCCTGGCTATTTTTTTCCCCCTGGAGACAGGATCTTGTTGTGTTGCACAGGCTGGTTTCAAACTCTTGGCCTCAAAGCTAGCCTCCCACCTTGGTCTCTGAAAGTGCTAGAATTAAATAGAATTAAAGGTGTGACCAACTGCACCCAGCTTATTTATGATGACGATGATGATGATGTTTGGGAGATGGAGTCTCTGTCGCCCAGGCTGGAGTGCGATGGCACGATCTCAGCTGACTGCAACCTCTGGCTCACTGCAACCTCCACCTCCTGGGTTCAACTGATTCTCGTGCCTTAGCCTCCCGAGTAGCTGGGATTACAGGCACCCGCCATCATGCCTGGCTAATTTTTCTATTTTTGTAGAGACGGAGTTTCACCATGTTATAACGCCAGGCTGGTCTCAAACTCCTGACCTCAGGTGATCCGCCCACTTCGGCCTCCCAAAGTGCTGGGATTACAGGCATGAGCCGCTGCACCCAGCTCTATTTTTTGTTTTGTGATAGGAAATTATAAAACATGGAATTATGCATTTGTCAGGCTTTAAAAAAAACTTTTAAGTGAATGAAAATGGCATATTTGAACATAAACTTAGGGCAGATTTTTACTACTTTTGAAAAAATGTTGGAAAATATTTCTGTATGAAACGTAAAACAACTTTTAATTTTTTTTAGAAGTTGAGAGGATTCTATTTTGCAAAGCTGTATTATGAAGCTAAAGAATATGATCTTGCTAAAAAGTAAGTACAAACTGTAACATGTATTCTTTTTTTAAAATCAATGCCTTTTCTCATTTTCTTCTTTGAAATAGGTAAAAATATGTTCTTAGTAGTTCTTCCTAAGTGTATTCTGGAATAAGGGATTTATCACTCAGACTGATGCTAAGGACCAGCCTAGATTCCATTGAGATTGAAACCGTAATTAGTGTTTTCTGCATGCTGCTGCTTTATACCAAGGGCAAGAAATTGTTTGGCTTAAAACACTTTTTCTAAAAATTGTCTTCTGTTGGAGTAAAAGAGGACCATGCCTATATCTTCATTTGTTTTTGGTTAGATATCTGATACCTTAATCAGATGGAAAATAGCAATGAATAAAAAACTGTAATTGTAAGGCAGGAGAATAGCTTGTATAAAAGATCTTTAATTGACACAATATGTGATGCTCTAAGGCTCTATCCTAGGGATAAGAAGCTTGGTGATTCTGATTTCCTGACTGGGAGTGGATTAAAGCAGGAAATTAAGAGGGAGGCAGGGTTTTTTTTTTTTTTTTTTTTTTTTTAGTCAGTATCTGTCTCTCTTGCTCAGGCTGGAGTGCAGCAGCTGGCTCCATCTTTGCTCACTGTAACCTCTGCCTTCTGGGCTCAAGAGATCTTCCCACCTCAGCGCCCCAAGTAGCTGGGGATACAGATGAGCACCACCACACCTGGCTAAGGTTTGCATTTTTTGGTAGAGACAGGTGTCACTATGTTGCCCAGGCTAGTCTTGAACTTCTGAGCACAGCAGTCTGCCTGCCTCGGCCTCCCATACTGTTGGGACTACAGGTGTGTGTTACTGCTCCCAGCTGGGAGGCAGGCTTTTAAAGGCATCCAAAGGAAGATGGAAATGCTGGTAAGAAAGGAAAATGGTGGTACATAAATTATGTAACTAGCAGCACTGTGACTGTTAACTCTTGTACCTTTTTACTGTGAGACTTTAATCCCTTAGTTTGGGTCTGGCCTAATTTCTCTGATGGTAATACTGTCAAGGAACCTAGAGGATATTTACTTATTTTAGTTGTTACTTGATTTGAGAAATGGAAATTTCCTGTATTTGGTACTGTAATTAGTAATTTGTCTTCTGTTCGATTTTAGCTGGATATAGTACTGTTAGAAATTACTTTCTTGCTTAAAGGGTAGGTGTATTTCCCTTTGTTGTTTGGGAAATTGTTGCTGTTTAGTATTTTGCATTATGATAACTTTAAAAATGTTTACTATAATCACTTCTAATTTATTTGCAAAACTGTTAGTGCTTTATTAAAATGTGATCAGGAAGAAAAAGCAATTTATATGTTCATTTCTTATGCGTGGATAACACTGGAGAAAAATTTGGTAAATGTGACATTTAATGGTAAAACGAGTATGTGGTCAACTCTATGTACGTGTTTTTAAGTATTACCCATTTCTTTCTATGAATACTTCTGAGTTATCTGCATAAATAGTGGTAGTTTTGAGTAACAATATAAACGAGTTTAGTGGTTGCTTTGGTTTAAGATGTATTCTTCGGTTAGCATTTAAAAGTACAGTTCTAAGTTTAATTTACTTTTGTATTACTTTTGAAAAACAGATACGTATGTACTTACCTTAGTGTGCAAGAGAGGGATCCCAGAGCTCACAGATTTCTGGGTCTTCTTTATGAATTGGAAGAAAACACAGAGAAAGCCGTTGAATGTTACAGGGTAAGTTATAGGATTCAAATATAGCCTTTGCATAGCCAAACACATGATGCCCAGAGAAATTTATATAAGTAAGTCAAATATATTTTATGAATATCATAAAACAGGCATTGGTATCATAGTACAATTATGTGACACAGCTTGGAACAGATTTAGAATTGTTTAACACCTATAAATTGTAAGTCTAACATGGTCAGAAATGGTGTTCTTTTGTGTTCTTTTGCATTCAAATGACACAAATATAATTTTTATTTGATTCATTTCCAGAAAATTCCAAGACACTTTTATTTTAACACCTTTGAAGTAACATGTTTTCTCTAGAAGTAGAATTTTTTAAGGGTTGGAGTGATAATTTTTAACCTTTATATATAAGTATATAAGTATATATACTCCTACATACATACATACAATTTATTTACTAATCTTTAATTTCTTTTCTGATATTAGCGTTCACTGGAATTAAACCCACCACAAAAAGATCTTGTGTTGAAGATTGCAGAATTGCTTTGTAAAAATGATGTTACTGATGGAAGAGCAAAATACTGGGTTGAAAGGGCAGCGAAACTTTTCCCAGGAAGTCCTGCAATTTATAAACTAAAGGTAAACATACAAAACATAAAGGGAGAAAACTTAAGACATAACCATTTCTAATATTTGGAGTTTAAATTACTTTTCAATAGCAAACCTTAAGCCCAGGTGTTTGTGTTTCCTTTAACATTTTTCTTTTAAAAAGTGTATTAAAACCTTTCTGAGCATCTGCTGTCTTATTAGGCATTGTTATACTTTATAAGTGACATCTCATTTACCCTTCTGGAATAATTAATATTTTAGGGATTTTACAGTTTAGTAGCTGTAAACTAAGTAGAGCTAAGATTTACATTAAGTTCTGTCTGGTATACAATTTTTGCTTCATTAAGTGAAAATTACCTACAGGATGACAATTTAGGGATATTTTAAAGAAGAGTTTTCTAATAACTATGGTCTGAAAGTAGAAGGGATTGTATTTTGAGATAGTAAAGTTTTCAAGGAAAAGATAAAAGGTGGTTTCTCTAGTATATAAGATGTAATTACTAAAAATGGTAGGAAGTTCTTGCTAGTGTATTGACTGGTCCTGATATTCTTTATAGAGCAAAATATAGTTTACTAAGTAACTGTTCTGGAGAAAATCTACACAAATATGTTTGGCAAACATTTAAAATGTATATTGTAATATTTTATATATTAATGTATACTTTATTGTGTATGTACAATATAAAATTATAAATGTATATTTGCCTTTAGCCTCCTCCTACCCCCATTGTATATGTTTCTGATAGAAATTTAAAAAATTTTAATTTTGAAATAATTATAGATTTTTTTGCACAGGAAGTTGCAAAGATTGCACAGAAAGATCCTATATGCTACTTCATTTTTCCCCAATGCTTATACAGGTTGAGCATTTAAAATCTGAAATCCTAAATGCTCCAAAATCTGAAATTTTTTGAGCACTGACATGATGCTCAAAGAAATGCTCATTGGAAAATTTTGGATTTCAGATTTTCAGATTTGGGATGCTCTGCCTGCTAAGTATCCTGCAAATATTCCAAAGTCTGAAAAAATTCAAAATCTGAAATACTTCTGGTCTCAAGCATTTTGGATAGGGGATACTCAACCTGTTTAACCCGACCAAAGCACAATATCAAAATCAGGAATTTTGACATTGGTACAATGTGTATGTATATAGTTTTCTTTCATTTTATCATGTGTAGATTCATACCACCACTACTGTCAAGATACAGAGCTACTCTATTACCACAGAGATCTTCCTCATGCTGCCCCTTTTGTAGTCATGCTATTTACTTCTCTTCACTATGCCTGACCTCTGGCAACCATTAATCTGTTCTCCATCTTTATACTTTGGTGATTTCAAAATGTTATGTAAATGTCATCATGAAATGTGTGACTTTTTTTTTTCTTTTTTCGTTGTTTTTGAGACGGAGTCTCGCTCTGTTGCCCAGGTTGGAGTTCACTGGCGCAATCTCGGCTCACTGCCACCTGTGCCTCCCAGGTTCAAGCAATTCTCCTGCCTCAGCCTTCCGGGTAGCTGGGACTACAGGCACATGTTACCGTGTCCCGCTTATTTTTGTATTTTTGCAGAAACGGGGTTTCACCATGTTGGCCTGGCTGGTCTCGAACTCCTGACCTCATGTGATCTGCCCACCCCAGCCTCCCAAAGTGCTAGGATTACAGGCGTGAGCCACCGCGCCCAGCCAAGCATGTGACCTTTTGAGGTTGGCTTGTTCAGTCAGCATAATACCATTTGTGATCCATATTAAGTTTTGTATATCCATAGTTGGTTCCTTTACTTCTGAGTAGCATTTCATGGTCCACAATTTAACCATTCACTTTTTTTATTTTTATTTTTTTGAGACAGAGTCTTGCTCTGTCGCCCATGCTGGAGTGCAGTGGTGCTATCTCGGCTCACTGCAACTTCTGCCTCCCGGGTTCTCAGGTGATCCACCCACTTTGGCCTCCCAAAGTGCTGGGATTACAGGTGTGAGCCACTGTGCCCAGCCTTAACCATTCACTTTTGAGGGGCATTTTGGTTATTTCTAGGTTTTGGCTGTTGTTCAACTGCTATGAACAATCATGTCCAGATTTTTGAAGCTGAAAAAGCATTGAAGATGCTTCCAAAGATAAATATTACTGATAAGTTTTTCTCCCCAGTAATAAGCAGCTGGATTTTAAATATTAGTCTAAAACATGAGGTCTAATTGTGCAGATTTCTTTACTCTCTTAGGTGTTATGCCTCAAACATAACTCCCATATTGGGCGTGGCAATCCAGTTAATCTGGTGTCAGTAGTGTTAAAGAACATATGTAATGGCAGGAGATTGTTTTCTTGCAGTGTAACAAGTTAGATACTTTGAAGCACTCTTTAAAGATTTTCTTTAATAACTTGAAGGCACTGTTAACACCTTTCCTGTATCAGATTTTTTTTTTTTTTTGGAATTGAAATCCATGAGATTTATAATTGTCATGCAAAGTAATTCCATTTCTCCTAAAATTTAAGGCTTGCTAAGGTAAACAGTTTCTGACATTTGTTTAATGAATGAGAGTATTACTGTTGAGAAGGCTTTTTCTCTCAAGTATGAGATAGAACTTTTTAAAAGCACTCATAGTGGTTTTTTAAAAAATGTTTAACATAGAGTCAAAGACTAGGGCTTTTGCAATAGGGAGAGACCAGGGTATCATCCATCTCATCCAGAAGAGGAGAAATTGATAAAGGAGAGAGGGGAATGAAATACAGAGTAGTAATGGACGGCTTGGTCTTGAGAGCTGGGGAAAGACGAGTTTAAGTAGGTAAGGTAAAATGGAATTTATATGTGATAGCATCAGGTTTCTCAGTGAAGGATGAATCTAGGTTATAAGTTGAAAGTGAGGGTCAAAGGAAGGTATGGGGAAGTTGAGGAAATAGGAGGAGGTGTGAAGTGTCAGGGAGTGGAGAAAGTGAGTCTGTTAGTACTAAAATGGCATTTTGTTTTAGGCAGCACCAGTTTGATGGTTGAGATAATGCAAATGAAATCGGTTAGCTTGGGGTTATGATTTCCCAAATCTAAGCACACAGAAACCAGTTGGGAGGGTTCTGAGGAAAAGAGGGAATTAGTTGAAGGGATCTGTAAGCAAACAGTAATTATGGATATAAGGGATTATAGCATTTTTTGCCTGACAGAAGAAAGTGTGTGTATTTATATGTGTTTACAGGTGCTTAAAACTTGATGATGTTATTGTCTTGAAGGGAACTTGTCATGTGGTGGAGAAGTATATTTCTGAAAGTAAGGGTACGTAGGCCCTCAGTGAGGTGGAAGAATAAGAAGGATGGTATGGTCGTTTCGGTGGTATGACCAAAATGCAGATTTTGAAGACCTGTGTCAGTGGCAAGTGGATGGTTGAGGTTGGAGTAGAGGATAACATGACTGGAGATGAGGTGATTAAGGAACTGAGTAGTCAGCTTGGGCAACACGGCAAGACCCCATCTCTACAGAACGTTAAAAAAAAATTAGCCGGGCATGGTGGTGCATGCCTATGGTCCTAGCTTCTTGAGAGGCTGATGGAAGAGCATCGCAAATGAGAAGCGAGTGGCCACAAACCCTACTTCCTCTCCTTGTATGTAAGTTCAGAGAGAAAAAGCCATCATGGTAGTGGGGGTTATCCTGAGATGATACTGTCTTCATTTAAGATCAGGAGGTGATGACAGTGCTTTGAGATGATGATGAAGGTAACAGAACAGTGGGAGGAGAGGGGATGTGGGATTGAGTCAGATTTAAGGAGATACAGAGCAGTTTGAGCATAAGGACCTTGTTGCTGAGGATTGACTGGGGAGGTCTAGGCTTCTGGTGGTGACTCAGATGGACAGGGATGTGTGGCAATAGTCCTGGTAGTCTCTGAAGAGAGTATAAGCTACTGCAGTAATCACAGATGCTTTTCTTCACATACAGTTCTTGAGGCTTAGTTTCTGGGTTGTAAGCAACTCTCAGAAGGGACGAATAAGGTATATAGGATGGTGTTTTTGGTGGCATCATCATAAAACTAGACATAGTGGAATGGTGCTTTTTGGGAGCATGACTTGTTTAAAATTGCACAAGTGTTACTCTAATAATTTTTCTTTTTCCCCTCTAAATAGGAACATCTTCTAGATTGTGAAGGTGAAGATGGATGGAATAAACTTTTTGACTGGATTCAGTCAGAACTTTATGTAAGACCTGATGACGTCCATATGAACATCCGGCTAGTGGAGTTGTATCGCTCAAATAAAAGATTGAAGGATGCTGTGGCCCGCTGCCATGAGGCAGAGAGGAACATAGCTTTGCGTTCAAGTTTAGAGTGGAATTCGTGTGTTGTACAGACCCTTAAGGTAGATAAAAGCTATTGGGTCTTTACATTTCTATGTAGGCAATTAGCATACATCTTTTTGTACTAAAGCAGCAGTGCCCCGCAGGACTTAAATTTCTTTTATTTAGGTAGAACAGTTATAAAATGAAATTTTTACCAGGATCAGTTAAATTTATAATGGGAAAGTTGGGGAGATAACTATGATAAATGTATATATTTTTGGTGTTTTCATTTATAAGGTTGATGTAAAAATCAATGTAGTTTCACAAACGTGGTTAGAGTGAGAAAAGGAATTTGTAGGCATAAAATGGTTAATTTCTTAACACTTGATTAAGTTTTGTAACTTACTATTCATTCCACAAAATAGGAATATCTGGAGTCTTTACAGTGTTTGGAGTCTGATAAAAGTGACTGGCGAGCAACCAATACAGACTTACTGCTGGCCTATGCTAATCTTATGCTTCTTACGCTTTCCACTAGAGATGTGCAGGAAAGTAGAGAATTACTGGAAAGGTGCGTTGACTTTGAGGAGAATGCTTTAGTATAAATTGTAGTTTTTCTTTTTGCAGTAAGTTCATTGCTCTAAATTTCTTTACTGCATCATTATTTCTATAATGTACCTAGGAGTTATAGTTAATACAGTGAACCACTAGGAGGCAATCTTATTTTTCTTCTTTTACGGGGAAGTTCTAATTGGTTTTATATGACTTTCCTTTTTAGAGAACTCTTATAGTTCAAGCTTGATTAAAATTAGCCTTATGGTTAAATACTCAGGTTTGTCATAGTCAAGCTTAAAATGAATGTTCTAACTGCTATTTCATATTTTATTTTTTATAATAGTATAATCTTGAGTGAAAATTAAGGTTCATCTGTCATCAGATGGCTAGGTTCACATGTACTAGTATAAGCACTTAGCATCACTGGTATTTCAGAAAATACTGTTTTAGCTAAGAAACAAAATAACTCAACTATGTGATTTACCTTTTTTCCTAAATTTTGATTTTGAAAACCAGTGTCTCCATTTTGAAAATAAATTCCATTGAACAAAAACATCACTTGGATTTGTATAAAAATGTTAGTTTAGAGCAGGGGTTGGTTAGAACTTGTGGGCCAAATATGGCCCCTGCCTAATTTTGTTAATATTTATTGGAATGCAACATGCCTCTGTTTATGTATTGTCTGTGGCTGCTTACATACTACAAGGTTGGAATTGAGTGGTTGCAGCAGAGATTGTATGCCTGTAAAGCCAGATTAGTAATCTCCTCCTTTTTGTAGAAAAAGTTTACTGATTGCTAGTTTAGGCTGTCCATTTGTTTGGAAGTTAATTTATTTCCCCATCTGGTATAAGGAAAGAAGTTCATTTCACTGAGTGCAGGGAGTAGGTAATTTTCTTGAAAAAGTACATAGTGTCCTAAATTGGTAGGGTAAGAGCAGTATCTAAAAGAACTAACATAACTTTAAGATTATTTTAGAAAACATGTAGGATGTTTTATTTTGTGTTCTTTGTATACTCAAATTTTTTGGTCACAAGTTCCTTTTACATTTTTCTTAAGGACATCAAAGATCTTTGTATGTGGGTTCCTTTTTTTCTTTCTTTCTTTCTTTTTTGTTTTGTTTTTTTTTTTTTTTTTGAGATGGAGTCTTGCTCTGTCACCAGGCTGGAGTGCAGTGGCATGACCTTGACTCACTGTAACCTCCGCCTCCCGGGTTCAGGCGATTCTCCTGCCTCAGCCTCCTGAGTAGCTGGGACCACAGGCGCACACCACCACGCCCAGCTAATTTTTGTATTTTTAGTAGAGACGGGGTTCAGGATGGTCTCAATCTCTCTTTTTTTTTTTTTGAGACTGAGTCTTGCTCTCGCCAGGTTGGCATGCAGTGGTGCAGTCTCGGCTCACTGCAACCTCTGCCTCCTGGGTTCAAGTGATTCTCTTGTCTCTGCCTCCTGAATAGGTGGGACTACAGGTGCCCGACACCACACCTGGCTAATTTTTTTTTTTTTTGAGACAGAGTCTCGCTCTGTCACCCAGCCTGGAGTAGAGTGGCGCAATCTCGGCTCACTGCAAGCTTCACAATTTCCTCTCAATGCTCTGAATAAGAGCTTATCCTCCTGCCTCAGGTTGTTCCCCACCAGGAAGCCCCAGGAGGGCCCTGAGGACAGCCCTTGGCCCTCAGAGGGGGAGGCTCAGGAGGGGAGATGACCATGGGGATGGAGTCACTCAGGGGAGAATCCGGACCATGAGGGGGTGACTTGGGGGCCTGAGGGGAGGACCCTGAGGAAGATAAAAAGCTGGTGCCACCCTAGGCAGTTTCACAGTGTGGCTTAGGGTGGTGGGTGACAGATGGTTTGTCAGATCAGTTAATCAGGACTCATGGGCCCTTTGTTACCCCCCCTTGTGAACCTCCCAGGTTCACGCCATTCTTCTGCCTCAGCCTCCTGAGTAGCTGGGACTACAGGCGCCCACCACCACGCTCGGCTAATTTTTTTGTATTTTTAGTAGAGACGGAGTGTCACCCTGTTAGCCAGGATGGTCTCGATCTCCTGACCTCGTGATCTGCCCTCCTCGGCCTCCCAAAGTGTTGGGATTACAGGCGTGAGCCACCGCGCTCAGCCCACACCTGGCTAATTTTTGTATTTTTAGTAGAAACAGGGTTTCATCATGTTGGCCAGGATGGTCTCGATCTTTTTTTTTTTTGAGACGGAGTCTCGCTCTGTTGCCCAGGCTGGAGTGCAGTGGCGCCATCTCGGCTCACTGCAAGCTCTGTCTCCAGGGTTCACGCCATTCTCCTGCCTCAGCCTCCCGAGTAGCTGGGCCTACAGGTGCCCGCCACCACACCCAGCTAATTTTTTGTATTTTTAGTAGAGATGGGGTTTCACTGTGTTAGCCAGGATGGTCTTGATATCCTGACCTTGTGATCCGCCTGCCTCAGCCTCCCAGAGTGCTGGGATTACAGGCATGAGCCACCGCGCCCGGCTGGTCTCGATCTCTTGACCTCTTGATCTGTCTACCTTGGCCTCCCAAAGTACTGGAAGGTCTCAATCTCTTGACGTCGTGATCCGCCTGCCTTGGCCTTCCAAAGTGCTGGGATTGCAGGTCTGAGCCACTGCACCTGGCCGTATGTGGGTTATTTCTGTCAGTGTTTATTACATTAGAAATTAAAACAAATAAAAAATGTAATCCATTAAAAATGTAATAAGCCCTATTGTGTGTTAATAATAATAGCTTTTTTTTTTTTTTTTTTTTTTTTTATTTGAGACGGAGTTTGCTCTTGTTGCCCAGGCTAGAGTGCAACAGTGTGATCTCGGATCACTGCAACCTCTGCTTCCCAGGTTCAAGCGATTCTCCTGCCTCAGCCTCCCAAGTAGCTGGAATTACAGGTGCCCACCACCACGCCTGGCTAATTTTTTGTATTTTTAGTAGAGATGGGGTTTCACCATGTTGGCTAGGCTGGTCTTGAACTCCTGACCTCAGGTGACCCACCCGCCTCAGCCTCCCAAAGTGCTGGAATTACATGTGTGAGCCACCGCGCAGGGCCAATAATAGCATTTTTTATGAAAAATAATTATTTTCCAACAGCAAAAAAGTAGTCAGAAAAGTGTCATTGTTTTTGCATTTTTGTAAATCTTTTTAATGTCTCGCTTAATAGAACATAGCTAGATTCTCATTTACTTCCTCTTTCAGTCTGTAAAACTATTACATGTCATGAAGCCTCTAGAAAACTCAGCTCAGCGGGTCGCGGTGGCTCAGGCCTGTAATCCCAGCACTTTGGGAGGCCGAGGCGGGTGGATCACGAAGTCAGGAGATCGAGACCATCCCAGCTAACAATGGTGAAACCTTGTCTCTACTAAAAATACAAAAAATTAGCCGGGCATGTTGGTACGCGCCTATATTCCCAGCTGCTCGGGAGGCTGAGGCAGAAGAATCGCTTGAACCTGGGAGTCAGAGGTTGCATTAAGCCAAGATTGTGCCACTGCACTCCAGCCTTGTGACAGAGTGAGATTCTGTCTCCAAAAACAAAAACAAAAAAACTCAGCTCTACATACATGAGAAAATGAGTATGTAATATATAAATTTTTTTTTGGTATTATTGTAAAAGTAATTTTAACTTCATGGATCCCCTGAAGGGGTTTTTGAGCACCCTCAGAGATCTTTAGACCTCATTTGCTCTGGTTGCGTTATTGTAAGCCACTTTAAAATCATGCTTCACGTTTAAGTGTTTGCTTTTTGCTTTTACTTTTCTTCCAAAGTGAGGATTTGGAGAAACATTAGGATTTAGAAGAACTAATTTAGAATATAGATTACAAATAATAGGCCAGGCATAGTGGCTCATGCCTGTAATCCCAGCACATTGGTAAGCTGAGGCGGGCGGATCGTGAGGTCAGGAGTTCGAGACCAGCCTGGCCAACATAGTAAAACCCTGTCTCTACTAAAAATATAAAAAAAGTTTAGCGGGGCATGGTGGCAGGTGCCTGTAATCCCAGCTACTCAGGAGGCTGAGTCAGGAGAATCACTTGAACCTGGGAGGTGGAGGTTGCAGTGAGCTTAGATCGTGCCATTACACTCCAGCCCAGGCGATAGTGAGAGACTCTGTCTCAAAAAAAAAAAAAAAAAAAAAAAACAATTTAACGCTGTAATGATCTATATAGTAAAAAGAGCAATTGCTGTATTGATACTCAAATACCTGTCAGTTACTTACTTATAATTTGGAAATGGTATGTCTAATTTGAGAAATTACAACTGTTAATTAAATAATGAAATTATATGATCAGGAAGAAACTACAAAATAGTCTCCCAACTTTATCCTGGTTTATTTTGAAATGTGCACCTATAATCACTAATCTTATATTTATCCTGTGATTGGAGGGCTGGAAATAACTGGGAATAAGACATCATTTGAGAGGTTAAGCATGAAGTATAGGAAGTATGCAGGATAAAAATAAGCATTAGATGATTCATAATTTATAACATGGGGAATAAGAATTATTAGAAGTTGAATGTGGAAGATGAAGCTTGAAATAAAATTTTTATTTTGTTTTGAATTAAATGAACCATGATTATTCACAGTGCAGTAAGTGTGTATCATCTGTTTGATATTTTCATATTACAGTTTTGATAGTGCTCTTCAGTCTGCAAAATCTTCTTTGGGTGGAAATGATGAACTGTCAGCTACTTTCTTAGAAATGAAAGGACATTTCTACATGCATGCTGGTTCTCTGCTCTTGAAGATGGGTCAGCATGGTAATAATGTTCAATGGCAAGCTCTTTCTGAGCTGGCTGCATTGTGCTATGTCATAGCATTTCAGGTAAGTCTTCCACTTGTAGGAGCAATTGACATTTCACGGAGTCTTGATGTGTTTTAAATGAAGGTGTGCTCTGGTATGTAATGACAATATGTGAACAAACTGTGGAATTAAAATGAAATAGTCAATTTGATACAGTGGAAAATAACTAAGCATACACAATACTGGTGAGGCTGGTGAAACAGGGATGTTGAGTGCACTCTTGTCGAAAGCCTGCATTGCCATGATTTGTTTGTAGACAAATTTGAAGAGTTTGATCTTTTTACTCTGCCATTTTTGGGAACATGATAAAGATGTAATCTCGTATTATGGGTAAAGCTTGATTCAAAAAGGTGTGTTACTTGGACAAAATCCTAATAAGTAGATGTAGGGCAATGGCTTTATAGCCTATGATAGAAGAATATGATTGCAATTTAACATGTTAATTGAAACACATGTATATAACATTTATGGCTGTATTGTGTATATGTAACAGTATATCTATTAATCTTTGAAAACATAAAACCTTTTCTTATTTTTTATTTTTTTATTTTTTTTGAGACCAAGTCTCTCTCTGTTGCCAGGCTGGAGTGCAGTGGTGTGATCTCGGCTCACTGCAGCCTCCACCTCCTGGGTTCAAGTGATTCTCCTGCCTCAGCCTCCCGAGTAGCTGGCACTACAGGCCCGTGCTACCAAGCCCAGCTAATTTTTTGTATTTTTAATAGAGATGGGGTTTCACCATGTTGGCCAGGATGGTCGCAATCTCTTGACCTCGTGATCTACCTGCCTTGGTCTCCCAAAGTGCTGGGATTACAGGCCCGAGGCACTGTGCCTGGCGTGCCTGGCCTTTTTTTTTTTTTGAGACGGAGTCTCGCTCTGTCGCCCAGGCTGGAGTGCAGTGGCACGATCTCGGCTCACTGCAAGCTCCACCTCCCGAGTTCACACCATTTTCCTGCCTCAGCCTCCCGAGTAGCTGGAACTACAAGCGCCCACCACCATGCCTGGCTAATTTTTTTGTATTTTTAGTAGAGACGGGGTTTCACCGTGTTAGCCAGGATGGTCTCAATCTCCTGACCTAGTCATCCACCTGCCTCGGCCTCCCAAAGTGCTGGGATTTACAAGCGTGAGCCACCATTCCCGGACTTTTTTTTTTAATGAGCTTGCATAACTTTTGAAAGGAAAAGAAATAAGCAGTCTTCCAAAAAAAGCATTAAACCAGGCTTAGAAAAATGATTAATTTTAGAGAAGGATTTTTTGCTTGGGGAGGGAAAAAAAAGGATTCATTACTTTTAGAGAAGGCCCCTCCTTCTAATATAAATCTTTTTTTCTTTTTGAGACAGAGTTTTGCTCTTGTTGCCCAGGCTGGAGTGCAATGGCGCCATCTGGCTCACTGCAACCTCCGCCTCCCGGGTTCAAGCGATTGTCCTGCTTCAGCCTCCCGAGTAGCTGGGATTACAGGCACACGCTACCACGCCCATCTAATTTTGTATTTTCAGTAGAGATGAGGTTTCTCCATGTTGGTCAGGCTGGTCTTGAGCTCCTGAACTCAGGTGATCTGCGTGTCTCGGCCTCTCAAAGTGCTGGGATTACAGGCAGTGAGCCAGCATGCCCTGCCTAATATAAATCTTTTTATTTTTATTTGAGACGGAGTCTCGCTCTGTCACCAGGCTGGAGTGCAGTGGCGCAATCTCAGCTCACTGCAACCTGTGTCTCCTGGGTTCAAGTGATTCTCCTGCTTCAGCCTGTCACGTATCTGGGATTACAGGCACACACCACCATGCCTGGCTAATTTTTTGTATTTTTTAATAGAGATGGGGTTTCACCATGTTAGCCAGGATGGTCTCGATCTTCTGACCTCGTGATCCACCCGACTCGGCCTCTCAAAGTGCTGGGATTACAGGCATGAGCCATTGAGCCTGGCCTGTAAATCTTTTAAAAACACCGTTGATAGACAGTTCACATGTTAAATGCTAATATTGGCTCAGTAGAAACTTCTGTGTTCATAAGGAATGGATTAGTGAAAATTAATGGATTTAGTGAGGTTCACTAGGTAATACAAACATTAAAAGGTTCTTATAGAAATTCTCAAGTAACTGATAGTTCTTATTTTTATTTATTTTATTTTTTTTTGAGATGGAGTCTCACACTCTGTCGCCCAGGCTGGAGCACAGTGGCACGACCTCGGCTCACTGCAAGCTCCGCCTCCTGGGTTCACGCCATTCTCCTGCCTCAGCCTCCCGAGTAGCTGGGACTACAGGCACCCACCACCACGCCTGGCTAATTTTTTTGTATTTTCAGTAGAGATGGGGTTTCACCGTGTTAGCCAGGATGGTCTCGATCTCCTGACCTCATGATCCGCCCACCTTGGCCTCCCAAAGTGCTGGCATTACAGGTGTGAGCCACCGCGCCCTGCCAATAGTTCTTATTTTTAATGGAAACTTTAAAATTTATCTGTCTGTGTGTCTATTAGAGTCTTGCTGTGTCACCCAGGCTGGAGTGCAGTTGCGTAATCGTAGCTCACCGTAACATTGAACTGGGCTCGAGCTTCCCAGAGTGCTGGGATTATAGGTGTCAGCTACTGCGCACAGCCTAAAATTTTTCGATATGTAGTTTTGGGAGGCAGAGTCTCACTCTTGCTCTGGCTGGAGTGCAGTGGCATGATCATAGCTCACTGCATCCTCGAACTCCTGGGCTCAAGTGATCCTCTCCTGCTTCAGCCTCAGCTCAGTAGCTGGGACTACAGGTGCCTGCCACCATGCCTGGCTACATTGTTAAATTTTTTGTAAAGACAAGGTCTTGCTATGTTTCCCAGGCTGGTTGGTCTTGAACTCCTGGCTTCAAGTGATCCTTCTGCCTTGCCCTCCCAAAGTGCTGAGATTACAGGTATGAGCCACCACACCTGACTGTGAACTTTTAATCATAATAAGTTAGTTTCCCTCTTAATCCATTCACTCAGGT